>NC_000002.12:105974466-106277496 GCF_000001405.40 Homo sapiens | reverse complement strand
ATCATCCACACTTCCTCATCTACCTTTTCCCTAAGAAGTAGTGTGTATACTTTTCTTTTTTTGGAGACGGAGTCTTGCTCTGTCGCCCAGGCTGGAGTGCAGTGCTACAATGTTGGCTCATTGCAACCTCTGCCTCCTAAATTCAAGTGATTCTCCAGCCTCAGCCTCCGGAGTAGCTGGGATTACAGGTGCCCACCACTAGGCCTGACTAATTTTTGTATTTTTTAGGAAAGACGGGGTTTCACCATATTGGCCAGGCTGGTCTCGAACTCCTGACTTCAGGTGGTCCGCCTGCCTCGGCCTCCCAAAGTGCTGGGATTACAAGTGTGAGCCACTGCATCCAGCCTAGAATTAGGATGTATAAGCATCTGTACTCACTAGGATGTCAGGCTGTCACTGTGATTATCCAGTGTGCATATCCAGTGTGCACGGTGGTGATACATTTGCGTGCCTTTTCTCTTATTAATCTGCCTCTTTGTGAGTTGATTTTTCAGCAAACCTTCTGAGGGTGAAGGGGAAGCTTCCCAGCTGTAATGGCCATGGGCAGGTTGGGAAGAGGGTCTTAGGTAGACTGTCAGGAGGCCAGGATAATGATAGGAACATTTACTGACTATCAATAGAGCCAGGAACAGGTTTTTTTTGTTTGTTTGTTTTGTTTTGTTTTGCGTTTTTTGAGATGGAGTCTCACTCTGTCACCCAGGCTGGAGTGCAGTGGTGCAATCTTGGCTCACTGCAACCTCTGCCTCCCGGGTTCAAGCAATTCTCTGCCTCAGCCTCCTGAGTGGCGGGGACTACAGGCGCCCACCACCAGGCCCGACTAATTTTTTGTATTTTTACCAGGGATGGGGTTTCACCATCTTGGCCAGGCTGGTCTTGAACTCCTGACCTCGTGATCCACCCGCCTCAGCCTTCCAAAGTGCTGGGATTACAGGTGTGAGCTACCGCGCCCGGCCTGGAACGATCTTAAGTACTTCACACTAACACATTTACACCTACACTAAGCTAGATAGCGTCCTTAGCCTCCTTTAAAAGATTTTGGACACGGGGGCAGGTAGATAAGTGGAATGGAAGAACCGGACTCTTCCCAAGCAGTCTGGTCCTGCGCCCCTGGGGAGGCCACCAGCCCGGTTGTCGCCTCGGGGAGAAGGGGGGTTTCTCTAGTGCAGGGCTGTTAAACTGGGGATGGGGCCTGTGAATGGTCCCCGCCCCCAACACTGAGTTCATTAATATATCCAATAAAGACCTACTGTGTGCCTACTCTGTGCCCCCGCACCTGCCTAGGGCTTTTGGGGGTGTGATGGTGAGCTGGCCTGCTTTGTGGGGCTCAAGATCAGGGATAGGGGGAGTGGAAAGGGGACGTGTCCAGAATTTCCCTCAGGTTCTCAACTCTGCCCCTACTTCCTCTCCCCCAGTGGAAGATGCAACTCAGGCGGGCTCCTCACCCGCACAGGATCTTCTGAATCCGGCCGGGAGCTGCCCTGCCCGGCTACTCCCCGGCTGTTCAGTGACTGTTGGTAGCAGGGACCTGCGCACTCCAGCAAGGGCCGCTAGACCCGCCTACTCCACCTTGGGGTGGAGGTGGGCCAGCTGGAATTTGACAAGACCTCACAGGGGGCGTCAGTCCCAGACAGAGGCGGGAGGACTGTGGCGCGTCTCTGAGAACGAGGCCCGTCCCTGGGTGCATGTCCCACCTTTCTGTTCACCTGAGACAGGCATTCCAGTCTAAGCCAGGCCTTCCTCACGCTGAGGGTCTAACCAAGGCTCCATCAAAAGACGTTGGCCCAGCGGTGGCTCATGCCTGTGATCCTGGCACTCTGGGAGGCTGAGCGGGGCGGATCGCTTGAGCCCAGGAGGTCCAGGCTGCAGTGAGCCGTGACCCAGCCCCTGCACTCCAGCCTAGGCCACAGAGCGAGATCCCGTCTCAAAAAAAATAAATAAATAAAAATAGGCCGGGCGCGGTGGCTCACGCCTGTAATCCCAGCACTTTGGGAGGCCGAGGCATATAGATCACGAGGTCAGGAGATCGAGGCCATCCTGACTAACATGGTGAAACCCTGCCTCTACCAAAAATACAAAAATTTAGCCGGGCGTGGTGGCAGGCGCCTTGTAGTCCCAGCTACTCGCCAGGCTGAGGCAGGAGAATGGTGTGAACCTGGGAGGTGGAGCTTGCAGTGAGCCGAGATCGCGCCGCTGCACTCCAGCCTGGGCGACAGCGAGAGACTTCGTCTCAAAAAATAAAAAATAATAAAAATAAAAAAATAAAAATAAAAATAAAAAGACACCTGGCGAGTTTCGCCAGGGCAGCCTGCTGTGCCTCTCTCTGCTTTTATAGGAAATGGTTCATTCTCCATCCACCCTCACTCTGCCCCCACCCAAGGCAGCAATTTAAGGCAGCTTGTTCTTGTTTTAAAACATTATTATCACCAGGATCATAACGAAGAAAATGCAAATAAAAACTGTGTGGTGTTTTTCACATCTCAGGCTGGCAAGTGTCTTCCAGAGTGCCAGTCTGCGATGGTGGTGGAGGAGTGCAAAGACAGGCGTTCCCATGTGCTGCTGTGGGGAGAGGGAAAATCGGAACACACTTTTTGGAGGGCAGTTTGGAAATATCTACAAAACATACACATATGCTTTGACTCAGCAATTCCCCTGTAGGGGAATTCACCATGCAATACAACCCAAAATATCTGTGGAAGGAAATTTACTGCAGCACTGCGGGTGATGGTAAAAAAGCCAGAAAACCATAAACGTAAACGTGCATCAGTGAGGGATAAATAGGCTGCAATTACTTTGTAAAAGTGAATTCCATATAGCTATGACAAAGAAGGAGCTAGGTCAGTACACAATGACATGGAAAGATTCCGGCGTGCACCCAAGGCCGAGGAATGCCAGATAAAAGGATAACCAGGAAGTAGGAGAGGGACACCAAGAGGTAGGCAGGCTCCCCAACTCACAACTCAAACACCCACAGCAGTGCTGGGAGGGAGCTAGTTCGGCTTGGTCACTGAAATCAAAGGGTCTGTAGACAGCAGCAGGAGCTTCCTCTGTTTATAATAGTACAAATAAGTATATAATAAAAAAGACCAGGCGCGGTGGCTCATGCCTGTAATCCCAACACTTTGGGAGGCCAAGGCAGGTGAATCACCTGAGATCAGGAGTTCAAGACCAGCCTGGTCAACATGGCGAAACCCCATCTCTACTAAAAATACAAAAAATTAGCTGGGTCCGGTGGCTCACGCCTGTAATTCCAACACTTTGGGAGGCCGAGGTGGACAGATCACCTGAGGTGGGGAGTTTGAGACCAGCCTGACCAACATGGAGAAATCCCATCTCTACTAAAAATATAAAATTAGCCAGGTATGGTGGCACATGCCTGTCATCCCAGCTACTCAGGATGCTGAGGCAGGAGAATTGCTTGAACCCTGGAGGCGGAGGTTGCAGTGAGCCAAGATCGTGCCATTGCACTCCAACCTGGGCAACAAGAGCAAAACTCCGTCTCAAAAAAAAAAAAAAAAAAAAAAAAAGCCGAGTGTGGTGGTGGGCGCCGGTAATCCCAGCTACTCGGGAGGCTGAGAAAGAAGAATTGCTTGAACCTGGGAGGCGGAGGTTGCAATGAGCCAAGATTACACCACTGCACTGTAGCCTGAGTGGCAGAGCTAGACTCCATCTCAAAAAATATATATATAAATAAATAAAAGTGTATAATAAAAAAGAAACCACACCTTTCTTCCAACCCACTAGCTCTCTCATGAATCCCATTGTTTCATGCCATCCCAGTTTGTAGTTCAGTCTTCACGGAGCTCAGCGAGTCTTGCTATGATCTTAGAATAATCTGAGGCGAAAAGGATCAAAATATCAAAATGAGTTTCAGATAAACTAATGATATCACTGAAAAGAGCTAGGCCAGGTGACGAGTACAGAAAGAGACTCCCAGAAGGTGGTGAGGAGGCCTGGGGTGGTATGGCAGCCACTGTTCTCTCCCCTTGCTCTGAGAGCCTAGCTCTGTCCTCCGGGGGATGCCTTTTCTGCCTGGGGACCTGGCTGTGCAAGGATGTGATACCAGGAGCTGGGGGCACAGCCTGAGGAGGCACCGGTGATGGGAAGATGCCTCGGCAGAGATGGGGGAGCCTGGGTCCTCAGTGACACTGTCGCATCCTAGAGGTAAGCAACCCCTGCAACTGCTCCATCTCTGGACTATTTGTTATAGAAGGCAAGGAAATTCTTTTTTTTTTTTTTTTTGTTGAGACAAAGTCTTACTCTGTTGCCTGGGCTGGAGTACAGTGGCGCGATCTCAGCTCACTGCAATCTCTGCTGCCCAGGTTCAAGCAATTCTCCTGCCTCAGCTTCCCAAGTAGCTGGGATTACAGGTGCCTGCCACCGCACCTGGCTAATTTTTGTAGTTTCAGTAGAGATGGGGTTTCACCATCTTGGCCAGGCTGGTCTTGAACTCCTGTCCTCATAATACACCCACCTTGGCCTCCCAAAGTGCTGGGATTACAGGCATGAGCCACCGCACCTGGCTGGAAATTATTGTTTAAACTGTTCACCTGAGGTTTTCCATTTCTCCAAGCGGAAAGCATCGTAAATGAAAACAGCCCATTACTCCAAGGCTGTGGCTCCCAACTTTGACTACAAATGGGATCTATTTGGCTGAGCAAATAAATAGATTAATAAATTAATAAATTAATAAATAAAACAACCACTGATTTCTGGGTTCCACATCCCGAAATTCTAATTGTGGGAAACAGGTGCTCAGTGTCGCACAATCAACACTGAGACAAAGGATCTCTCAGCAAGGCTAGTTTACTTTCTGCAGAAAGCGTGCTGCTCGCTAACAGCCTTACCACGAGAGCACACCTGAACAAAGGAGAGGGGGACACTTATAATCTTTGTAACCTGATGCAATCATCCTATGGCTGTGCCCGTTTGCATTGGCTGGAACAGGACCTCACATTCTAAGCTTGACCCAATTGGCTAACAGCTTGAAACTTTTCTAAATAGGCAAAGGGGAAAGAGGACAAAGAAAAGAGGAAGCTAGTCATGAGAGGGTCAGGAGGGTTTCCAAATAAGGAATGGCATGTACTATGGTCTGGGGCTCACTTAACCCTGCCCAGGCACGCCAGGTCAAGTCAGAGCAGTTGCATTGGAACATATATAGATATGCATAGTGCAAAGAAATGACAAGCTCTTTATGGTTTTAAGAAACTTTGAAGAACTTCTCCATTCCTTACACTGATTTAATTGATGTTTGGTGAATGAAAGGTTGATATTGTGATATAATAAGAAATATGTATTTGGTCTTTGTCCCCATTTCCAGGAACAGAGCTCCTAAAACCCTTAGAATGGAATTTCCTGAGTGATAAAGTTTAGAGGAATATCTTTTATTATTCATAATAAGCCTCTTTCAAACATCTGGAGCTGCTAATGCTAATGAGCTGACTCTTGGAGGATGGGGGCTGGTTGCCCCAGCATCCCGCTGGTGATGAGAGGTTGGGAACTTTCAGCCCTATCCCCTGGTCCTCCAAGGAGGGGAGGAGGATTGGAGACTGACTTAATCACCTGTGGTCAATGATCTAATCAATCGTCCCTATGTAATGAAGCTGCCATAAAAAACCACAAACAAAGGGTGTTTGGGAATTTCCAGGTTGATGACCACATTGAGGTGCTGGGAGGTTGTTGTACCCAGAGAGGGCCTGGAAGCTTTGCAGTGCCCACCCCTCACCCTTGCCGTGTCCATCTCTTCCATTCGGCTGTTCCTCAGTTGTATTCCTTGTAATGAACCACCAATAGTAAGTAAAGTGATTTCTTGAGTTCTATAAGTCATCCTAGCAAATTATGGAACCCAAGGAGAGGGTTGTGATTGACAGTCAGTTGGTTAGGATTGTGGGTAGCTCTTAGGATTGTGACTGGTGTCTGAAGTGAGGGCAGTCTTGTAGGACTGAGCCCTTAGCTTGTGGGGTCTGCACTAACCCCGGATATTTAGTGTCAGAATTGCTTAATGTGAGGGGAAAAATACACATTTGGCATCAGCAGTATTGTGTGAGAGTAAAGAAAAGCAGTTTGTTTTCTTTTCAGAAATGCATTGGGGATTTTTAAAGCTGGCATGGGGTTGAGAGCCTCTGCTGTAACATCGGGATATGTGAGGGAACACAGACGCTGCCTCAGAGCCCCTTCCAGTCAGAGCTGGGCAAGGGTGGCTTTAGGAGAAGGTGGGCAAGGTCCCTCTGTCTGCCAGGGCAGGGCAAGGCCAGCTGTGCAAGTGTGTGGGCAGTTCACAGAAGCCTCTAAGGCTGGAAGGAGCTCAGTTTCTACCTAGGACCAGGGGTACACCTGGCATCTGGATAAAAATGACCACATTTCCTCATACAAAAGTGGTCTCACTTCCTCGTCAACAAGAGGAGCTGGTGTGTGGTGTATGTTATGTGTGTTGCGGGGAGGTAGAAGCGTTGCACTTTGATTTGGAATGGATAGAAGTACAGGTTTCCCAGGATAAGGAGGGAAGGTGGGAAGGCCTGACCACCGGTGAGTCTGTGCCAGCCCTGATCCCCGACAGACTTGGGTGTGTGCTGTGTGCACTGAGGTCTCCCCACCCAGGAAAGGAGATGGGCTCTGCTCCCCAACTCGCAGAGACTTAAAGGCTGCAAAGGGTGTGGGTGGCTGCAGAGACCGAGAGTGACAGGGACACACACAGGAACCACAGGCACAGGAAAAACCATGGTCACTACAACGCAGTGCTTGCGGAGGGGCCCAGGTCCCGAGTGGTGCCAGGGAAGTTTTCACCAACAGCTGAGAGCATAGCTGTGGCAGTGGAGGTGCGGGCCTGTGTTGCTGCCCCGAGGGCTGGGAGCCACCTAGCTTTGCTCTGCGGACATGTGCTAAGGGCTGTGACGGGACACCCCACCCTCTTCTCACTGTTGCTACTCTTGCTCTGTAAGTGTCCCTTTAAGGGTTAGCAGGACTCACATTCCTGAGAGTCTCCTGGCCTCAGTGAGGACAGCTGGCCCCATCTTTGGGGTGATCAGGATTGGGAAGGGGCAATTATGTCATTCATTTCTTCAAGGGATATTGAAAGTATCCCACAGGCACTGGCTCCGCCCTTAAAGTGCTTATAACATGTTAGGGAAAGAAAACTGAAGTGCGTAATGAGCCTGATGGAGAAGTAGGACCCCAGCTGGTGCGGAGGGGCAGCGGGCTTTGGCCCAGTTAGGAGCCACCGAGTGGACGTGGTTTGATGAAGCAGGATCCGCCAGGCTTGGTTCGGTGGGGGGTGGGTTCGGTAGGTGGGCGTGGTTTGGTGGGGCGGGGCCGGCCAGGGTGCAGGGAGGTGACCCTGAACGCTGAGCGTGGGACGCCTGGAGCGAGCTGGGTTAGGGAGTGTGACCAGGGTGTGGAATATCTCCCAATATTCAGAAAACGGGGAGCGATAGGAACCTGCAGACGCGGACCCACGCGTCCCGACGTGGGCAGACCTATGTACTTTATGATGCTGCTCTGGCAACGCCCTCCCTCCACCCAAAGGCGGCCGAGAGCCGTGAGCTGACAGCTGGCGCGGGTTGACGGACACAGAGTAAATACGACTTCTAGTACATGGGCCAGTCACTTCCCGTGTTCCTGTTGGCTGTGGGCCTGGGCTCCTCTGTTCAGTGACCATGCACCTGGCCGACGGTGCTGCTCCACCGAGCGCTGAACTCGCTGTCTCCCTGAAGCACGCTCCCCGTCTGGCTGACCTTGCAGGACCGTTTGTTCAAACCACTCCCAGGAACTTCCTGCCCAGGCCCCGCACTCTTCACCCGAACTTCCGTGACTCCTCAGGGCACCGTCGCTTAGGGGTCCGTTTTTGCCAATTCACTGTGTCTTTACTGGTATTGTCTACCAACAGTTACTCATCATTTTCACTCTGAGCGGAGACTATTTCATATTCTTCTTTCATGTGGTTTAAAGTTTAATAACGCTTTTAGTTTCCCCCAAATGTTATTGGAAGCAAAAACTTATACTTTTTTTTTTTCCAAGACAGTCTCACTCTCTCGCCCAGGCTGGAGTGCACTGGTGCGATCTCGACTCACTGCAACCTCCGCCTCCCAAGCTCAAGCGATTCTCCTGCCTCAGCCTCCCCAGTAGCTGGGGTTACAGGTCCGCACCACTACCGCCCTGCTAATTTTTGTTTTTCAGTAGAAACGGGGTTTTACCTTGTTGGCCAGGCTGGTCTCAAACTCCTGACCTCGTGACCTGCCCGCCTCAGCCTCTCAAAATGCTGGGATTATAGGCGTGAGCCACCGCACCCGACCATATTTTCTACTGGTAAATACACACATGAACAAACTTTTGAAGGTCCTAAAGGGAAAAGTAAGTTTTCCTCTCTCCTCTGCCTTTCATTTCATTTAATTACCCCCAATGCAATCACTCCTAGGTTTCTTGGTTATCCTATGATAAATATCTTATATGCTTATGAACATTTGTGAATATATATATTTTTTCACATAAATGGTAATATGTTATATTCACTATTCTGCATGTTGCCTTTGTCACTCACATTATATCTTGCAGCATCGTCTGTATCAGTATACATAGTCCTTCCTCTTTCTTTCTTTCCTTTGGAGGCAGACTCTCTCTGTTGCCCAGGCTGGAGTGCAGTGGTACGATTTCCACTCACTGCAACCCCACCTTCCCGAGTTCAAGTGATTCTCGTGCCTTAGCCTTCCAAGTAGCTGGGACTACAGGTGTGTGCCACCACCCCAGTCTAATTTTTGTATTTTTAGTAGAGGCAGGGTTTCACTATGTTGGCCAGGCTGGTCTCATACTCTCCCAAAGTGTTGGGATTATAGGCGTGAGCCACCGTGCCCAGCTACCCTCTTTCTTTTTTAATAGCTGCATACTATTCCATGGTGCAGATGTGCACATGATCATTTAGCCAGGCCACCATTGATGAACATGTGGGACAAGCAATGTCGCAATGAATATGCTCATGATTACATAGGTTCGCGCTTACACCAGTATATCTAGGATAATTACTGAAGAATAGAATCCCTGGATCTAAGGGTATGTATGTATATTTCAAATTTTGGCCAATATTGTCAAATTGCCTTTGTAGAGGTTGTACCAATTTACATACTCACAAGCAATATAAGAAGTGTCATGCTTCTCACACCCTCAGAAATCTAGCATGTGGTTTGATCTTGAGGCAAAAGCTGTTTGCTGAACACTCGTCCTGTGCACAGCATTCTGCTGGGTGCTGCCAGCATGTGGAAGGCTGTGATAGGAGCAGCACTTGCCCCCGGGGCGGCCTGGTGGTCCTCCCCTGCTGGGCAGAGCAGCCCCATGAGATCAGCAGCAATGTTCAAGTCAGTGAGGTTCACAGAGGGCGTGTGGATTGGGGTTGCTGGTTTGCTGTGGTTATGGTTTATTTTAAATGGCTGTCAGTTTGTGGGAAGGGTTATATGAAGGTCACAAAACAAAGGAGGAAATGGTTCAGATTCAGAGGGCAAGGGAGGGACAAGGACAGAGTGAGGACAAGGGTAGAGTAGATGAATGGTTTCTGGAGTCATCAGGTGCTGGAGAGTGGAGAAGAGCATGGAACACAGGGAGGAGACAGAGTTTTGGGTAAAAAAAAAAACCCAAAATACAAAATCTAAACCATGAGAGAAGATATGGGTGTTTAAAAATGCCTGGAAAATTTCACACAACAGTTATTTTTTTTTTGGGTGGGGGGGTTGTAGTTAATTTCATAAATTATAGAATTTCCTTGTCTCCCAGCCTCTGGCTTTCATATCTCAATACCTTTTTATTCTTAGTTTTTAGGTGGTTTCGCCATTTTTGCTCAGTCACATGGTGATTGGACATCGGTATCTTGGGGACCACTGGCAGTGTTGTTGGGGAGCTGGGAGGAGGTCAGGGAGGGCCCTGGGTTTGTGTTGAAGCAAGTGAAACCTTGAGCCAGTGGCCACTGGAAGTTCTACAGGAGGCTGGACATTTCTTAGGTGGAACTGGAGCATCAAGCTCAAATCATGTTTAAATCAATTGGTTTCAGTACTTTTTTTTTTCTTGCTATTTTTTTGAGACAGAGTCTCACTCTATTATACAGGCTGGAGTGCAGTGACATGATCTCGGCTCACAGTAACCTCCACGTTCTGGTCTCAAGTGATCCTCCTGTCTCAGCCTCCCGAGTTGCTCAGACCAGAGATGTGTGCCACCACGCCCGGATAACTTTTCGTATTTTTTGTAGAGACGGGGTTTCACCATGTTGTCCAGCCTGGTCTTGAACTCCTGAGCTCAAGCAATCTGCCTCCCAAAGTGTTATAGGGCTCAATGCACTCAAGTGGCTCATTCAGTTATTTATTTGTATCAACAAATACTTTTATTTGGGGGTTATAATTAAGAACATCATGAGCTCCTGCATGCTGAGCCCTGTATCCTTTTAATAGTCCCCATTTGATTTTTGAGCACTTCTTATATTTTGGCTCCATAAGACCTTCAGGCCCATCTTGTATTTTCCCTGCCCCATCCCTAGAACCAACTCCTCTCTGAGGAGCCCTGGTTTCTCTTCTTGGAGAATGGGCTCTAGAAACAATATCTGGGAGCAGGGCATGCTCATGTTACTAAGGTGTCACTGCTAGATTTTCTCAGTCAACAGACCTAGCAAGGCCTGTATCTACAGTGACTCATGCTCACACATCTGTATGCACTTCTGTCATTTCTATCTATGTATGTCTGTTTTTTAGGATTAATACAGAGACAGGGTCTTGCTACGTTGCCCAGGCTGGTTTTGAACTCCTGGCTTCAAGCAATCCTCCCCCCTCGGCCTCCCAAAGTGCTGAGATTACATGTGTGAGCCACTGAACCTGGTCCGTGTATATCTATTTAAACCTCCATGAATTCATATCCACACCTGTGAGGCCGATCTCACACCACAAGTTCAACCTAGCCTCATTTGTAACTTATTTCTCCAGCTGTGAGAAACCTGGCTCTCCTTGACCATAGTACATTTACTGTCTTCAACCCGAGTGTACACCTGCCCCTGTGAGGTGAAAATCCACACCTGCACTGTAGCATCTTTGTGCCATTCTTATGGTCCTGGCCTGATGAGATCCAGCCACAGAACTGCCTTCCAAAGTTCCTTAGTGAAAGATTCTCCCCCAGGGCCTGAAAGCTTAAGGGAATGAATAACTCCTCCCTTCTCAGGCCCAGTCCCAAGGCACAAGACCACTTGGGCCAGCAGCGTGCCTCAGCAAGACAGCAGAAGCAGGAAGAGAGCTGGTCGGAAGACACATATCCCCTGAAGAGCGACAGGGAAGCCTTCTGGGTACTATGTAGAAGTCACGTCAGAGTGGGACACTTCCTGTTTACGGAAGACTATAAAACCCCTGCCTCGGGCCAGGCGCGGTGGCTCACGCCTGTAATCCCAGCACTTTGGGAGGCTGAGGCGGGCGGATCACGAGGTCAGGAGATGAGACCATCCTGGCTAACACGGTGAAACCCCGTGTCTACTAAAAATACAAAAAATTAGCCGGGCGCGGTGGCGGGCGCCTGTAGTCCCAGCTACTCGGGAGGCTGAGGCAGGAGAATGGCGTGAACCCGGGAGGCGGAGCTTGCAGTGAGCCGAGATGGCGCCACCGCACTCCAGCCTGGGCGACAGAACGAGACTCTGTCTCAAAAACAAAAACAAAACAAAAAAACCCCTGCCCTATCCTTACTTGGGGCTGACGCCATTTTAGACCTCATCTCGCCTGCACCCAGGTGCTCATTAAAACAGCGTGTTGCTCCATGGCGCCTTGTGTTGTTTGTTGGTGCACTCTCCGGGTTCCAACCGATACAAGAGCCTTGCACTTAGGTCAGGGTTGTTTTTTTTAAAAAAAAAAAAAAAAAAAAAAAAAAAAAAAAAAAAACAGGGGCTGACTCTGTTGCTGAGGATGGAGTGCAGTGGTACGATCATGGCTCACTGCAGCCTCAGACCTCCCGGGCTCAGGTGATCCTTCCACCTCAGGCTCCTGAGTAGCTGGGACTACACACGTGCACCACCATGTCCAGTTAATTTTTCTGTATTTTTAAGAGAGATGGGGTTTTCACCATGTTGCTCAGGCTGGGTCAGGAGATTTTAATGATGACATGAACAAACCAGAAAACAAAAATAGTGATAGGAAAGGAGAGCCTGGGTGGGAGAGGGTGGTAAGACAGAAGGAAAATGACACCCCAGGGTCTTGGGACCAGCAATGCTTGACTGGGAAACTGCTCCGCATGTGTGGCTGTGACCTGTCTTGTTGGAGTGTACGTTCTGTTTGGTTTTCAGTCCCGAGGAGTCACAGAGTTGCCTATTTCTCAGGGCAACAGCAGGAAAGGCCCTCCTGAGGCCCATGGTGCCCTGTGAATGAGATCTTGGGGTCCAGGCCTTAGCAACCCCTCCCTGGGACAAACTGCTGTATAGACTGGACCTCGTTCCTCAGAGGACACCCTCTGATGGCTTTGGCTCTGTGAAGGCTCTCCAGTGAACACTTGTCCTTCCTGGGCACACTCTCAGGAGCGCCACCCCTGCAGTCCCCTGACAGGGGCAGCCTCCTGTGAGCTGAAAAGAGACTCCGTTGGAGCCCTACTTTTCCTTTAAAATCAATGTAAAATTGTTTCCTCTACCTAAACACTGTCCACAGCTTCCTTTCCTGGCCATTTTCTTTCTTCTTCCCTTCTTTTTTTCTTTTTTGAGATGGAGTTTCGCTCTTGTCGCCCAGGCTGGAGTGCAATGGTGCGATCTCGGCTCACTGCAACCTCTGTCTCCTGGGTTCAAGCAATTCTCCTACCTCAGCCTCCCCAGTGGGTGGGATTACAGACACCCAAGACCATGCCCAGCTAATTTTTGTATTTTTAGTAGAGACGGGGTTTCACCATGTTGGCCAGGCTGGTCTTGAACTCCTGACTTCAGAT
Organism: Homo sapiens; assembly: GCF_000001405.40. Taxonomy (NCBI): domain Eukaryota; kingdom Metazoa; phylum Chordata; class Mammalia; order Primates; family Hominidae; genus Homo; species Homo sapiens. Next base: position 106,264,590 of record NC_000002.12, on the reverse strand, counting down.
GATCCCCTTTCCTCGGCCTCCTAAAGTGCTGGGGGCGTGAGCCATCATGCCCAGCCTGGAAGACATTTTCTAGGAACCTGTTACCTCTGCCTGAAAATCTGGTAGGCAGTTACGACAGCCCTGGGAGCTGCAGACAGGCTTTTGGAAAGACCCAAACAGCATGCCTGGGCAGCAGAGAAAGGGCAAGCTTGCCAAATAGGTGCACATGGGTTGGGGAACATGTGACATTCCATAGGCCTCCTAGACTGACCTTTGCAGCCTGAATTCTAACATTTTTTTTTCAAATCCACTGAGGGCAAATAACAGCATAGAATTTACATTTAAACTGGGCAGCTTTATCTTGTGCTAGCATCTGGGGTCAGCAGGCATAGAAGAGCAGAGGGGTCAGCAGGCAACAATTCCTTGCAAGGAGCTGTAGCATATTTTCAATACCTGTTTCTCATTAGCAATGACAAAATCCAGCCAGGCCTTTGAGATTTTTTTCCCTGCTACATTCTGGTTCCACAAACTCTAAAATTCCTTCCGCCAAACGCTCTTTTCCTCCCTTCCCCCCTCATCTAAGCTCAATTTCTAAAAGCAAAGTCAAGCACTTAAAGGGAAATTTCATCCATGTGGGTTGGATTATCTACACTTAACTCATAAACACTGCCTATTTTTTTTTTTTTTTTCCGACACGGAGTCTAGCTCTGTCACCCAGGCTGGAGTGCAGTGGCACAATTTCGGCTCACTGCAACCTCCGCCTCCCAGGTTCACCCGATTCTCCTGCCTCAGCCTCCTGAGTAGCTGGGATTACAGGTGCACGCCACCAAGCCTGGCTAATTTTTGTATTTTTAGTAGAGATGGGGTTTCACCATGCTGGTCAGGCTGATCTCAAACTCCTGACCTCGTGATCCACCTGCCTTGGCCTCCCAAAGTGCTGGGATTACAGGCGTGAGCCACCGTGCCTGGCCGAAATCCTACTTTTAAAAGTAAAATAGGGCCAGGCGCAGTGGCTCATGCCTGTAATCCCAACACTTTGGGATGCCAAGGCTGGCGGATCACAAGGTAAGGAGTTTGAAAGCAGCCTGGCCAACATAGTGAAACCCCGTCTCTACTAAAAATACAAAAATTTGCCGGACTTGGTGGCACATGCTAACTACTGGGGAGGCTGAGGCGGGAGAATGGCTTGAACCTGGAAGGCGGAGGTTGCAGTGAGCCGAGACCATGCCATTGCACTCCAGCCTGAGTGACAAAGTGAGACTCTGTCTCAAAAACAAAACAAAACAAAACAAAAAAAGTAAAATAGGCTTGGCGCAGTGGTTCATGCCTGTAATCCCAGCACTTTGGGAGGCTGAGACAGGTGAATCATTTGAGGTTAGGGGTTCGAGACCAGCCTGGCCAACATAGTGAAACCCCATCTCTACTAAAAAAAAAAAAAGGAAAGAAATACAAAAATTAGCTGGACGTGGTGGCACGTGCCTGTAATTCCAGCTACTTGGGAGGCTGAGGTGGGAGAATCGCTTGAACCTGGGAGGCAGAGGTTGCAGTGAGCCAAGACTGCACCACTGCACTCTAGCCTGGGAGACAGAATGAGACTCTGTCTCAAAAAAAAAAAAAAAAAAAAAAAAAAAGAAAGAAAGAAAGAAAAAGAAGAAAGAAAAAAGTAAAATATTTGGTAGTTGTCATTTAAAAAATGAAATAACAGACGTTGGGTTGCTCTGATTGTTTTTTGATTTTGCTCCTGTAGATCAATGGCTGCTAACAGAAAGGGGGATTCTTCCCGTACATTTGGATACAACCTCTGTCAATAATTAATGGACAGAAAGTTTGAAAAGGAACAATCAAGGCCGAGTATGGTGACTCACGCCTGTAATCCCAGCACTTTGGGAGGCCAAGCCGGGTGGATCACCTGAGGTCAGGAGTTCAAGACTAGCCTGGCCAACATGACGAAACCCTGTCTCTATTAAAAATACAAAAAATTAGCTGGGCACGGCCTCAGGCGCCTGTAATCCCAGCTACTTGGGAGGCTGAGGCAGGAGAATTGCTTGAACCGGGAAGCAGAGGATGCAGTGAGCTGAGATCGCACCACTGCACTCCAGCCTGGGTGACAGAGCAAGACTCTGTCTCAAAAAAAAAAAAAAAAGAAAAAGAAAAAGAAAAAAGAAAAAAAAAAGAAAAGAAAAGGAACAATCAGACCCTCCCTGACTTAAAAGCTCCTGATGGCTCCCCAGTACGGGCAGTCTGAGTCCCTGACGTGGTATTTAAGCCCTCCCGACCCAGCCTTGCTTGCTCCCCTTCCTGTGCCGGGTGCCCACTGGCCTGCATTGGTTACAAGCCTCTCAATGAGCGCCCACACTTCTTAGCTCCTGCTGCTGCCTGGAACATTCTGTTCCTCCCTCCTGGTTCAGCCCACTGCCTTCCATCCTTCGGGACCCAGCTCAGGCTTGTCATTTACTCGAGGACTCCTGCACCCACACCTGATGGGGAGAAGGTGCTGCTCATCTGGGCTCCCATGGGTCTTATCCTCTGACCTCCTGGCCTGCAGCACTCAGCATCACTAGTCTTTAGACACACGAGGAATTTTCTCAAGTTCAAGCACGTCCTGTCCTATTCCTGTCACTTCATGCCAGGGGAAGCCTTGCAGAGGCAGAGGGCTGGGATGGAGGTGGAGCTGTGTCCCTCTGCTGAGGACAGCTGGGCTGGGCTTGGGACTGGGGCTTTCTCCAAGCAGGCACTGCAAAGATTAGACAGGGCCTTAGCAAGAGGATGCCTGAGATATTGGAAACCAGTGTCCTGCCCTGCCCAGGTCTTATAATCCAGGAACATGACCCATCCTGCTGGGGAAGCATTGTTCTGCCTTTGATAGTTAACTTTCCAGAGGAAAATGGGTGGACGTAGTTGGATCGAGTGGTAATAGACTGAGGCCAAAGAGTGAATATTCTGACACTATTTCATTTAGGAAATGCTTCCCTGGTTTATGATTGTTGTAGTTAGAAAATAGGATAACTGGTTACACTCAGAAAACCCCAAGAGGGAGTACAATACCAAGATCCCAGAACACAGAAACAGGTGAAGTGCTGGCTTGAGGCAAGCGAAGACTCCAGGGAAATTCAGGCCAGGTGCGGTGGCTCAACACCTGTAATCCCAACACTTTGGGAGGGCAAGGATGCCGGATCACTTGAGGGCAGGAATTTGAGACCAGCCTGGCCAACATGGTGCAACCTCATCTCCACTAAAAATACAAAACTTAGCCAGGCATGGTGGCGTGCGCCTGTAGTCCCAGCTACTAGGGAGGATGAGGCATGAGAATTGCTTAAACCTGGGAGATGGAGGTTGCAGTGAGCCAAGATCACACCACTGCCCTCCAGCCTGGGTGACAGAGCAAGACTCCATTTCAAAAAAAGAAATTCAGGGCAGCCTCTCTGTTCTTGGGCTACTTGGCCTGTTGCTGGTGAACCCCAGGAAAGGAGAGAGAGAAGTGTTCCCCAAGCTGGCTACAGAAAAATTCTCCTACTTGTCCCTCAGTACATACATTGGGCCAACTCTTTAAAAAGACTCTTTTTTATTTCATTTTAGGTACCTAAATAGATACCAAAGCCCTGTACAGAATGCAGGGAGGACGCAGGCTGCAGGAGGTGTACACAAAGTGTGGCAGGCTCTGGCAGAAGGAGCCCACTCAGTGTGACACAGCCCTCCTTTCCCTGTCTTCTGTTCCCTCATCCTCCCTTCTCCCCTTCTTCCACCTGGGCCTGCTCTTGGCTACTGTGTCTCCCCTCTCTCCTTAATCTACACTTCCAATATGCTCACTGCCAAGAAACATGCATTTTCACTGTGGATGTTCTGGTCATAATTCACAACCCAAAATTGTTATTTCTTGGCAAGAAGTTCCAAGTGTGTTTCAGGTGACTGGGCACGGTGGCTCACACCTATAATCCCTGCACCTTGGGAGGCTGAGGTGGGTGGATCACCTGAGGTCAGGAGTTCAAGACCATCTTGGCCAACATGATGAAACCACGTATCTACTAAAAATACAAAAAATTAGCTGGGCGTGGTGGCGGGTGCCTGTAATCCCAGCTACTCAGGAGGCTAAGGCAGGAGAATCGCTTGACCCTGGGAGGTGGGAGGTTGCAGTGAGCTGAGATTGTGCTGTTGCACTCCAGCTGGGGCAACAAGAGCAAGACTCTGTCTCAAAAAAAAAAAAAATGTGTTTCAGGCTGAAGGTTTTTAGCACCTCAGACAGAGATCAGCTAATTATCAGGGCTGTCTCCAAGAAACAGGCAAGAATATGGAGATTTGAGTTGTTCACTGTGTATTTTGGAAAGCCCCTCATTCAGCACTGAGGTTTCAGGTAGAATTATGATCGGATTCAGGGACAAAAATGGTGAAGTGATGTGAGGGAAAAGGCCCACTTTGTGAGTTTCACAGTTGGAGCCAATTGCCAGTACTAACCTTGATGTACTTCCAATGACAAAGCCCAGTGTTGAATACGTTGAAATGGCACCTTCATTCAAGCCACTAAGACCCCTTCAACACCTTTGTGAGGAAAGGAATGGGAAGGATTATTTCCATTATTTTATGAACAAAGAATTAAAATCCAAGCCCAGGGGTCTTGCCCGCAAACCCTGGATGTGTCGATGATGGAGGAGAAGGGCCAGGACCCTCCCACCAGCCAGGTCTAGTCATCCCGCCTCTCAGACTGAACGCTCCCCAAATCACGACAGCATTTCTTTATCTTCCCTGTGAGGGAATAATGTGGAGATTTATTTATTATGGCAGTGAAGGGCTTTAAGATTCATGGATATGGTTGCTATTGAATAAAAGATGTAGTAGTGGATTATGTCCAAATTTCAGTCAGTAACACTAAATTTAGTCAAAGTAACTTCTCGCTCTGTTGCCCCGGCTGGAGTGCAGTGGCGGGATCTCGGCTCCCTACAAGCTCTGCCTCCCAGGTTCACGCCATTCTCCTGCCTCAGCCTCCCAAGTAGTTGGGACTACAGGTGGCCGCCACTACGCCCAGCTAATTTTTCTGTATTTTTAGTAGAGACGGGGTTTCACCGTGTTAGCCAGGATGGTCTCGATCTCCTGACCTTGTGATCCGCCCGCCTCGGCCTCCCAAAGTGCTGGGAATACAGGCATGAGCCACCATGCCCGGCCTAGTCAAAATAACTTCTATACCCCTCGTCAAAGTACTGGTTAATATTGTATATAATATATCACAAAAATAAGTACCTGTGAAGTTCTAAGAAATATATATCTCATATCTTTAAAAGGAAGTATCCTTAATCAAATACTTATTGTAATATTATTTATTTCTTTGTTCTGTGGCTTTATTTTAATAACGATAATCCATGTTCACTGTAAACATTTCAGAAAATACAGAAAAAAATCACTTATTACCCAGCCACTCAAAAATGCTGCTGGCATTTGGCTGTCCTGATTTTCAGGCTTTTTCTCTGCATATGTACATAGACTTTTTTTTTTTTTTTTAATCCAGAGACAGGGTCATGTTCCACATACTGTTTTGTAACTTGCTTTTTAAAATTTAACAATACAGGCCGGGCGCAATGGCTCATGCCTATAATCCCAGCACTTTGGGAGGCTGAAGTGAGTGGATCACCTGAGGTCAGGAGTTCAAGACCAGTCTGGCCAACATGGCGAAACCCCGTCTCTACTAAAAATACAAAAAAAAAAAAAATACCCGGTCATGGTGGCACGCGCCTGTAATCCCAGCTACTCAGGAGGCTGAGCCAGGAGAATCATTTGAACCTGGGAGGCAGAGGTTGCAATGAGCCGAGATCGTGCCAATGCACTCCAGCCTGGGTGACAAAGTGAGACTCCATTTCAAAACAAACAAACAAACAAAACAAATAAAATTTAACAATACAACATAACCTTTCTATTCATGTCAGTATATACAGTTTGACACAGGCATTTTTTTTTTTTTTTTTTTTGAGACGGAGTCTCGCTTTGTCGTCCAGGCTAGAGTGCAGTGGCGCGATCTCGGCTCATTGGAAGCTCAGCCTCCCGGATTCACGCCATTCTCCTGCCTCAGTCTCCCGAGTAGCTGGGACTACAGGTGCCCGCCACCACGCCCGGCTAATTTTTTGTATTTTTAGTAATGACGGGGTTTCTCTGTGTTAGCCAGGATGGTCTCGATCTCCTGACCTCGTGATCCGCCCGCCTTAGCCTCCCAAAGTGCTGAGATTACAGGCATGAACCACGGTGCCCGGCCGACACAGACATTTTTAATGACCGAATGAGAGTTTATTGAATGGATGAACTACAATATGTTTAATTAACCCCAACTGAGGGACATGTAGGCTGGGTCCCATTTACTACTAGATTAACGGTCCTGCCGTGAGCGTCAGGCATTGACACTTGTTTGGATATTTCCAGAGGAGAAATTCCTAACTGTGGCATTGTTGGCTCAAATGAATACATACATTAAATATTAACAGATGTAATTATATAACTCTATATAATTATATATGTGTGTACACACACACACACACACACACACAGTCTACCTTCCAGAAAGCCTTCACCAAGAGGCTATTTTCCTTACTCTTGTGCCAATGGCGAGTTCTGGGATTTGTAAGTATTTTTGCCAATCTGATAGTTAAGTTGACTGTGTGTTAAAACAGGTGGTGTGTTTATTAATGACTCATATTTTTCTTTTCTTTTCTTTTTTTTTTTTTTTTGGAGATGGAGTCTCACTCTGTTGCCCAGGCTGGAGCGATTTCGGCTCACTGCAACCTCTGCCTCCCAGATTCAAGTGATTCTCCTGCCTCAGCCTCCCAAGTAGCTGAGATTACAGGTGCCCGCCACTACGCCCTGCCCAAATAGCTCAATTTTCTAGGTGACAGGTACCCTGTATGACATATGATGAAAAAGCTGAAAGCGTAGTACTGGTATTGATAACTATTTATTTATTTTTAAACTGTCAGAATATATATGGATATCTGAAGATTTTCTGGCTGGCAGATGGATGTGGGAAGTGTAGAAGAGAGGACTGCTTGTTGTTGCAGTTTTTTTTTTTATCTGTTACACATGTAGAGGTCACTAAATTGTCATCTGTTTATCGCTACATATATTTTGCTTACATTAAAGTATATTGTCAGTGATGTAAACTTGTTTAACACTAAAATAATGCAGCAGAAGATAAATTTCAAATCGAAGGCAGACCTGGAGGGGTGAAGAGGGGAAGGATGCACAGAGGAATTGCTATTGTTTCATTTATTTTATTTTCTTTATTTTTATTTATTTTATTTTATTTTATTTTATTTTGTTTTATTTTATTTTATTTTTTTGAGACAGAGTCTCGCTCTATCGCCCAGGCTGGAGTGCAGTGGCATGATCTCCATTCACCGCAACTTCTGCCTCACAGGTTCAAGAGATTCTCCAGCTTCAGCCTCCTGAGTAGCTGGGATTACAGGGCATGCCACTGCACCCAGCTAATTTTTGTATTGTTAGTAGAGATGGAGTTTCGCCATGTTGGCCAGGCTGGTCTTTTTTTTTTTTTTTTTTTTAATAGAGTCTCACTCTGTCACCCAGGCTGGAGTACAGTGGTATGATCTCGGCTCACCGCAACCTCTGCCTCCCAGGTTCAAGCGATTCTCCTGCCTCAGCCTCGGAAGTAGATGGGACTACACGTGCCCGCCACCACGCCCGGCTAATTTTTGCATTTTTACTAGAGGTGGGGTTTCACCATATTGGCCAGGCTGATCTCGAACTCCTGACCTTGTGATCCGCCCCCTTTGGCCTCTCAAAGTGTTGGGATTACAGGCGTGAACCACCATGCACGGCCACCAGGCTGGTCTTGAACTCCTGGCCTCAGGTGATCCCCCAGCCTTGGCCTCCCAAAGTATTGGGATTACAGGCATGAGCCACCATGTCTGGCCTGTTTCATTTCTTAAGCTGGAGGATTTGATACTTAAGTATTCTTCTTTCTTTCTTTTGTTTTTTTGGGGGAGGGCAGGGTCTCGCTCTGTCACCCAGGCTGGAGTGCACTGGCACCATCATGACTCACCACAGCCTCCATCTCCCAGGGCTCAGGTGATCCTCCCACCTTGGCTTCCTGAGTAGCTGGGACCACAGGCTCACACCACCATGCCCAGCTAATTTTATTTATGTATTTATTTGTTGTAGAGACAGGGTTTTGCCACGTTGCCCAGGCTGGTCTCAAACTCCTGGGCTTAAGAGATTTACCCGCCTCAGCCTCCCAAAGTGTTGGGATTACAGGCGTGAACCAGCATGCCTGGCCATACGTGTATATATTATTCTTTTTTCCCTTTTGAATGCTGTGAGTAAAGTATTAATTAATTGTGGGCCTAGATCCTGGACAGACCTAGGCCGCCTTCTCACAACACTGTTTCCTTGGAAATGTATCAAGTTCAATGTGGAATAATGTATGTTGGGAACTGGTCACCTACTTTGTTTACTGTGAAGCCCTTGGTCTGTAACTGTTCCTGCCCTGGGAATGCACACAAGCCTGGAGCCTTCATCACAAGGAGAATATAAAAGACTCATGGGAAACCAAGGCGGGGACTTCCCTCTGTCAATATGAACCACATACACCTTCACCTCTTTTGTTTTTGTTTTTGTTTTTGTTTTTGAGATGGAGTCTTGCTCTGTAGCCCAGGCTGAAGTGCAATGGTGTGGTCTCCGTTCACTGCAACCTCCGCCTCCTGGTTTCAAGTGATTATCCTGTCTCAGCCTCCTAAGTAGCTGGGACTACAGGTGCGTGCTACTGCACCCGGCTAATTTTTGGTTTTTAGTAGAGACGAGGTTTCGTCATGTTGGCCAGGCTGGTCTCAAACTCCTGGCCTCATGATCTGCCCTCCTTGACCTCCCAAAGAGCTGGGATTAAAGGTGTGAGCCACCACGCCTGGCTCTTCGTCTCATCTCTAGTCACTGTGCACGCTCTGCATGTGGGTGAGTGAAGGGATGAGAAACTATGTGCATGGGTACTGCTGGGCCTCCCAGTGAGCTGTAAGATGTTGGGTATACTGTATTTTCTGTTCTTCATTCTCTGTACAGCTAAGTAAATGCAGTGCTAAATTAAAGCCATTGAGACTTATGGATCTGATTGCCAATCTGAACATGTGCCCAGTGCTGGTGGTAGGAAACATGCCTTAAATAAATACATCTATATTTGAATTAACTCGAAGCCATATGAAAAAAATGAAGATCTCTGGTAAAGATAAATACATGGGCAATTATAAGGTAGTATTATTGTAATTTTCACTTATAATTCCATTTTTATTAATAATTTTCTGCACTTTAAAAAGACAAATGCAAAAAACAAGTATTAACCTATTTATTGGGCACACAATATATAGCGATGTAATTTGGGACATCAATAACAAAAAGCAGAAGACAAAGATGCATGCAGCAGAGTTTTTGTATGCTACTGAAGTTAAGTTGGTGTAGATTCAAAATAGAATGTTGTAGCTTTAATAAGTTAAATATAATCCTCATGGTAACTAGAAAGAAAATATCTATACAATATACTCAAAAGGAAATAAGAAGAAAATAAAAATTTTTCCCTGAAAAAAGTCAGCTAAACACAAAACAGGCAATGATGGAAGAAAAAGGGGACAATAAAGAAATGGCAAATAGAAAAAAAATAACAAAATGGCAATAATATTTACTCCTTATCAGTAAATACTTTAAGTATAAATGGATTAAGTTCTCTAATTGAAAGACAGAGATGCGGAAAATGGATACAGAAAAACAGGATCTAATTATTATCTACAGGAGACTCACTTTAGGACAAAAGACACTAATAGGTTGAAAGTGAAAGGATGGTAAAAAATATTTCATGCAAATAGTAACCAAAAGAGAGCTGAGGTGGCTATAGTAATATCAGATAAAATAGATTCTAAATCCACAAAGGTTACAAGAGACAAAGAAGGACATTAATAAGAGGTTTAAAACAGAAAAAAAATATAGCAAGTATAAATATTTACATACCTAATAACAAAAATATATGAAGCAAAAACGACAGAATTGTAACAGGCAATCCTAGAGTAATAGTTTGAGAATTCAATATTCCACTTTCAATAATGGATAAAACAACCAGAGAGAAGATAAGAAATTAGAGGACTTGAACGACAAAATAAACCAACTAGCCCTAACAGACATATACAGAACACTCAGCCCAATAACAATAGAATGCACATTGTTCTGAAGCACACACGGGATGTTCTCTAGGATAGACCACCATAAACATGTTTTAATAGATTAAAAAGTATAGATATCACACAAAGTATCCTCTCTAACCACAATGGTATGAAGTCAGAAATCAATAACTGAAGAAACACCAGAAAATTCACAAATACGTGGAAATTAAACAATGCACTCTCACAAAACTAATGCATCAAAGAAGAAACCACAAAGAATATTTGTATCTTGAGATAAATGAAAATAAAAACACAACATATCAAAACTTATGAGATGCAACAAAAAAGCAGGGCTAAGAGGGAAGTTGACAGCTGTAAATGTCTATATTACAAAAGATCTCAAATCAATAACTCAACTTTATATCGTAAGGAACTAGAAAATGAAGAGCAAACGAAACCCAAAGATAGCAGAAATAAGACAGTAATAAAGATTAGAGCAGAGATTTTTAAAAAGTAGAGACAATAAACGATAGAAAAAAATCAATAAATAATTGATTGGGAAAGAGAAACAAAATTGACAAACTTCTATCTAGACTGACAAAAAACAAAAGAGAAAAGATGCAAATGACTTAAATAAAAATAAAAATGGACTGCCATTTCGTGGACGCCGGGTGAGCGAGAGCATCGCTGGGTACTGGGCCGGAGGAAAGCGGGAAGACCCATCGGAGCGTATGGATTTGAGCCTCCGCATTTTTTATCCTAGATGTCGAAATGCATCGTGATTCCTGTCCATTGGACTGTAAGGTTTATGTAGGCAATCTTGGAAACAATGGCAACAAGACCGAACTGGAACGGGCTTTTGGCTAGTATGGACCACTCCAAAGTGTGTGGGTTGCTAGAAACCCTCGCGGCTTTGCTTTTGTTGAATTTGAAGATCCCCGAGATGCAGCTGATGTGGTCTGAGAACTAGATGGAAGAACACTATGTGGCCGCTGTGTAAGAGTGGAACTGTCGAATGGTGATAAAAGAAGTAGAAATCGTAGCCCACCTCCCTCTTGGGGTCATCGTCCTTGAGATGATTATCATAGGAGGAGTCTTCCACCTCGTCGTAGATCTCCAAGAAGAAGCCTCTCTCGCAGCCGGAGCAGGTCCCTTTCTAGAGATAGGAGAAGAGAGAGATCTCTGTCTTGGGAGGGAAATCACAAGCCGTCCAGATCCTTCTCTAGGTCTCGTAGCCGATCTAGGTCAAATAAAAAAATAAATAAATAAATAAAAAGAAGACTAGTTGGCAAGAGAATTGGTGTACAAGAAATTACTTCATTTGACAGGAGTATGTACAGAAAATTCAAGTTTTGTTTGAGACTTCATAAGCTTGGTGCATTTTTAAGATGTTTTAGCTGTTCAAATGTGTTTGTCTCTTGAAACAGTGACACAAAGGTATAATTCTCTATGGTTTGAAATGGATCATGTGAGGCATGTAATACCAAGAATTGTTACTTTACAATGTTCCCTTAAGCAAAATTAAATTTGCCTTGAACTTTAGTTATGCATAGACTGATGATAAAGCTCTAAACATGCAAAAAATAATAATAAAAGTAAAAATGGAGACATTACCACTGATTTTACAGAAATAATGGATTAAAAGAGAATAGAAAAATAGATGAAAAAATAGACAACCTAGATGAAATGAAGAAATTTATTGAAACATAGAAATTATGTAGGTTGACAGAAGAAATAGAAAATCTCAACAGTTCTATAACAAAGTGATTGTAAACATAATTAAGAAAAAACTTCCCCAAAAGAAAAGTCCTGAATCAGATGGCTTCACAGGTGAATTCTACTAAAGAAAGAGAAATTGACACAAATTATTTCTCAGATAATCCAAAAAATTGAAGTTTTGGGGATAGCAAGGAACACTTGCTATGCATTCTGTGAAACCAGCATTACCTTGCTATTAAAGCCAGATGATATTGCAAGAAAAGAAAATTGCAGACTAACATTGCTTATAAATATAGATGGAAAATCCTTAACAAATATTAGCAAGGCTGGGCATGGTGGCTCACGCCTGTAATCCCAGCACTTTGGGAGGCCGAGGCAGGCAGATCACCTGAGGTCAGGGGTTCAAGACCAGCCTGGCCAACATGGTGAACTCCTGCCTCTACTAAAAATACAAAAATTAGCCTGGCATGGTGGTAGGTGCCTGTAATCCCAGCTACTTGGAGGCTGAGGCAGGAGAATTGCTTGAACCCAGGAGGCGGAGGTTGCAGTGAGCTGAGATCATGCCACTGCACTCCAGCCTGGGTGACAGAGTGAGAATCCAGCTCAAAAAAAAAAAAAAAAAAAAAAAAATTAGCAAATTGACTCCATCAGTATACTATAAGGATTATTCACAATTGAATGGGATTTTACCATGAATGCAAGGACGTTTCAACAGAAGAAAATTAATCAATGTAGTACATCACATTATTTGAACAAAGGAAAAAAAATCACATTATCATCTCAATTGACATGGAAAAAGCATTTGAGGAATTTTAACATCCTTTCATAATAAAAACTCTCGGCTGGGTGCAGCGGCTCACACCAGTAATGCCAGCACTTTGGGAGGCCTAGATGGGTGAATCAGCTGAAGTCAGGAGTTCAAGACCAGCCTGGCCAACACGGTGAAACCCCGTCTCTACTAAATAATACAAAAATTAGCCGTGCATGGTGGTGGGCACCTGTAATCCCAGCTTCTTGGGAGGCTGAGGCAGGGAGAATTGCTTGAACCAGGGAGGCAGAGGTTGCAGTGAGCTGAGATGGTGCCACTGCACTCCAGCCTCGGCAACAGAGTGAGACTCCATCTCAAAAAACAAAAAACAAAAACAAGCAAACAAACAAACAAACAAAACTCTCAGCAAATTAGGAACAGAGGGAAAATTTCTCAACATGATAGAGTGTGTTTCTGGAAAACTTACAGCTAACATTATATTCAATGGTAAAAAAAACTGAATAAGTTCCCCTTAAGACAAGGCACAAGAAAAAGTTTCCCAGTGCTGTTTGACACTGAATTGAAAGTTCTAGCTAGACAAGAAAAGCAAATAGACCGGGTGTGGTGGCTCACGCCTGTAATCCCAGCACTTTGGGAGGCCGAGGTGGGCAGGTCCTTTGAGCGCAGGAGTTTGAGCCCAGCCTCAGCAACATAGTGACACCCTGTCTCTACAAAAAATACAAAAAACAAAGTGGCCGGGCGCGATGGCTCACACCTGTAATCCCAGCACTTTGAGAGGCTGAGGCAGCTGAATCACCTGAGATCAGGAGTTCAAGACCAGCCTGGCCAATATGGCAAAACCCTGTCTCTACAAAAATGCAAAAATTAGCCCCCCATGATGTCGGGTGCCTGTAATCCCAGCTACTTGGGAGACTGAGGTGGGAGAATTGCTTGAACCTAGAAGGTGGAGGTTGCAGTAAGCCAAGATCATGCCATTACACTCCAGTCAGGGCAACAGAGTGAGACTCCATCTCAAAAAAAAAAAGTCATCCAAATCTAAAGGAATAGGTGAAACTATTTCTGTGTGTAGATGACATAATTCTTTGTATACAAAACCCCACAGAATCCACAAGAAAACTCAGAGCTAATGAATGAATTCAGCAAAGTTGCAGTGTACAAAATCAGCACACAAAAACAAATTGTTTTCTATACACTAGAAGGAAATTAAGAAGAAATTCCATTTACAATAGCATCTAAAAAATTAAATACTTAGAAATAAATCTAACTGAAGAGGTGAAAGATTGATACACTGAAAACTATAAAAGATAAAAACTACAAAAAATTAAAAAGATCAAAGTAATTGAAAATACATTCTGTGTCTGTGGATAGGAAGACTTACCACTGTTAAGATGTCAATACTACTGAAAATGATCAGCAAATTCAACACAATCTCTTCTAAAATTCCAACAGCCTTTTCTTTTCCACAAATGAGGAAGCTGATCCTCAAATTTACATAGAATTGAAAGTGACCCTGAATAGCCAAAACAATCTTGATAAGGAAGAATAGAGTTGGAAGACTCACACTTTCTGATTTCAAAACTTACTACAAAGCTACAGTAATTAAAACAGAAGGCACTGGCATAAGGACAGACATATCCAATGAAATAGAATCGAGAGTCAGAAAAAGGTCTCATATATATGGTGAATGGATTTTTTCTTTTTTTGTTTTTAACTGACACATAATAATTTCACAGATTTTTGGGGCACAGTATGATATTTTGATACATGTATACAAAGTGTGATGCTCAAATCAGGATAATTAACATATCAATCACCTCAAACATTTATAATTTCCTTGTGGTAGGAACATTCAAAATCCTCTGTTCTAGCTATTAAAAATACATAATAAATTATTGTTAACTATAGTCACCCTACAATGCTACAGAACATTAGAACTTTTTCCTCCTATCCAGCTGCAATTTTTTGTCCATTAGCTAACCTCCCCCTATTCTCCCCACCTCCCTGCCTTTCCCAGCCTTTAGTAACCACTATTCTACTCTTTGCTTCTATGAGCTCAACTTTTTATTCTTCCACTTATAAGTGAGAACATGTGGTATTTATCTTTCTGTGCCTGGCTTATTTCAGTTAACACAAAATCCTCTAGGTTCATTCATGTTGCTGTAAATGACAGAATTTTATTTTTTATTTTTATTTTTCATTGTGGTTATAGACCACATTTTATTTATCCATTAATTTGTTGGTGAGCACTTAGGTTGATATCATATCTTGGCCATCATGAATAGTGCTGCAATAAACACAGGAATGCAGATCTTTTTTTTTTTTTGTAGCCATGTGTTAGTCACTTTAATAGAAAATGTGATCAAAACCTGACTACAAGAGTTCAGAGAAAAACCAGTGAGTTTCAATTTCATTACAAGTTTTTAAATCTGGAACTAGTTTTTTTGTTTTTGTTTTGTTTTGTTTTTTAACTTAAATGCTAACTTCAGCTCCGGGTTTTTTCACAACCAAACTAAAAATTACTTACTACGTGGGAACATCAATGCAACAAACAAGTAAAATTTGTAAACTCAAGCCACAAACTTACAGTTAATAATCATGGTAAGGGACATTGCCACAGAGCAACTGATGCCTCAGTGAAGTTTGAAAGAAACTCTGCCTTCTGTGAAGGCAGAGAAGAAATATGCAGGCAATTCTGCTTCAAAGAAATCTGCTAGGAATGGAAAATGCTAAAGCCTTTAAGACAAGTGAAATTGCAAAGCCTCAACACGTTCAGCTCAATCCACAGAGCACCAAATGTTAAATTGGAGCCAAAGTAGGATTGAACATTGAATTTCCAGCTATGCAACTCACAGAGCACAATTTCAGGTGTGGAAACCATCTGTAGGCAAGTTCTTTTAAAAACATGAATTTTATACACCGTAAATTCTAAAACACACACTTCTGCATTATTGTTCAAATTTCAGAAGGGCACCACAAGTCACCAGGGTCTTTCAAAGTCACTCACGGCAACAATTCTGTCTTTTTATTCCAGCCTTGGTAGCCCCCTTCCACAGTTCTCTAGCCTCTGCACACACTGCGCCTCACCACTGTAGAATGACTTCTGACATTAAATCCAGTCATGGCCTAAGTCGCATGAGGCAGCTATTTCCCAGGCACCTCCCTTCTCCTTGGCATGGGAGGCTTCCCAACCACTTCAGGCCCCACACAGGAGGCCACATCTGGAAGCACTATTCCTCCAGCTCCCTCTGCTGGAGACCAAAGTGACAGATTGTTGCAAAGACGTGTAGAAACAGATTACTTACACATTCATTTTTGTACACATTTAGTTAATTTAGAACCTGGGACTTTTACAATAGATTCCCCAAACCCCTTTATGGAGAGTGACAGACTACGCAGCAATGCTGAAGGAGCACAGTTTCTCTCTCTAGGAAGAAGAGGATTAGTAGACATAATTGTGTGCATGAAGAGAAATTTGTAATAAAAAAATCAAAGTAAGATTAATGGCCCAGAAACCTGCATTTTATTGACAATTGACACTGTCATTTTTGCAGACAGAGAATCTTAGAAAGATGTCACTTTTTTTTTTTCTTTTTGCGACGGAGTCTGCAGTGGTGCAATCTCGACTCACTGCAACATCCACCTCCCATGTTCAAGTAGTTCTCCTGCCTCAGCCTCCCGAATAGCTGGGATTACAGGCACCTGCCACCACGCCTGGCTAATTTTTGTATTTTTAGTAGAGACGGGCTTTTACCATGTTAGCCAGGCTGGTCTCAAACTCCTGACCTCATGATCCTCCAGCCTTAGCCTCCCAAAGTGCTGGGATTACAGGTGTGAGCCACGGCACCTGGCCACCTTTTCTTTTAATGAATGAGAGGAGCCCACGTGTATCCCTGAATCATTCTTTGGGAAAAGCAACAGAAACAATTGACAGTCACACTTTTTAAAATAAAACAGTCACTCCCTTCAGTCCATACCTCCACGCCCTCATCTGTCTGCCCAATGTCTGTCAGTTCCGTAAAGTTACCCTCTCCTTCTACTCTAGTATTACCACAAGAACTGAAAATTTCAAGCAGAAAAAAATAAAAAATAAAAAAAATCATGTTACAAATAAGCGAGTGGCGGCCCAAGGGAAGCCCTTTGACTATGATTTCCAATTCTCTGTTCAATCTACACTGCAGAGACACAATGATAAACCACCAATTTGGTTCCCAAGTTTTATTCAAGAACTCATACAAAATATTTCAGATAAATGAAATTTAATCCTCTTCTTCATCCTGGTTAATTTGGAAGTAACATAATTTGTAACTCTCTTTACTGTTAGCAACTATGCACAACCAATCATGAAGATTATTCTTCTTCAAATATTTTTTAGTGAGATATTTCAAATACCTTTTGGAAAAAGGTACCTTGGATGTCACGGTGATCTTGCTCTTGCTCTTCTCGATGGTCACCACCCCTCCACCAAGGTTCCCAACTTTTCCGTTCACTTTGATCCTTTCTTGCAAAAACTGCTCAAAATTGGCAGCATCTACGATTCCATCTTCTATGGGGTGGGTGCAATCAAGAGTGAACTTCAGAACCTGCTTTTTTTTTGCCCACCTTCTCCACAAGCTTTCTCACGGGCACCATGGCAGTAGTGGAGGCAGAAAGCCAGATATCTCTTTAACATACTGATTTTCTTTCCTTTGGATGTATATCGAGTAGTGGGATTGCTGGATCATATGGTAGCTTAATTTTTAGTTTTTTGAGGAACCTCCATACTGTTTTCCATAGCGGCTGTACTAATTTACATATCCACCAACAGTGTGTAAGAATTCCCTTTAATCTGCATCCTCTCCAGTATTTGTTATTTTTTGTCTTTTTGATAATAGCTATTCTGATTGGGATGAAATGAAATCTCATTGCAGTTTAGATTTTCATTTCCCTGATGGTTAGTGATATTAAGCATTTTTTTCTTATACTTGTTGGCCATTTGTAGATCTTTTGAAAAATGCCTACTTAGATCATTTGCCCATTTAAAAAAAACAGGGTTATTTTTTGTTGTGTTTTATTTGCTGTTGAGTTATTTGAGTTCTTTGTTTATTCTGGATGTTAATCCCTTGTCAAATGAGTAGTTTGTAAATAGTTTCTTCCATTCTGCAAGTTGACTCTTTACTCTGTTGATTGTTTCCTTTGCTGTGCAGAGGCTTTTGAGTTTGATATAATCCCATTTGTCTATTTTTTCGTTGTTGCCTGTGCTTTTGTGTTCTCATCCATAAAATATTTGCCTAGATCAATGACCTAAGCATTTTCCTTATGTTTTCTTCTGGTAGTTTTATAGTTTTGGGTCTTGCATTTAAGTCTGTAATCCATTTGAGTTTATTTTTGTATATGGTGAGAGATAGGGGTCTAGTTTTATTCTTCTGCATATGGATATCCAGTTTTCTCATTACCACTTATTGAAGAGGCTGTCCTTTTGCCAATGTATATTCTTGATGTCTTTGTTGAAAATCAGTTGGCTGTAGATACATGTATTTATTTCTGGGTTCTCTATTCTGTTTCAGTAGTCTATGTACCTGTTTTTATGCCAGTACTGTGCTTTTCTGGTTACTATCTTGTACTATATTTTGAGGTCAGGTAGTGTGATGCCTCCAGCTTGGTTCTTTTTCTCAGGTTTGCTTTGGCTAGTCCAAGTCTTTTGTGGTTCCATATGAATTTTAGGATTGTTTTTATTTCTGCAAAGAATATCATTGATATTTTGATAGAGATTGCACTTAATCTGTAGATCATTTGGAATAGTGTGGTCATTTTAACAATATTAATTCTTCCAACCCATGAACATGGAATGTCTTTTCATTTTTAGGTCCTCTTCAATTTTTTTCATCAGTCTTTTATTGTTTTCATTGTAAAGGTCTTTCACCTCCTTGGTTAAATTTATTCCTAGGCATTTTTTTTTTTTGGTCGCCTTTTAAAATACAATTGCTTTCTTGATTTCATTTTCAGAAAGTTTGTTATTGGTGCATAGAAATGCTACTAATTTTTGTATGCTGATTTTACATTCTCAACTTTACTGAATTTGTTTATCAGTTCTAACACTACCAAAAAGTAGTGTAGGCTCCAAATCCTACCATGACTGCGTCTCTTTTTCCTAGGTACATCTTCGACCTTGGCAAAATAAACTTCTAAATTGATTGAGACCTGTCTCAGACACTTTTTTGGTGTATGCTTGCTTTGTGAAATGAATTTAGAATTCCTTCTCTTTCAATTTTTTGGAGGAGTTTGAGAAGAATCGGAGTGAGTTCTTTGAAAATTTGGTAGAATTCAGCAGAGAAAGTTTTTCTTCATATGCATGGGGAAAAATCTCTCCTCAAATCATGTTTTCCTCTACTCTCCCATCTCAACAATCATCTACACAGAAGAAAACTTCTATGACCAGATGTATGGGGATCTTTCCCCGCAACCAAGCAGCAGACACCAGCTGAATGTTCTTCAATTCCATTCTAACACTATTTACATGGAGAGAGTGCCAGATCCCACAGGTTAAGGACTCAGTCCCCAAGCCTATTCTCTCCTTCCCCTCACCCACCGGTCCCAAGTCCAGGCCTCTGGAACTTCTGACTGATTGCCTTCAAGTTGGGGTTCCCACAACACCCTCTTTGGATTTAATTAATTTGTTAGAGTGGCTCCCAGAACTCAAACGCTTACATTTACTGTTATACTAAGAAGTATATTTTAAAGGATGCAGATAACCAGATGAAGAGATATATAGGATGAGATCTGCAAGGGTCCCAAATGCAGGAGCTTCTGATCCTGTGGAGCTGGAGTGCGCCACCCTCCCAGCACGTGGGCGAGTTTTTCTTCACCTTCCTGTCGGCTTCCATGTGTTCGGCTATCAGGAAGCTCACTGAACCCTGTCCTCTTGGATTTTTATGGAAGTTTCAAGGCAGCAGCATTCTTCCCCCAGAGGTATAGGGTGAGACCCCCTGGAGACTCACAATCAGAAAGGCAGGGGAACATTAGAGTGAAAGGAGGGCAGGAGAATGTCAGAGGCCTGTCCTTGAGGCCTAATGCCCCCAACCTTATAACAAAAGACTGTATCAAGGAGTATGGGAATTATGATCCAGAAACAGTGGATGAAAACCAAACAGGGACAATTTGACTTCCTCTTTTCCAACTTGGATGCATTGATTTCTTTCTCTTGTCTAATTGCTCTGGCTAAGACTTACGGTGCTATCTGAGTAAGAGTGGTAAAAGTGGGCATCCTTGTCTTGTTCCAGTTCTTAGAGGAGAGGTTTTCAGCTTTTTGCTCTTCGGTATGACATTGGCTGTGGGGGTTTGTCATCTATGGCTTTTATTATGTTGAGGTATGTTTCTTCTATAGTAATTTGTTGAGAGTTTTTATCTTGAAGGGATATTGAATTTTATCACATGCTTTTACTGCATATATTGAATATTGAATTACCTTTTTTTTGTTACTTTGTTTTTTTGAGTCAGGTTCTGGCTCTGTCGTCCAGGCTGGAGTGCAGTGGTGCATTCTCGGCTCACTGAAGGCTTAAGTGATCCTCCCTCCTCAGCCTCCCAAACAGCTGGGACTACAGGCATGCACCACCACACCTGGCCAATTCTTGTATTTTTTTTTTTTTTAGAAATGGGTTTTTACCCTATTGCCAGGCTGGTCTCCAACTCTTGAGCTCAAGCAATCCACCTGCCTTGGCCTCCCAAAGTGCGGGGTTTACAGGCGTGAGCCACCATGCCCAGCCAAGTTATCGTCTTTGTTATGTTATTGTTTCTATTGATGTGATATGTCACATTTATTGACTGGTATGTCTTGAAATATTCTTGCATCCTTAGAATAAATCCCTGTAGGCCATGGTGTATAATCTTTTTGATGTTCTGTTGGATTTGATATGCTAGTATTTTATTGAGGGTTGCCTGTACTTTTCTTTTTTGCTGTGTCTTTTTCTGGTTTTGGTGTCAGGGTAATGCTGGTGTGACAAGAAAATAAAATCTTGAGACCTCAAACTCACTATGCCAAAGGGAAGAGTTAAGCTTGGAAACTGAGTCAAGCAAAAAACTGCCTTTCTTCTTGTTCTTAAAGCAACAGCTGAAAGATAGAAGGGCATGCATCTCCTCAGGTGGCCTCCCTCACCCTGATAATGTAAATTAACAGCTTATCTTTATGAGTATAGGATAAGGCAAGGCTAGAAATCATCCCCCTACCTACTCTGAGATAAATGCATATTTGACTTCTTTCTCTATGTTTACTTTATCTTACGTAAAATGAAGATTTACTGAGCACAAGACAAATACATAATTGACTGTTCCTTTACTCCCTCCTATTATGTGCAACATGTGGATTCAGTGAGTGCTGGTCAAAGCCTCATAAGAATGTGACCACTTACTTCACCGTATATCCTCCCTCTTCTTTTTCTTTCATCTTTTTCCTCCTGCCTAGTTTTTCCACTTTAAATATTGAAGCCCTCAAAACCCACTTTGGAAAAAGTGTAGGCCCCAAATTCTACTGTGACTGTGTCTCTTTTTCCTGGGTATATCCTCGACCTTAGCAAAATAAACTTCTAAATCGATTGAGGCCTGTCTCAGACACTTTTTTGGTTTATACTGGCTTTGTGAAATGAATTTGGAATTCCCTGTCTTTCAATTTTTGGGAAGAGTTTAAGAAGAATTGGAGCGAGTTCTTTAAAAGTTTGGTAGAATTCAGCGGTGAAACTATCTGGCCCTGAGCTTTTCTTTTTGTGAGACTTTTATTTATTACTGATTTAATTTAATTGCCTATTATTGGTCTGGTCATGCTTTTTATTTCTTTCGGTATAATTCTGGTGGGTTATATGTGTCTAGAAATATGTCCATTTATTTTAGGTTTGTCAATTTCTTGGCATACAGTTCTTCATAATCTCTAATGATTCATTGTATTTCTGTGGTATCAGTTGTAATGTCTCCCTTTTCACTTCTGATTTATTTATTTGGGTTTTCTGTCCTTTTTTAAATTAGCCTAGCTAATGGTTTGGTAATTTAGTTTATCTTTTCAAAAAACCAACTTTTCTTTTTATTGATTTTTTTTTTTTTTTTTTGAGATGGAGTTTCACTCTTGTTGCCCAGGCTGGCGCAATCTCAGCTCACCACAACCTTTGCCTCCTGGGTTCAAGCAGTTCTCCTGCCTCAGCCTCCCGAGTAGCTGGGGTTACAGGCATGTACCACCATGCCCAGCTAATTTTGTATTTTTAGTAGAGATGGGGTTTCTCCATGCTGCTCAGGCTGGTCTTGAACTCCTGACCTCAGGTGATCTGCCTGCCTCGGCCTCCCAAAGTGCTGGGATTACAGGTGTAAGCCACTGCACCCGGCCTTATTGATCTTTCATATATATATTTTAGTCTCTATTTTGTTTTGTTTTTGCTCTGATCTTTATTATTTTTTTCCTTCTACTAATTTCCTTCTGCTAATTTGGTTTGTTCTATCTTTTCTAGTTCCTTGAAGTGCATCATTAGGTTGTTTATTTAAAATCTTTCTTTTGTTTTTGATGTCAGCATTTATTGCTATAAATTTCCCTCTTAGTACTGCTTTTGCTTTATCCCATAGCTTTTGGTATGCTGTGTTTCTTTTTTTCTTTTTTTTTTAGATGGAGTCTAGCTCTGTCACCAGGCTGGAGTACAGTGGCGTGATCTTGGCTCACTGCAATCTCTGCCTTGAGGATTCAAGCAATTCTGCCTCAGCCTCCCGGGTAGCTGGGATTACAGGTGCGCGCCACCACACCTGTTGGGGAAAAGCTGAGTGTTGGGAAAAAAGCTGAGTCAGGGCTTGCATGACTGATATAATGTAAAAGAGTCTTGGAGTATGTCCGAGGTCCAGGGTCTAAAACCCCTCGTGGCCTTTGGAACACCAAGCTCTGTGCTAAAGGGTGGAAGGCTGCCCTGTCACACCATAATCTAAGCCCAGGGCATAAAACCCCTCGTGGCTTGGATGGAATCCAGGGCTCAGGGTATAAAACCCCTCGTGGTCTCTGGAATGTGTCTAGGCTTGCTGGCTTCTTGCTTCTAGCATTCCCAGGCTCATAGATCGATTGTATCTTAAACTAGAAGAACATGTTTCCCATTATCTCAAGTAGCAGAACATGTTCCATATGCTTCAAAGAAAATGCTAAACTGTCACAGCTGTAGATTATGCACTTGATGCACTGCTTTCTTTCAACCCCCACATCCTCACTACCTGCTTCTTTGTTTGATCACCAATAAATACCGCAGGCTTCCAGAGCTCAGGACCTTTGCAGCCTCCATACCAGCATTGGCCCCCTGGTCCCACTTTATGTACGCTTGTCTTGTCTTGTTCCTTTGGCTCCACAGGACTTTGTAGCCCCCATGGCCTGGTGTTGGATCTGATCACCCCAACACACACCCAGCTAATTTTTTTGTATTTTTAGTAGAGATGTGGTTTTACCATGTTGGCCAGGATGGTCTTGATTTCCTGATCTTGTGATCTGCCCACCTTGGCCTCCCAAAGTGCTGGGATTACAGGTGTGAGCCACCGCACCCTGCCGGTATGTTGTGTTTCTAATTTCATTTGTTTCAAGAAATTTTTAAATTTTATTCTTAATTCATTGACTCATTGGTCCTTCAGAATCATGTTGTTTAATTTCCATGTATTCATACAGTTTCCAAAGTTCCTTTTGTTATTGATTTATAGTTTTATTTCACTGTGATCAGGAAAGATACTTGATATAGTTTCAATTTTGAAAAAATTGTTGAGACTTGTTTTGTGTCTGCACATATGGTCTATCCTGAAGAGTGTTCCATGTGCTGATGAAAAGAATATGTGTTCTACAGCTGCTGGATGAAATGCTCTGTGTCTGTTAGGTCTATTTGGTCTAAAGTGCAGTTTAAATCTGATGTTTCTATGTTGATTTACTGTCTAGATGATCTGTCCAATGCTGACGTGGTGTGTTGAAGTCCTCTACTATTACTGTACTGGGATCTATCTCTCCCTTTAGGTCTAATAATATTTGCTTTATATATCTGATTTCTCCAGTGTTGGGTGCAAATATATTTATACTTATTATATCCTTTTGCTAAACTGTGCCCTTTATCATTATGTAATGATCTTCTTTGACTCTTTTTATAGTTTTTAAATTAAAGTCTACATTATCTAAGTATACCCAACCATGTTTTCTGTAGGTTTGTGTTTTCCTGGAATATCTTTTTCCATCTCTTTACTTTCAGTCTGTGTGTGTGTCTTTAAAAAAAAAAATAGCTCACGCCTGTAATCCCAGCACTTTGGAAGGCTGAGGCAGGCAAATCACAAGGTCAGAAGTTCAAGACCAGCATGGCCAACATAGTGAAACCCTCTCTCTACTAAAAATACAAAAAATTAGCTGGGTGTGGTGGTGGGCACCTGTAATCTCAGCTACTTGGGAGGCTGAGGCAGGAGAATTGCTTGAATCCGGGAGGCAGAGGTTGCAGTGAGCTGAGATCGCGCCATTGCATTCCAGCCCCGGCGACAGTGCAAGACTCCGTCTCAAAAATAAAATAAAATAATTAAAAACAAGTTTTGTGGGTACATAGTAGGTGTATATGTTTATGGTTTACATGAGACATTTTGCTGTAGGCATCTATCCCCTCAAGCATTTATCCTTTGTGTTACAAACAATCCAGTTATATCTTTTTTAGTTATGTTAACATGTACAGTTTAGTTATAATTGACTACAGTTCCCCTGCTGTGCCATCAGATAGTAGGTCTTATTCATTCTTTCTAACATTTTTTTAGTATCCACTAACCATGCCTACCTCCCCTCTGCCCACCCACTTCCCTTCCTAGGTTCTGGGAACAATCCTTGTATTCTCTATCTTCATGAGTTCAATTGTTTTGATTTTTAGATCCCACAGTTAAGTGAGAACATGCAATGTTTGTCTTTCTCTGCCTGGCTTATTTCACTTAACATAATGACTTCCAGTTCCATGAACATCAAATGATAGAATCTTATTTTATTTTATTTTATTTTTTGAGACAGAGTCTCGCTCTGTCGCCCGGGCTGGAGTGCAGTGGCGTGATCTCAGCTCACTGAAACTTCTGCCTCCCAGGTTTAAGCAACTCTCCAGCCTCAGCCTCCTGAGTAGCTGGGACTACAGGCATGTGCCACAGCATCCAGCTAATTTTTATATTTTTAGTAGAGATGAGGTTTCGCCATGTTGGCCAGGCTGGTCTTGAACTCCTGACCTCAGGTGATCCACCTGCCTCAGCCTCATGCTGGGATTACAGGCATGAGCTACTGGGCCTGGTCAGAATCTATTTTATTTTATTTTATTATTTTATTTTATTTTATTTATTTTATTTTATTTTATTTTATTTATTTTATTTTATTTTATTTTATTTTTTGAGACAGAGTTTTGCTTTTGTTGCCCAGGCTGGAGTGCAGTGGCACAATCTTGGCTTACTGCAACCTCCACCTCCTGGGTTCAAACGATTCTCCTGCTTGAGCCTCCAGAGTAGCTGGGATTACAGGCACCCACCATCATGCCTGGTTAATTTTTGTATTTTTAGTAGAGACGGGGTTTTGCCATGTTGGCCAGGCTGGTCTTGAACTCCTGACCTCAGGTGATCCTCCTGCCTTGGCCTCCCAACGTGCTGGGATTACAGGCATGAGCCACCATGCCTGGCTGATGAACGATCTTTTTAATGTAGAATTCTGTTGAGGATTTTTGTACCAATATCCATAAGAGATATTGGCCTGTAGTTGCCTTTTTTTGATGTGTCTATGTCTAGTTTTTTTATCAGGGTAATATTGGCCTCAAAGAATGAGTTTGGAAGTATTCCCTCTTCCTCTATTTTTTGGAATAGTTGAGTAGGATTAGTATTAATTCTTCTTTAAATTTTTGGTAGAATTCAGCAGTTAAGTCATTAAGTCCCAGGCTTTTCTTTACTGGGAGACTTATTATTATGGCTTTGCTCTTGTTACTTGTTATTGATCTGTTCAGGTTTTGGGTTTCTTCATGGTTCAATATCAGTAAGTTGTATGTGTCTAGGAATTTATCTGTTTCTTCTAGATTTTCCAATATATTGGCACATAGTTGCTTATAGTAGCCACTAATGATCCTTTGAATTTCAGAGTTATAATGGCTTATTTTTCATCTCTGATTTTATTTATGCGTGTTTTCTCTTTTTTTCTTAGTCTGCCTAAATGTTTGTCAATTGTATTTATCTTTGCAAAAAACAACTCTTTGTTTTATTGATTTTTTGTATTGTTTCCTTTTGGTTTGTTTGTTTGTTTCTTTGTTTGTTTGTTTTTGAGACGGAGTTTCACTCTTGTTGCCCAGGCTGGAGTGCAATGGCGTGATCTCAGATCACTGCAACCTCCATCTCCCGAGTTCAAGTGATGCTCCTGCCTCAGCCTCCTGAGTAGCTGGGATTACAGGCATGTGCCACCACGCCCAGCTAATTTTGTATTTTTAGTAGAGATGGGGTTTCTCTATGTTGGTCAAGCTGGTCTTGAACTCCCAACCTCAGGTGATCCACCTGCCTCAACCTCTCAAAGTGCTAGGATTACAGGCATGAGCCACTGTGCCCGGCCTTGTATTGTTTTCTTCATTTCAAATTCATTTATTTCTGCTCTGATCTTTATTATTTCCTTTCTTCTACTAATTTTGGGATCAGTTTTCTCTTGCTTTTCTAATTCTTTAAGATGTATCATTAGGTTATTTATGTGAAGTTGTTCGTATTTTTTGAAGTAGGCACTTACAGCTATAAATTTCCCTCTTATAACTGCTTTCACTGTAGGTTTTGGTATGTTGTGTTTTCATTATCATTTGTTTCAAAAAAAAATTTTTCAGTTTCTTTCTTGGTTTCTTCACTGATCCACTAGTCCTTCAGGAGTGTATTTTTAAATTTCCATATGCTTGTATAGTTTTGCAAAATTCTTCTTGTTATTGTTTCCTTTCATTGTGGTCAGAGAAGATGCTTGATATTATTTCACTTTTTTGAATGTTTTAAGGCTCATTTTGTGACCTAAAATATGATCTATCCTTGAGAATGATCCATGTGCTGAGGAGAAAAATGTGTATTCTGCAGCCATTGGGTGAAATGTTCTGCAAATATCTATTAGGTCCATTTTTCTATAGGGCAGATTAAGTTTGATGTTTCTTTGTTGATTTTCTGTCTGGGAGATCTGTCCAATGCTGAAAGGGGGGTGTTGAAGTCGCCAGCTATTATTGTATTGGGGGTCTATCTCTCTCTTTAGCTACAATAATATTTGCTTTATATACCTGGGTGCTCCAGTGTTGGGTGCATCTATATTTACAATTATTATATCTTCTTGATTTGACCCCTGTATCATTTATATAATGATCTTCTTGTTCTCTTCTTTCAGTTTTATCTTGAAATCTATTTTGTCTGAAATACCTATAGCTACTCCTGCTCTTTTTTGGTTCCCATTGGCATGAAATATCTTTTATCATCCCTTTATTTTACTATCACCTTATGATTTTACCATACCATCAGTCTATGTGTATCTTTGTAGGTCAAGTGTGTTTCTTATAGGCAACAGATCATTGGGTCTTGTTTTTTCATCCATTCAACCATTCTTTGAGTCTTTTGATTGGTGAGCTTAGTCCATTTACATTCAATGATATTTTTGATAAGTAGGGACTTACTCCTCCATTTTGTTATTGTTTTCTGGTCGTTTTGTGGTCTTCTCTTCCTTTTTTCCTTTCTTCCAGTCTTCTGTTTTGTGAAGGTGATTTTCTCTGGTGGTATGCTTTAATTTCTTGCTTTTTATTTTTTGTGCAGCTGCTGCATGTTTTTCGATTTGAGTTACTATGAGGCTTGCAAATACTATCTTATAACTGATTAATTAATTAATTAATTAATTTCTTGGAGACAAGGTCTCACTCTGTCACCCAGGCTATAGTGCAGTGGCTTGTTCATAGCTCAGTGAAACCTTGACTTCCTGGGCTCAGTTGATTCTCCCACCTCAGCCTCCCAAGTAGCTGGGACTACAGGTGCATGCCACCATGCCTGGGTAATTTTTGTATTTTTTTTCTTTTTTTTAGAAATGGTGTTTTGCCATGTTGCTCAGGCTAGTTTTGAACCCTAGGCTCAAGCAGTCTGCCCACCTCAGCCTTCCAAAGTGCTGTGATTATGGGCATGAGCCACTGTGTCTGGCCAATCCATTATTTTTAACTGGTGACAACTTGACACTGATTGTATAAACCAACTAACAAACACATGCAAAGAAAATGAATAAAAATGCTACACTATAACTTCATCCTCCTACTTTTTAACTTTTTGTTGTTTCTCTTATGTCTTATTGTATTGTCCATGTCTTGAAATGTTGTAGTTATTATTTTTGATTTGTTCATTATTTAGTCTTTCTACTTAAGTCAAGAGAAATTTACACACTAGAATTACAGTGTTATACTCCTCTGTGTTTTTCCATATGCTTACTATTACCAGTAAGTTTTGCACCTTCACATGTCTTCTTCTTGCTCAGTGACATCCTTTTCTTTCAGACTGAAGAACTCCCTTTAGCATTTCTTGTAGGACAGGTCTGGTGTTGATGAAATCCTTCAGCTTTTGTTTGTTCTGGGGAGGCCTTTATTTCTTTTTCATGTCTAAAGGATATTTTTGCAAGATATACTCTTCTAGAGGAAAGGATTTTTCCTTCAGCACTTTAAATATGTTATGCCACTCTCTCCTGGCCTTTAAGTTTTCCACGGAAAAGTCTGCGGTCAGACATATTAGAGGTCCATTTTATGTTATTTGTTTCTTTTCTCTTGCTGTTTTTTTTTTTTTCTTTTTTTGAGACAGAGTCTCACTCTGTTGCCCAGGCTGGAGTGCAGTGGCGCAATCTCAGCTCAATGCAAGCTCCACCTCCCAGGTTCACGCCATTCTCCAGCCTCAGTCTCCCGAGTGTTGCGGGAAGTCAGGGACCCTGAACGGAGGGACCGGCTGGAGCCGCGGCAGAGGAACATAAATTGTGAAGATTTCATGGACATTTACCAGTTCCAAAATAATGCTTTCATAATTTCTTATGCCTGTCTTACTTTAATCTCTTAATCCTATTGTCTTCATAAGCTGAGGATGTACATCACCTCAGGGCCACTGTGATAATTGTGTTGACTGTACAAATTGATTGTAAAACATGTGTGTTTGAACAATATGAAATCAGTGCACCTTGAAAAAGAACAGAATAACAGCTATTTTCAGGGAAGAAGGGAAGACAACCATAAGGTCTGAGTGCCTGTGGGGTCAAGCAAAATAGAGCCATATTTTTCTTCTTGCAGAGAGCCTATAAACAGATGTCCAAGTAGGGAAGATATCACTAAATTCTTTTCCTAGCAAGGAATATTAATAATTAATACCCTGGGGAAGGAATATATTCCTGGGGGGAGGTCTATAAACGGCTGCTCTGGGAGTGTCTGTCTTATGTGGTTGAGATAAGGACTGAAATACACTCTGGTCTCCTGCAGTACCCTCAGGCTTACTAGGGTGGGGAAAAACCCTGCCCTAGTAAATTTGAGGTCAGACTGGCTCTCTGCTCTCGAATCCTGTTTTCTGTTGTTTAAGATGGTTATCAAGACAATATGTGCACCGCTGAACATAGACCCTTATCGGTAATTCTGCTTTTGCCCTTTGCCTTGTGATCTTTTTTTTTTTGCCCTTTGCCTTGTGATCTTTGTTGGACTGTTATCAGGAGTTTCTGATTTTGCCCTTGTCCTGTTTCCTCAGAAGGATGTGATCTTTGTTCTCCTTTTTGCCCTTTGAAGCATGTGATCTTGCGACTTGCTCCCTGTTCTTGCACCCCCTCCCCTTTTGAAACCCTTAATAAAAACCCTCTGGTTTTGCGGCTCAGGAGGGTATCATGGTCCTACCAATATGTAATGTCACCCCCAGAGGCCCAGCTGTAAAATTCCTCTCTTTGTATTCTTTCTCTTTATTTCTTAGCCAGCCAACACTTATGGAAAATAGAAAGAACCTACATTGAAATATTGGGGGTGGGTTCCCCTGATACCCGAGTAGCTGGGACTACAGCTACCCACCACCATGCCTGGCTAATTTTTTGTATTTTTAGTAGAGACAGGGTTTCACCGTGTTAGCCAGGATGATCTCGATCTCCTGACCTCGTGATCCACCCGCCTTTGCCTGCCAAAGTGCTGGGATTACAGGCATGAGCCACTGCACCCGGCCTTCTCTTGCTGTTTTTAGGATTCTTTATCTTTGACCTTTGGGAGTTTGATTATTAAATGTCTTGAGGTAGTCTTCTTTGGGTTACATCAGCTTGGTGTTCTATAACCTTATTGTACTTGAATATTGAGATATTTCTCTAGGTTTGGGAAGTTCTCTGATATTATCCTTTTGAATAAACTAACCTTATCTTTATCTCTGCCTCCTCTTTAAGGCCAACAACTCTTAGATTTGTCCTTTTGAGGCTCTTTTCTAGATCTTATAGATGTGCTTCATTGTGTTTTTTTACTTTTTTCTTGTGTCTCCTCTGACTGTGTATTTTCAAATAGCCTGTCTTCCTGTCTTCAAGCTCACTAATTCTATCTTCTGATTCATCAATTCTGCTTTTAAGAAACTCTGATGCATCCTTTAGAATGCCAATTATATTTTTCTACTCTAGAGTTTATGCTTATTTTAAATTATTTGAATCTCTTTGTTAAATTTATATCATAGAATTCTGAATTCTTTCTCTTTGTTATCTTGAATTTGTTTTAGTTTTCTCAAAATGGCTGTTTTGAATTCTCTATCTCAAAGGTCATATATCTCTATTTCTCCAGATTGGTCCCTGGTGCCTTATGTAGTTCATTTAGTAGGGTCATGTTTCTGGATGGTGTTGAGGCTTGTAGATGTTCTTTGCTGTCTGGGCATTGAAGAGTTGGGTATTTATTGTAGTCTTCACAGTCTGGGCTTGTTTGTGCCTATCCTTCTTGGGAAGGCTTTCTAGCTATTTGAAGGGCCTTGGGCCTCCAGCCCTATGATGCTGTTGTTTTTGTAGACTAGTAGAATAGAAGTATTGCGTTGGTGGTCTTGGATGAGATCCAGAATTATCTGGATTATCAGGCAGAGACTCATTCTTTTTCCTTTTTTTTGTCCCAAACATGCAGAGTCTCTCTGTGCTGAGCCACCTAGAACTGAAGGTGTGGTGATGCAAGCACTCCTGTGATCACCACTACTGAGACTGCACCGGGTCAGACATGAAGCCATTGCAGCACTGGACCTTGCCTAAGACCCTTCCCTTCAGGGTGGCAAGTTCCCCCAAACCCTGGGCATGTCCAGAGATGCTATCTGGGAGCCAGGGATTGGAGTAAAAAATCTTAGCAATTTACCTGATGTTCTATTCTACTGAGGTTAAGCTGGCATTCAAGCCACAATACAAAGTCCTTCCCACTTTAGTCTCCTCATTTCATAGGCAGAGAAGCCCCTCCCTGTAGCCACCACCACCACTGGTTAAGCAAATCATCAATGTTTGCTTAAAGCCCAAGGCTCTTCCATCAGCACACGATGCATGCTGCCAGACCTGGGACTCACCCATCAGGTCGGTGTGCTCCCCTCTGTCCCAGGCCCACTCTAGCAATGCTGTACAAGAACTTAGGCCTGGACTTAGGGATCCCAAGAGCCTGCTTGTTGCTCTACTCCAGTATGGCCAAGCTGGTACCTAGGGTGCAAGACAAACTCCCCTTTACTTTTCCCTCTGTTTTTCTCAAACTGAAGGAGTCTTTCACCATAGCCACCACAGCTTGGAAAATGCTGGCTCTCCCCTGAAGCTAGTGCAACTCAGAGCCCAAGATGCACAGTGTACTTCCCTGTATCACTAATGGTTATTCAGGGCCCAAGGGCTCTTTATTCAGCAAGTGATGAATCCTGCCAGGAATAGGTTCTTCCCTTCAAGGAAGTAGGTTTCCTTTTGGCCCAGGGTGTGTCTACAAATGTTATCTGGGAGCTAGGACCTGGAAAGGGGTCCTCACAATTGTGCCTGGTGCCCTATCCTACTGTGGCTGAGCTGGTATTCAGGATGCAAGACAAAGTCCTCTTTACTTTTTGCTCCCCTTTCTTTAAGCAGAAGGAAAGGGTCACTTTTATTGCTATAAGCTGCACTGCCTAGGGTTGGGGGAGGGATGGTGCAGGTCCTCCCTTAGCCATGTCAGCTGGTGTCTCTCTAGGCCACATGCCACCCTAGTTCACTGGCTCTAAGCCCAGCCTAGCACTAGGAGTTGCCTAGGGATTGTAGTCCTTGTGTCCTAGTCTGCCTTTCAAGCCAGCACATGGTGGCAAGGCTTGCTGACAAACGCAAGCTCTAACTGCTGGGATGGATGACTCCTCTCTGGCTATGGCTGGTCCACATGCTCCCTCTGTGCACAGGCACTGGCTGAGCCTGGCAAGGCTTTATTTTCCACCATGACAGGAGGGCACTGAGTTCAATGTAAAGTCCTCCAGTTGCTGTGCTCTCCCTCCCCAATGTGCACAGATTCTCTCTCTCACTCTGCCTCTGCACAGCTGCTGCTAGGGGTGGGGTGGGGTGGTGTCAGCGAGTCGAGAATAACTCTCCTGCCTTCCTCGATGCCTCTTTCCATGATTGCTCACCTGATATTTGGTTCTTGTGATTGTGCTTTTCTGTGTACAGATAGCTGTTAAAATTTTGTGTTCTAAGGCTGGGCACGGTGGCTCATGCCTGTAATCCCAGCACTTTGGGGGGCCTAGGTGGGTGGATCACCTGAGGTCGGGAGTTCAAGGCCAGCCTGACCAACATGGAGAAACCCCATCTCTAATTAAAAATACAAAATTAGCTAGGCGTGGTAGCGCATGCCTGTAATCCCAGCTACTTGGCAGGCTGAGGCAGGAGAATCACTTGAACCCAGGAGGCAGAGGTTGCAGTGAGCTGAGATGGAGCCATTGCACTCCAACCTGGGCAACAAGAGAGAAACTCAGTCTCAAAAAAAAAAAAAAAAAAAAAAATTTGTGTTCCAGCAGGGAGGACACACAGGAAAAGATGCTTAACATCATCAGTCATTAGGGAAATGCAACTCTAATGCTCTGTGAGATGCCACTTCACCTGCACGAAGATAGATATAATTTAAAAAATAAAGAAAATTTGTGTTTTGGAAAGGATGTGGAGAAATTGGAACTGTCATCTATTGCTGGTGGGAATGTAAAATGGTGAAGCTGCTGTGAAAATATTTGTTGGTTTATCAAATAGATAGATATAGAACTACCATATTCCACTCTAGGTAGATATCCAAAAGAACTAAAAACAGGTCTGAGAGTAGATATCTGTGCACTGGCTGGGTGTGGTGGCTCACACCTGTAATCCCAGCACTTTGGGAGGCCAAGGCAGGCATATCGCTTGAGGCCAGGAATTTGGGACCAGCCTGGCCAACATGGCAAAACACCTTCTCTACTAAAATATAAAAATTAGCTGGGCATGGTGGTGCAGTAGCTGTAGTCCCAGCTACTCAGGAGGCTGAAGCAGGAGAGTCACTTGGACTGGGGAGGTGGGGGTTGCAGTAAGCCAAGATTGCACTACTGCACTCCAGCCTGCGTGACAGAGGTAGACTCTGTCTCAAAAAAAACAAAAAAAAAAAGGAAAAAAAAGGTATCTGTACACTAATGTTGATAGAAACATTGTTTACAATAGCCAGAAGTTGGAAACAATCAAAGTATCCATCGACAGATGAATGTTTGAGCAAAATGTGGTATATACATGCAGTTACACTATTCAGCCATAAAGAGGAATTGAAGTTTGACATATGCTATATACTGAATGAACTTTTGAAAACATTATGCTTTGTAAAATAAACCAGACACAGGACAAATCTTGTATGATTCTTCTTAGATGAGGTATTTTAAGTGGGCAAATTTAGACACAGAGAGTAAACTAGATGTTAGGGGCTGGGAAGAGGGAAGAGGAGGGGATTATTAGCTAATGGGCACAAAGTTTAGGGACTATGAAAAAGTTTCAAGTATAGACAATGGCGATAGTTATACCATATTGTGATTGTGTTTAATGCTATTCAATTACAAATGGTTAAAATAAACAATTGCCTGGGTGTGGTGGCTCATGCCTGTAATGCCAGCACTTTGGGAGGCCAAGGCAGGCCCATCATTTGAGGTCAGGAGTTTGACATCAGCCTGGCCAACATGGTGAAACCCCGTCTCTACTAAAAATACAAAAATTAACTGGCGTGGTGGTGGATGCCTGTAATCCCAACTACTCGGGAGGCGGAGGCAGGAGACTCTCTAGAACCTGGGAAGCAGAGGTTGCAGTGAACAGAGATTGTGCCATTGCACTCCAGCCTGGGTGACAGAGTGAGACTCCATCTCAAAAAATAAAAAAAAAATAAAAAAATAAAAAGATAATAGGTTATATATATTTTACCACAGTAAAAATAGAAAAATAAAATATAAAAATTATGATATTAATGAAACAATTAAAAATTTGATCCTGGTGAAAATAGTTTATAATATTAAAGAATTATTATTGATATTTTTAGTTGTCATGGTTATTGAGAATCCTTATTTAAAGATACAAAAGTATTTACAAATGAAATGATATATATGAGATTAGCTTCAAAATAATAGGAGAGGGAAGAAAGTGGGTGGGAATAGTCAGAGGAAATGATTGGTCACAGTTCATAATTGTTAAAGCTGGGTGACGGGTACATGTGTGCTCCTCATGCTTTTCGGTCAACTTTACATTTGTAAATTTTCCTAATAAAATAAGGTCACATGCTTTATTATTTAAAAAGTAAAAGCAAAAATATACCATGCTAATACAAATAAAAAGAAAGCTGGAGCAGATACATTAATTTTGGACAAAAAGATTTCAGAAAAAGAAAAACTATTTAAAGAGGGACCTTAGATAATGATAAAGTGATCACTTCACTTAGAAGACACAACAGTCTTTAATGTGTATTTGAGTAACAACAAAGCATCAAAATATAACTGCAAGGGGAAGTAGATGAATCCGTTATAACAGGTGGAGGCTTCCCCATCCCTCTCAGAAATGGACAGATCCAGCAGGCATAAAATCAGTAAGGATATAGTTCAACTGAGCAGCACCATCAATTAAATGAATCTAATTGACATCTAGAGACTTCTTCATCCAAGAGCAGGTTACATATTCTCCTCCAGCTCACATGAAATATTCCCCAAGGTAGACCATATTCTGGGCCATAAAACACACTTCCACAAATATAAAAGAATAGAATAAAATAGAAATCATACAATGTATGAAACATTTTCATTAAAGATATTAATAAAATTGATAAATCTTTAGTCAGGCTAATCAAGAAAAAAGAATAAAGACACAAATGACTAATATCAGAATAAAAGAGGAGTGATCACTACTGACCTCATGAATGTTTAAATGACTTTTAAAGAATAATAAAGGAATATTTTGAACAACTCTATGCCTATAAATTGGATAACCTAGGTAAAATAGACTAATTTCTTGAAAGAATCATCCAAGGATGATCTGAAAAGTCTACATTTATTTTAAAAATTGAATCACTAATTAATAATCTTCTAGAACAGAAAGTACCAGGTGCAGCTGGTGTCACTGTTACATTTTATCAAACATTTAAGTAAAAAATTGTACCAGTTCTCTATAATCTCTTCCAGAAAATAGAAGCAGAAGAAACACCTCTTAACTCATTCTATGAGGCCAACATTACCCTAATGCCAAAAACAGATAAACACATTACATAAAAAGAAAACTACAAACTAATGTCTTTCATGAACACAGAAGAAAAAATCCTCAACAAAATGGTAGTAACAAACCTAACAAAGTTTGAAAAAAGATATATACACCATGACCAAGTGGGACTTATTCCAGATATACAAGCCTGTGTTAACATTTGGAAATCAGTTAATCTAACTAATTACATCAACAGAATAACAATGAAAGTCATGATTATATCAATAGATGCAGAAAAGATATTTGACAAAATCCAATACCCATTTATGATAGCTGTCAGCAAATCAGGAATGGGGGGAACATGGTCAACTTGGTAAAAAGCAACTATAAAAACCCTAAAGATGGCCTGGCGCAATGGCCCACACCTGTAATTCCAGCACTTCGGGAGGCCAAGGCAGGCAGATCACTTGAGATCAGGAGTTCGAGACCAGCCTGGCCAACATGGCAAAACCCCGTGTCTACTAAAACTACAAATAATTAGCTGGGAGTGGTGGTAGGCGCCTGTAATCCCAGCTACTTGGGAGGCTGAGGCTGGAGAATCACTTGAACCCAGGAGGCAGAGGTTGCAGTGAGCTGAGATTGTGTCACTGCACTCCAGCCTGGGCGACAGAGCAAAACTCTGTCTCAAAAAACTAAAAAATAAAAAACCCTAAAGCTATCATCATACTTGATGAGAAACCAGATGCTTTCACCCTAAGATTAGAACAAAGGAAATGTATCCCCTCTCCCCACTCCTATTCAGCACTGTACTGGAAGTTTTAGCTAGAAAAATAAGATAAAAAGAGGAAATAAAGGTGTATTGATTAAGAAGAACAAAAAACCTGTTTCTTCACAGATGACATGATTGTCTATGTAGAAAATCCCAGAGTACTGACAAAAGTACTTCTGGAACTGTTAAGTGATTACAGTAAGGATGCAGATTACAAGGTTATATACAAAAGATATATACAAAAGTCAATTGCTTTCTATATAACACCAATGAACAATTAAAATTTAAAATGTAAAACACAATTCCACAAAAAAGAAGTACTTAAAAATAAATCTTGAAAAAATACAAGATATATATGGGGAAAACTACAAAACTGATAAAAAAAAAAAAGATTTGAATAGAGAAGTATTCCATGTTCATAAAT
Source organism: Homo sapiens (assembly GCF_000001405.40). NCBI lineage: Eukaryota > Metazoa > Chordata > Mammalia > Primates > Hominidae > Homo > Homo sapiens. The sequence goes on along the minus strand of NC_000002.12, from coordinate 106,228,191 downwards.
AGGTAGATCCAATATCGTTAGGATGTCAGTTATTCCCAACTTAATCTGTAGATCAAATGCAATCCTAATAAAAATCTCAGCAAGTTGTTTTGTGGATATTAACAAATTGATTCTAAAGTTTATATAAAGAGGCAAAATACCCAGAATAGCCAACACGGTATTAAAGGAGAATGAAGTCAGAGTACTGACACCATCTGATTTCAAGACTTACTCACTTATAAGTGAGAACATAACGCTAGAACAATCAGGACAATGTGGTATTAGCAGAAGATTAGATGAATAGGCCAATCGAATAGAATTGAAAGCCTAAAAACAGATGCCCACAGGTATAGTCAACTGATATTTGCAAAGGAGCAAAGACAATTTAATACAGAAACAAATGATGCTGGAATGATTGGACACCTACATTTAAAAAAATCTAGCCAGGCATGGTGGCTCACACCTGTAATCCCAATGCTTTGGGAGGCGGAGATGGGAGAATCACTTGAACTCAGGAGGTCAAGACCAGCCTGTACAACATAGAGAGACCCCCCTCTCTACAAAAAATTAAAAAATTGGCTGGGTGTGGCCGCAAGTGCCTGTAGTCTCAGCTACTTGGGAAGCTGAAGTGGGAGGATGGCTTGAACCTGGGAGGCCGAGGCTGCAATAAGCCATGATTGCATCACTGCACTACAGCTTGGGTGGCAGAGCAAGACCCCATCTCAAAGAATAATAAAAATCCTCATGCCTGTAATTCCAGCACTTTGGGAGGCCGAGGCAGGTGGATCATGAGGTCAGGAGTTCCAGACCATCCTGGCCAACATGGTGAAACCCTGTCTTTACTAAAACTATAAAAAATTAGCTGGGCATAGTGGTGGACACCTGTAATCCCAGCTACTAGGGAGGCTGAGGCAGGAGAATTGCTCGAATCCAGACGGCGGAGGTTGCAGTGAGCCAAGATTGCACCATTGCACTCCAGCCTGGGTGACAGAGTGGGACTCTGTCTCAAAAAAAAAAAAAAAAAAAAATATATATATATATATATATAGTAATAAAAATCTAGACATAGACCTTAAACCTTTTACAAAAATTAACTCAAAATGAATCATTGACTTCACGTAAAATGAAAAACCATAAAACTTTAAAAATATAACATAGAAGAAAATCTAGGTAATCATGGGTTTGGCTGTGACTTTTTAGATATGAAACCAAAAGCAATATCCGTAAAAGAAAAATCAATAGTGGGACTTCGCTAAAAATAACAATTCGTGTTCTGTGAAAGACATTATTAAGAGAATGAGAAGACAAGCCACAGGCTGAGAGAAAATATTTACAAAGATATATATGATAAAGGACTGTTATCCGAAATATACAAATAACTCTTTTTTCTTTTCTTTTTTTTTGCAACTTTTAGTTTTGATTCAGGGGATATTTGTGCAGGTTTGCTACCTGGGTATATTGTGTGATGCTCAGGTTTGGGGTATGAATGATCCTGTCACTCAGGTGTCAAGCATAGTACCCAATAGTTTTTCAACCCTTGCCACCTCCCATCCTCCCCCCTTTACTAGTCCCCAGTGTCTATTGTTGCCATCTTTATGTCCATGAGTACCCAGTGTTTAGCTCCCACTTACAAGTGAGAACATGTGGCATCTGATTTTCTGTTCCTGGGTTTATTCACTTAGGATGATGGACTGCAGCTGCATCCATGCTGTTGCAGAGCATAGGATTTTGTTCCTTTTTATGGCTGCATAGTATTCCATGGTATATCTGTACCATGTATTCTTTATCAAATCCACCATTGATGGGCACCTAAGTTGATTCTATGTCTTTGCTATTGTGAATAGTGCTGTGATGAACATGTGAGTCCATGTGTCTTTTTGGTAGAACAATTTTTCTTTTGGATATATACCTAATAATGGGATTTCTGGGTTGAATGCTAGTTCTGTTTTAAGTTATTTGAGAAATCTCCAAATTGCTTTCCACAGTGGCTGAGCTAATTTACATTCCCACCAACAGTATATAAGCATTCTCTTTTCTCCAGTCTTGCTGGCATCTGTTGTTTTTTGACTTTGTAATAATAGCCATTCTTACTAGTGTGAGATGATTTTTCATTGTGGTTTTGATTGGCATTTCTCTGATGAATTAGTATGTTGAGCATCTTTTCATGTTTCTTGGGCACTTATATGTCTTCTTTTGAGAAATGTCTTTTTCGCTTGTTGATTTGTTTACATTCCTTATAGATTCTGGATGGTAGACCTTTGTCAGATGTGTAGTTTGTGAATAGTTTCTCCCATTCTGTAGGCTGTTTACTCCAAATTATATAAAGAATTCTTAACAGTCAATAATAATAAAATTAATGATCTAATTAACAAGCAAGAGATCTGAATAGATATCTCACCAAAGTAGATATACGAATGGCAAATAATTGTATGAAAAGATGCTCAACATCATATGTCACCAGGGAATTGGAAATTAAAACAACAATTACATATCACTAAACACCAATTAGAATGGCTAAAATCCAGAACACTGACAACATCAAATGCTGGTGAGAATGTGGAGCAACAGGAATTCTCACTCATTGCTGGTGGAAAAGCAAAACAACACCATTACTTTGGAAGAGTTTGGCTGTTTCTTACAAAACTAAGCATACTCTTACTATACAATCTAGTAACCAAGCTCCTTGATATTTATCCAAAGAAGTTGTAAATTTACATCCCCAGCAAAAATGCACATGAGTGCTTATAGCAGCTTTATTCACAATTGTCCCAAACTGGAAGCAATAGGTGAATGAATAAACAAACTGTGATATATCTATATCATGGAATATTATTCAGCAATAAAAGAATATGAACTACATATATTTTTTCTGTTTTTTTGTTTTGTTTTGTTTTGTTTTGAGACAAGGTCTGGTTCTATTGCCCAGGCTGGAGTGCAGTGGTGCAATCTTGGCTCACTGCAATCTCTGCCTCCCAGGCTGAAGCCCTCCTCCCACCTCAGCCTCCTGAGTAGCTGGGACTACAGACGTGCACTATTATGCCCAGGTAATTTTTTATTTTTTGTAGAGAGAGTATTTTGCCATGTTGCCCAGGTTAGTCTTGAACTTGTGAGCTCAAGCGGTCTGCTCACCTCAGCCTCCCGAAGTGCTGAAATTATAGGCATGAGCCACCATGCAGTCCAGGACATGAACTATTAAGCCATGCAAAATCATGGAGAAACTTTAAACGTATGTTGCAAGGTGAAAGAAGCCTGTCAGAAAAGGCTATACTCTGTAAGATTCTAACCATTTGACATTCTGAAAAAGGCAAAACTATAAAGACAGTAAAATGATCAGTAGTTGGTGGGGGATGGGAGCAAGGAATAAACAGCTGGAGCACAGAGGATTTTTAGGGAAGTAAAACTATTTTGTATTATTCCGTGATGATGGACATATGCCATTGTGCATTTGTCAAAAGCCCTAGAAGTACAAAACATAAAGGCATAGCCCGGCCGGGTGCGGTAGCTCATGCCTGTAATCCCAGCACTTTGGGAGGCCGAGGCAGGTGGATCACCTGAGGTCAGGAGTTCAAGACCAGCCTGGCCAACATGATGAAACCCTGTCTCTACTAAAAATACAAAAATTAGCCGGGTGTAGTGGTGTGTGCCTGTAATCCCAGCTACTTGGGAGGCTGAGGCGGCAGAATCACTTGGACCCGGGAGGCAGAAATTTCAGTGAGCCAAGATGGTGCCATTGTACTCCAGCCTGGGTGACAGAGCTAGACTCTGTCACAAGAAAAAAAAAAAAAAGAGATATAGCCCTAATTTAAATTATGGATTCAGTGAATAATAATGCATCATTATTGGTTAATCAGTTGTAACAAATGTACCACAGTAAAGAAAGTTAATGACAGAGGAAACTAGAAGAGGGGAGATGAGGAGAAATTAGGGAAGGAAATATAGGAAACATTGTATTTTCTGCTTGGTTTTTCTGTAAAACCAAGCTCTAAACACAGTCTATTCGTTTTTAAAAAGGTAATGAAATGCTTGAAAAAAAGGTAAAGATATTGAGAAAAAGTCATGGCTTCAATAGTTGAGTAATGAGCACAGCACATTTGATTGACAATTCTGAAATCTACATTAAACATACCTTAGTTTCTATTAAATTCCAATAAATGCATAAAGAATTAGAACACCTGAACTAATTTTCCAAAACTCTCCTGTGAACATGTAGAAAGATCTAAAGAGATACTAAATCAAACCACTGCTCTAGATGGTGACACTGTATTTGGAAAATGTTTATAAATGTGCCAATCCAAAATTACAAAAAGGTCATTTTGATTTCTAAGAATGACAAGGTATTTGTGAAATCTTGCATGGACTCAAGCGATGTTTCCATAAATATTCTTCAGTATTTTTATTATTATTCACAACAGATGATGCTATGGTTTGGATGTTGGCCCCCAAGCCTCATGTTAAAATTTAATACCCAGTGTTGGAGGTGGGGCCTAATGGGAGGTGTTTGGATCATGGGGGTGGCTCCTTCATGAGTGGATTAATGCCCTCCCTGGCGGGTGGGTGGTGAGTGAGTTCTTGCTCTATTAGTTCCTGTGAGAACTGGTTGTTAAAGGAGCCTGGCCCCTCCTCCTCTTTCTCTTGCTTCCTCTCTCGCCATGCAGTCTCTGCAAACCGGCTCCCCTTTATCTTTCTTCAAGAGCGGAGGCAGCCAGAGGCCCTCCCCACATGCCCAATCTTTCAGCCAACAGAATTGTGGCTGTTTTTCTTTATATGCTATCCAGTCTCAGGTATTCCTTTCTAGCAACACAGATGGGCTAAGACAGATGATATCCATTCTTAGTAACATACCACAAATAATATGGTTATACGCCTTTCTAATCCTTGATTTCTTTATATATGAAACATGATTCATATAGCATCATGATCTTCCCAATAATATTACTAAAAATTCATTAATAAAATACTAATTATCTTATCAGCATATGAGGTAATAAAAAAAACCAGCTTTCGTGGTTAAGTGAATCTAATAAGGTACAAAAATGAATATTTTATTACACTGAGCAAGACCCCCAAATTTAGAAAATAGACATTTATGACTATAACATAATTATGACTAGACATAATCTAAATTCATTTTGAGGTATAAAATTAGTTTTCCTTTCAAAATGATTCAAATCAACCACTCTAAAAGAATTTTTTTTAAAAATATGCCTGGTGTTCAAGGACTACTCTGCCCTGTAAGATCATTAATAGGCCGGGCACTATGGCTCATGCCTGTAATCCCAGCATTTTGGGAGGCTGAGGCAGGTGGATCACTTGAGGTCAGGAGTTTGAGACCAGCCTGGCCAACATGGTGAAATCCCGTTTCTACTAAAAATATAAAATTAGCCAGGCGTGATGGTGGGTGCTTGTAATTCCAGTTACTTGGGAGGCTGAGGCAGGAGAATCGATTGAAACTGGGAGACAGAGGTTGCACTGAGCCGAGGTCGCGCCATTGCACTCCAGCCTGGGCAAAAAGACCGAAACTCCGTCTCAAAAAAAAAAAAAAAAAAAAAAAAAGATTAGTAACAATACCTACATGCTAAACTTTTGGTTTAGTAGTAATTTGAATTTACTATTTAAGGTAAACTAATTTTTGTTCCTGTCATTCTTGAACTAATTGTTTAATATCAAGGTAGAATGCCATGGTCTTGCATTTCTATCAAACTACTTCTTACAGGGTCCTAAATTTCCATTAAACTTAAGTTGAAGGAAATTGTAGGAAAAAAATATTAGGCTAAAGGAATTTTAAATTTTTTAACATTTACACCTCTTTAAGAGGATCTGTCTCACAAATTCTTATCCTCTAAGTCTAGGGCAAATAAACAACACTAACCAACATACTTTCAATGGACTAATTACAAGTTACCATTCCATGGAAAGGAAAACATTTTGGTTTTTCATTTTCTAGGTGTAAAAATTGCTTAGGCTGCATTATCTTTAAAGGAGTAATTATATTGTAACCCCCAGTACTATTGCATAACTCTTCAATTTTCTGTACAACAGAGAATGAGACACAATTCGAATTCTATATTCCCCATTTAAAAGACTACCTTGCCGGGCGTGGTGGCTCATGCCTGTAATCCCAGAACTTTGGGAGGCCGAGGCAGGCAGATCACGAGGTCAGGAGATCAAGACCATCCTGGCTAACACGGTGAAACCCTGCCTCTACTCAAAATACAAAAATTAGCTGAGCGTCATAGCACGCACCTGTAGTCCCAGCTACCCGGGAGGCTGAGGCAGGAGAATCCCTTGAACCCAGGAGGCGGAAGTTGTAGTGAGCCGAGATTGCAGTGATGCACCCCAGCCTGAGCGACAGAGTGAGACTCCATTCAAAAAAAAAAAGACAAAAACAAAAAAACAACTAGCGTAGGCCCAGAAGAGTGGCTCATGCCTGTAATCCCAGCACTCTGGGAGGCTGAGGTGGGTGGATCACCTGCGGTCAGGAGTTCAAGACCAGTCTGGCCTTGTCAGGCTTGGTGAAATATGGCGAAACCCCATCTCTACTAAAAATACAAAAAATTAGCTGGGTGTGGTGGCAGGTGCCTGTAATCCCAGCTACTTGGGAGGCTGAGGCAGGAGAATTGTTTGAACCCAGGAGACAGAGGTTACAGTGAGCTGAGATCACGCCACTACACTCCAGCCTGGGTGAGAGAGTGAGACTCTGTCTCCAAAAAAAAAAAAAAAAAAAAAGAACAGTGCAATATTGGAAAGTTTGAGTAATAATTAAAATTATTATTTAATATGATACAATTATTTTAAAGAAATTTAGCCTAATGAATGTTAGGGTTGGCTGGAACTTGAATTGATTTTTAACCACTGACAAGGTCACATAATGTGATATGTTTTACGGACAATACTTACGCTTCGTTGAATATATATTTCTTCCCTTATCCACAATAAAACCTGTTTCATAGCATGTCACACCATTTGTTAGCTTATCTCCAGAATTTAAAACCTATTTGGATAATAAGGAGCATTACAGTCATTCAAAACTTAACTAAAATGAAACATTCAAATATATCAAGAGATTTTCTCAATGCCAGCTCACTTCTTTTCTCTTTTTGAGACGGAGTCTCGCTCTGTCGCCCATGCTGGAGTGCAGTGGCGCGATCTTGGCTCACTGCAATCTCTGCCTCCCGGGTTCATGCCATTCTCCTGCCTCAGCCTCCCGAGCAGCTAGGACTACAGGCGCCCGCCACCAGGCCCGGCTAATGTTTTGTATTTTTAGTGGAGATGGAGTGTCACCGTATTAGCCAGGATGGTCTCGATCTCCTGACCTCGTGATCCACCCACCTCGGCCTCCCAAAGTACTGGGCTGCCAACTCACTTCTTTTCTGAGCCTCTAAAGCATTTTATAGATTTGTTTATGAATTTTGAATTTTCAGTATGATAGATGTTTGACTGTGTTTAAATCATATATAGCCAGAAATGTACAATTCTCTAAAGTACATCACAGGCTGGTGGTGTTGAAGACGTGCTAAGTTAACATTGTGACAACATGAAAAGCCGCTGTGAACTAATTCTGGTCATAGCACAAGAGTAGTGCATATAAACACAACCACAGGAGATTGTGTGGGTAAAGGATACTTTTGCTGAATTCACAGAAAATAGAGGAAACATCTAGGTGTTCTGGATTATGCTAATGGTTGTAAACAGCAGCAGGGGGCTTTGTAACCCCCGAGCTTAACAGAGCTGGGCCTGAGATTCCTCACAACTGAATGAGGTTGAACTAAATGACTGGTTGAATCTCACCTAGCTACACTGCCCTTCTCTCTTGTCCTCACGAGGCTATCGTAAAAATTTGATAAGGTCAAGGACTTTGCATGGTAGCTGGCATCTACTTACTGCTGAACAGGTAACAGGAATCACTACTATAATTATTAACCCTGTTTATAAAACCAAATTATTCTACCTTAGGTGTCAGTCAGGTCCCTACACTAGGGCTGTTTAGCAACAAGCTGGATGATCCTTTGCTGACAAGGATTTAGTAACTGGTTAGAACTAGGACTAGGATCCAGGGAGCAGAGGAGATGAGTCTAGATACCTCTGTTAGTTCTATTTATGTGAAACAAATTGCCGGAAACCTCAAATTACCAAATTACCAATTGATTTATGTTGAATGTTAGGAACGTCTCTCAGACTTCCTTCATTTCTGACCCATAGACTCTCTTCAAAAGGACTCTTCTAATTAGATAAAACTAGCTCTTGATTATATCACTGTCAGAATACTATGCACCTTAAATACATCTGCAAACCCTGCCCCCCAGCATTGCCATGTAAGGTCATCTAATTAGGGAAATGGCATCCCAATATATTCAGAAGTCCAGGCCCCGCTCAATGGGAAGAGATTATACAGGGTGGACTCCAGGAGACAGAATTTCAGGAGCCATCTTAGAATTGTGTCTACCAAAATAGCCTTTCAGTCCGCTTCCAACTTGGAAAGTTGGAAGTTCTAATTTACAAGGAGGAGCAGCTCAAGGTTTATCAGAAAGAACTGGGAGAGATGAGAGTGAAACAACAGGAACTGAGCTCCCGCTGTTCAGCAGAGAGAGTGCTCTGTGTGCTTCAGCTGATCTGATTCTCGCAAGAACTGGTAGCACCCTCATGAGGAAGCGTGAGCTTCCCAGGACAACGCACCCACATCTTCATTGCATTTCCTCTCCTCTGTGGCTGTGATGCTCTCAATACTAAACCTCACCGCCTCATTTGCCCCATCAGTGCCTTGCCTGTGCAGCCCTCTTCCTTCTTTCTGCTCCTACTGCCCTTCATCCCCCGCCACCAGTCCATCCTTGCCCCAGTACGGCTGGGGACACTCACCCGCATACTGCATGCTCCTGCGGCGTCTCCTTCTGCCTGTTTCCTCCCTCCTAGCCTCCTCTCCCTGCCCTCTCCTCCTGCCCGTCAAGGTGAGGAATAACCATGGCAGTGTAGGTGGGAAAATATGGACAGATTTGACATTTTAAAGGAAGAATTATATTAACATCAGACTTCAGTCATAAATTATGTGTTATTTATCCATGTTCATATAAATATTTGCCATGTGTATGTACACGTAATACTAATATAATGGTTAAGATGCATAATTTTGTGTCCTGTTTCTCAGCTCATATTCAAAGTTATTTTCTGATGGACCCAAATTTCTACTAATAAAATTATGTTAAGAGCTGCATAAAAAGCTAGAAACTGACCAACATATGGTGTTTTTTCAGCAACTTTGGCTGCGTGTGTATTGAAAAGTATTAATCTATTGAAAAGTATTTAACCTTTAACCTCATCACTTATTACTTGTCACAAAATTTTGCATTCAACAACCCAAATCGTATCACAATCGTATTTTTATCTTACTTTTAAAAATTGAGTCACATGGCAAAATTCTGAGTTCCTAAATGAATTGTGGGCTAAAGGGTTCTTTTTATAATTTTTTTTATTTTGATTTTTGTGGGTACACAGTAGGTACATATTCATGGAGTACATGAGATGTTTTGATTCAGGCATGCAATGCATAATAATCACATCAGAGTAAACGGGGTATCCGTCCCCTCAAGCATTTATACTTTATTTACATTACAAACAACCCAATTACACTTTTTTAGTTATTTTAAAATGTACAATACATCATTGTTGACTGTAGTCACCCTGTTGTGCTATCCAATATTAGATATTATTCATTCTACCTAAGTATATTTTTGTACCCATTAATCATCCCTACTTTCCCTCACCCTCCACTACCCTTCCCAGCCTCTGGTCACCATCCTTCTTTCTCCATGAATTCAATTGTTTTGATTTTTAGCTCCCACAAATAAGTGAGAACATGGGAAATTTGTTTTTCTGTGCCTGGCTTATTTAACTTAACACTATGGCCTCCAGTTCCATCCATGTTGTTACAAATGACAGGATCCTATTCTTTTTTTACAGCTGAATAGTATTCCATTGGGTATATGCACCACATTTTCTTGATGCATTTGTCTGTTGATGGATACTTGGGCTGCTTCCAAATCTTGGCTATTGTGAATACTGCTGCAATAAACATGGGAGTGCAGATACCCCTTCAATACACTGATTTTCTTTCTTTTAGGTATATACCTAGCAGTGGGGTTGCTGGATCATTTGGTAGTTCTATTTTTCATTTTCTGAGAAACCCCCCAAACTGTTCTCCATAGTGGTTGAACTAATTTACATTCCCACCAACAGTGAACATGGATTCTCTTTTCTCCATATTGTTGCCAGTATTTGTTAATTGCTTGTCTTTTGCATAAAAGCCATTCCAACTAAGGTGGGATGATATCTCATTGTAGTTTTGATTTGCATTTCTCTGCTGACTGATGATGTTGAGCACCTTTTTATATGGCTGTTTGCCATTTATATGTCTTCTTTGGAGAAATGTCTACTCAGAATTTTTGCCCATTTTTTAATCACATTATTCGATTTTTTTCCTATAGAGTTGTTTGAGCTCCTTATATATTCTAGTTATTAATCCATTGTCAGATAAGCAGTTTGCAAATACTTTCTCCCATTCTGTGTGTTGACTCTTTACTTGTTGATTGTTTCCTTTGCTGTGTATAAGCTTTTAAACAAGTGACCCATTTGTCCATTTTTGCTTTGGTTGCCCATGCCTGTGGGGTATTACTCAAAAAATCTTTATCTAGGTCAATGTCCTGGAGGGTTTCCCCAATGTTTTTGTGGAGTAGTTTCATAGTTTGAGGACTTGGATTTAAGTCTTTAACCCATTTTGATTTGATTTTTGTATGTGGCAAGAGACAGGGGTCTAGTTTCATTCTTCTGCCTTTGCATACCCAGTTTTCCCAGCACCATTTATTGAAGAGCCCATCCTTTCCCCAATGTCTGTTCTCGGCACTTTGTTAAAACTGAGTTCACTGCAGGAGTATGGGTTTGTTTCTGGATCCTCTGTTCTGTTCCGTTGGTCTATGTGTCTGTTTTTATGCCAGTACAATGCTGTTTTGATTACTATAGCTCTGTAGTATAATTTGAAGTCAGGTAATGTGATTCTTCCAGTTTTGTTCCTTTTGTTTAGGATAGCTTTGGCTATTCTGGGTCTTGTGTGGTTCCATGAAAATTTTAGGATTTTTTTTCTATTTCTGTGAAGAATGTCTTTGGTATTTTGATAGGGATTGCATTGAACCTGTAGATTGCTTTGAGTAGTATGGACATTTTAACAATATTGATTCTTCCAATCCATGAACACGGAATATCTTTTCATTTTTTTGTGTCCTCTTCAATTCGTTCATCAGTGTTTCACAGTTTTCATTGTAGAGATCATTCATTTCTTTGGTTAAGTTTATTTCTAGGTATTTTATTTTATTTGTAGCTATACTGTAAATGGGATTACTTCCTTGATTTCTTTTTCAGATTGTTTACTGTTGGCATATAGAAATGCTACTGATTTTTGTGTTGATTTTGTATTCTGCAACTTTACTGAATTTATCAGTTCTAATAGTTTTTTGTTGGAGTCTTTAGTTTTTTCCAAATTTAAGATCATGTCAAGTATAAGAATAATTTGACTTCTTCTTTTCCAATTTGGATGACCTTTATTTCTTTCTCTTGTCTGATTGCTATAGCTAGGACTTCCTAAAGGATTCTTGATAGAGTTTTTTCCTGGTTTGAGTTTTCTGATGAATTCCTGAAGATGGTTTTTCTACTCTGACTTTAGGATTAGTATCGCCCTGCTGTGAGAACTGTAATACTGACTGAGGAATGAGTGATCACTGGGCCCGTCCCTCATTGGTTACACTGAAATTATTCTATACCATGTGAATCCTTGCATGTCCTACAAGAGTTGCTGTATGAATAAAGGGTTTCCTATGTTTATTTCACTTCCTTCTCCAGCATAAATTATCTGATATTCCCCTATTCCATTTTAACTACACTAGGGGTATATGGATATTCAATTCTGACACTATCCAGAGTTAGCATCAGACTTCACATGTTTAAAGCCTCATTCCCATTGAGCTTCTCTTAAGATTTCAAATACCAGGCACACTTTGGGGGGCCCCAAGCCACTTGCACTTCTACACAACTGGCTATAAAATCAGAGGTTTTCATTTCCCCTCAGATTCAATAATTCACTAAAATGACTCACAGAGCTCAAAAGTAAGCAATAATTATGATTACAGGTTTATTATAAAACATACAACTTGGTAACAACTAAATGAAGGGATGTATAGGGTGAGGTCTGGAGGGAATGTAGAGCTGTGTGCCCTCTCCCCATGGAGTCGCTGCTGGTTACCCTCCTGATCAGCAAGGTGTTCACCAACCTAGAAGCTCCCCTGAGCCTCAGTGTCTAGAGATCTTACTGCAGTTTCATTATGTAGGCTTGGTTGATTAAATTTTTGAAGCTCTGTGCTAAGAACTAAAGACAATGTCAGATGTATTCTTTACTATACCACGTCCTCCAGTACTCCCCTAAAACACACAGGAAGCTTCCTCTTCCTGATTCAGAATTTCTATCCAATTTCTTGTGTTTTTTTTTTTTGTTTTGTTTTTGCAGTTGCAAGATTTAATAGAGTGAAAACAGAGCTCCCATAAAATGGGAGGGGACCCAAAGGGGGTTGCTGTTGCCAGCTTGAATACCTGGGTTTATATCCCGATCATTGTCCCTCCCCCTGTGCGATAGATGATTGGCTATTTCTTTACCTCCTGTTTTAGCCTAATTAGCATTTTAGTGAGTTCTCTTTACTACCTGATTGGTCGGGTGTGAGCTAAGTTGCAAGCCCCGTGTTTAAAGGTGGATGCAGTCACCTTCCAGCTAGGCTTAGGGAGGTCACCTTCCAGCTAGGCTTAGGGATTCTTAGTCAGCCTAGGAAATCCAGCTAGTCCTGTCTCTCAGTCCCCCTCTCAACAGCAAAACTGAAGTGCTGTTGGGGAGGTTGGCTGACAACCGCTCTGTTTCCTGCTGAATTGGGCATAGAAGGGGTCGTGCAGTTGAGATTTCCTCAGGAGGGGTACCTTCGATGTCATTAACATCAGAGCATGGGCTAGCAGGCAGGTCCAGGGGTCTGCAGTAGATCTTAGTCATGGACTGCCTCTGGGGCTCCATTTGAAGAATGATTTGTAGTTTTACAGCTTCGATTCTGGAAGAGACAAACTTAACAAGGAGGTTAAAGATACAGGAATTGAAATGTATGGCCTGCAGTGCAGGGGATTATTTCTTTGACACACTCCACAGGCTCTGACTATCTGCTTGATAGTTTTGAAAAGGCCTGGTCCAGTAAATAATAATTTGGCCATCTGATGGTTGCTATCAATGACTAAGTGAAAGGTTTGGTGAAGGGTTTTAAGTAATTTCCATTGGTTAGCTGCAGGTAAAAGTATTTTTCCTTCTTCAGTGGCTAGCCATCCTGAGGGGAGGAAACTATGTCCCTGTGAGGTTCCTCGTTCTATTTCTCCTGCTGAGTACTGGGGCTTGGTTTCCTGGAGGGGATTACCCCATACTAGGTGTCCTTCTATAAGCATTTATTTTTGTTGTTGTTGTTGTTTTGAGACGGAGTCTCACACTGTCGCCCAGGCTGGAGTGCAGTGGCGCGATCTCGGCTCACTGCAAGCTCCACCTCCCGGGTTCACACCATTCTCCTGCCTCAGCCTCCCAAGTAGTTGGGACTACAGGCACCCGCCACCATGCCCGGCTAAATTTTTTGTATTTTTAGTAGAGACAGGGTTTCATCGTGTTAGCCAGGATGGTCTTGATCTCCTGATCTCACGATCCACCTCTCGGCCTCCCAAAGTGCTGGGATTACAGGTATGAGCCACCACGCCCAGCCTCTATAAGCATTTCTAGTGAAGGGTCCTGCCTTGCAGCTCTTTTGTCTTCAATATCCGCTTGGCAGTTCCTTTCTATTTCCCTTTCCTTTCCTTTCTGATGACCCCAGCAGTGTAAGACTGCCACCTCTTTAGATTTCTGTATAGCCAATAATAATCTCCTAATGGCTTCCTGATGTTTGATAGGTGTTTCCTTGGAAGTTAGGAATTCCCTTTCTCTCCATATTGCTGTGTGGGCATGGAGGACTAGTTAAGCATACATAGAGTCTGTATATATATTTACCCTTTTTTCTTTTCCTAACTCTAGTCCCCAAGTGAGGGCTATTAGTTCTGCCAGCTGAGCACTAGTTCCTGGAGTGAGGGGATTGCTTTCAAATATTCCATTATCACTGACCACTGCATACCCTGCTTTTCGAAGTCCTTTTTCTACAAAGGAACTTCCATCAGTATACAAGTTGAGGTCGGGATCAGTCAAGGGAACCTGTAGAAGGTCCCCTTGAGTGGTGTAGGTTTGAGCAATTACTTGTTGACAGTTATGTTCTATTTTTTCTTCATTGTCTGGAAGAAATGTGGCGGGATTGAGTTGCACAAGTGCACAGTCGCAGCACTGGCCCTTCAAGTAATAGAGCCTGATATTTAAGCAAACAGTTGTCTGACAGCCACAAGTCTTCTTTAGCAATAAGTATGCTGTTCACATCATGAGATGTCCACACAGTAAGATCTCTTCCCTATATCATTTTAACTGCTTCAGGTACTAAGACTGCTACTGCTGCCACTACCCATAAACAATGAGGCCAACCCTTTGCCACTACATCAATTTCCTTACTCAGGTATGCCACGGTTGCAAGCTGGTCCCTTGGACCTGTGTAAGGACTCCTAGAGCTATTCCTGTTTTTTCTGTGACATATAAAGAAAAGTCTTGCACCATCGGCAAGCTTAACACTGGAGCTTGGGTTTGGGCCTTCTTTAGGGCCTGGACAGCCTCTTCTGCTTCAGGTGTCCATCTTACTAAATGGGTATTGGCTTCTGAGTTTCCTTAATTAGTGTATATAACGGCCTGGCTATTTCACCGTACCTGGGAATCCACATTTGGCAGAAGCCTGTTATGCCAAGAACCCTCTTAGTTGCTTTAGGGTTTTGGGATGAGAATAAGCCAGTATAGGCTGGATATATTCCTCACTGAGGGCTCTGGTGCCTTTGGATAATTTTAGCCCTAAGTATTTAACCTGCTGTGAGCAGAGCTGAGCCTTTGGTTTGGAAACCTTTAGCCACAGGTGGCGAGGAAATTTAAGAGTGCCTGGGTGGCTTGATGGCACAAGGTTTCTGAACGGGCGGCTAAAAGTAAATCTCCATGTACTGAAGGACAAGAGTGTCCAGGTATGAGAACTGGCTCAAGTCTTGGGCTAATGCCTGGCCAAATAGATGGAGGCTATCCCTGAACCCTTAGGGTAAAACAGTTCAGGTGAGTTGAGACGCTGGGTTCGAAGGATCTTCAAAGGCAAACAAGAATTGAGAGTCAGGATGTACAGGGATGCAGAAAAAGGCATCCTTAAGGTCCAGGACTTTAAACCACTCTGCTTCCTCTGGTATTTGGGAAAGCAGAGTATAAGGGTTAGGTACAGCTGGGTATAGAGGGACAATGGCCTCATTGATAATCCTGAGATCTTGCACTAACCTCCACTGTCCGTTGGGTTTCTGTACTCCTAAAGTTGGAGTATTGCAGGGGCTATTGCATGGTTTTACTAGGCCTTGGGCTTTTAGGTCCTTAATCTTTTGGAGTCCTTGTTGGGCCTTGGGTCTAAGGGGGTACTGCCTCTGGTAGGGAAAGGAGGCGGAATCCTTTAGTTTAACTTGAACAGGATGGGCATTCTTTGCTCATCCATACTGTCCTTCTGTTGCCCAGACTTCAGGATTAATTTATTCCTCAAGCAGGGGACAACAAATAGGTATTCCTTCTTCTATGTTCACGTGTATAATCACCCCTGCTTTTGCTAGAATGTCTCTCCCTAACAAGGGAGTGGGGCTTTCAGGCGTAATTGGAAAAGCATGTGAAAAGAGTAAAGTTCCCCAGTCACAACTTAGTGGCTGGGAGAAGTATCTAGTGACTGGCTGTCCTAGGACTCCTCGGATAGTGACAGATCTGGAGGACAGTTGTCTGGGACAGGAGAGTAAGACTGAGAAGGCCAAGCGAGTGTCCAGGAGACAGTTAACCTCCTGGCCCTCAATGGTCAAGCATACCCGGGGCTCTGTGAGGGTGATGGCATGGGCTGGCACTTGCCCTGGGCACCCTCAGTCCTGCTGCTGGATCATCTGGTTAGTGGCTTCTGACTCAGAGGACCTTCATTCCCTGGGCCAGTGGGCCTTCCAGTGATTCCCTTGACATAAGGGGCATGGACGAGGGGGTGGCTTATTTCTATTTGGACAATGTTTTTTAAAGTGTCCTTGTAGACCACACTGGAAGCAAGCCCTTATTAGGCATTTCATTTGCCCAGCCTTTCCATGTTCCAGAGCCTCCAAAGTCTGCTTGCCTAAGGGCCATCACTAAAGTGGTGGCCTTTTTCTTATCTCATTTGTCCCGTTCCGCCTGCTCCTTCTGATCTTTATTATAAAAAACCGAGGTTGCCAAGTTCAATAGGGTATCTAAGTTTTGTTCCAGGCCTAAGGCAGACTTTTAAAGTTTTTTTCTAATGTCTGCAGCTTATGGAGTGATAAACTTATCATTTAAGATTAGTTGGCCTTCAATAGAGTCAGGTGACAGAGAAGTATGCTTCCTCAATGCGTCCCTTAGTCTCTCCAGAAAGGCAGTAGGATTTTCTTCCTTTTCCTGTGTTATAGTGGACATCATTGAATAATTTATAGGCTTCTTCCTAGTTTTCCTTAGTCCTTCTAGCATGCAAGTTAGCAAATGTCTGCAGCACCAATCTCCATTCTGATTCTGTGTCCCAGTGTGAGTCTACACTGGGAACTGCCTGCTGGCCTGTGGGGAATTATTCTCTTTCCTTTGTTGTCATCCTATCATTGACCTGACTGAGATACCAGAGACTGCCAAACTCTCAGGCTGCAGTTACGGAGCACTTCTCTCATTTGGGGTTAGTGTCTGATCTAGCAGTAACATTATATCTCTCCAAGTCAGATCAAAGGATTGTCCTAACCCTTGTAAAACATGAATATAGCCATCAGGGTTATCTGAGAATTTACCTAGGTCTATCTTCTACAAGAGTTTCCCTCAGTTATTGACTCCCCATTGTGTTTTTTTCTCAATGCCCTGGGAGGAACCATCTACTGTCCTGTCCTGGAGGGAGTTCCTCCTAGGTCTGGTCGGACTTTTGTATGGTAATTAAGATTTAAATTGCCTGTTAGGAAATCTGCTGGGTTAAGGGAATTTAATGTTAAATTATCTTTTTCTAACAGAATAGCCCCATACTTTAAGATTTTTGAGTTAGTAAGCTACCCTTTTTGCTTTTTTGACTTGGGATAGTTCTGAACTGGAGAGGTGTGCTCACAATGAGGTTTCCTCTAAAGGCTAATTTTCTACTTTCTTCTGTTAGCAAAGCAGTTGCCACTACAGATTGAATGCACTTGGGCCATCTGCAGGTTCCTGGGTTAAGGATTTTTTATAGGAAGGCTACTGGTTGTCAGTGGCCTCAGTGCTTTCGGGCTACGCCCTTGTTTACACTGACAACAAAGGGGTACTGGAGTGTTACAGAGTCATGGAGACAAGCTTCAATTATCAATTATAGGTTTTAAATTTACCCTGGCTTTTAAAGACATAGGGCACACTTTTTTCTTTACTACTTCTTTCTCTTTCTTTTTCTTTTTCCTTGCTGTCTTTGTAGATGGATTTTGGAAACACAGTGGAAGGATGTTCACTTGTTGCCCCCATTTGCCACTATAGGAGTATGTGCCTCCCTTTTGTTTACTCAATTTGCTTTCATCCTGATCTATTACGTTGTTGTAGACCTAGTTCCTGTTGTTAAAGTACTGGGTTATCAGTTCTAAGGCCCTGGTAAGGGTGGTGGGGAATGGGTCCCACATAACTGCTCATGTCGAGAGCTGTATGCCTAAATTGGGAGGGACACCAGGGAAAAGACTCCCTGGGTTCATAGCCTAGGGGCCTAAGGATGCAGCATAGAGCTTCCTTAGATCCCTTTGGAGATACAACCTGTTCTAATACTTGGGAGAGGAAGTGAAAGTCTGAAGCATTAGAATCTAGGAGGCACGGATTGGAGGATGTAGATTCAGAGGCAAGGAGAATTTTAGGGCTACACTTTCAAGAAAGTCATGGTCAGGACCCAGGAGGTATGGGTCAGAAGGAAAGGTAGGGGCACACGCATGGGCAACTGTTGAGTAGAGACTTCTGGCTGTGCCATGATCTCAACCAGCTAATGCCGTAGTTTGGGACAACAGCTCTCTGCCTCTAGTCGGCCCTCGGCTTCCCCAGGAAAATTGAAAGCAGAAGCTGGTTCCAGGCAGACTAACGCTCCCAACCCAGAAGGGTTGGGGTTGTTAGCCCTTTCCCAGAGAGTCTCACACCTGAGTCTTAAGTCCAACGGCCACACTAATGGTTTTTAACCGGCTGACAGGTGCCCAGTATTTTCCTCCAATTCTAAGGAAGGATAGGACAGAATAGCAAGTGAAAGTGGTCCAGTATTACTCACCACTTTGGGGGGTCCCTTCGTGGTTGCCAAAATGTTACTGGGGGGGTCCTTGTTCTTAGAGTTCCCAAGATGGTGGCAGGCTGCTTCCAAGATGGCAGCAAGCCTCTTGTTCTCTGACCTGGGGTTCTTGGCCTCATGGATTCCAAGGAATGGAATCTTGGGCCATGCGGTGAGTGTTATAGCTCTATTAGAAGCCATGAGTAATGGAAGAGAACCGTGGAACCCAGCAACTAGTGTTCAGCTCGATTAGGATGAACCCGGGCACTTAGCCATGCAGGAACAATGGCGAGCCTTTAGCCTGATCAGGAGCAGCAATGGGCACCTCACTGGATCAGGATTGCAACGGACACCCTGCTGGATCCGGAGGGGTGGAAGTCAGTAGCAGGTCTGCGATGGCAGCAAACAGCAGTGGTGGATGGCAAGTGAAAGCTCAGCTCGAGCCATAACAAACACGGACCAGAAGAGTGTGCACTTGCAAGATTTAATAGAGTGAAAACAGAGCTCCCATAAAATGGACCCAAAGGGGGTTGCCCCGAATTTCTTGTTAAGAGGCTATTCCTCCTCTGGGTTTTCTTGTGCACACTGGAGCTGGACCTCTGCCGAATGCTTGTTAAAGCTGATTACAGACCAAGGGCTTATCTACAGTACAGTTCACTCCTGTTGTTTGAAGGATAAGTTAGATATGAAGGCATTTCCACATTGATGACAGGCATAAAGTTTCTCCTCCATGTAAGTTCTCTGGTGTTTATAAAGTTTACAGCTACTGCTGAAGGCTCTTATGCATTTATTACATTTCTAATGTAGGTTCTCCCAGGTTGTCCATAGTCAGAGAATTGACTGAAGGCTTTCCCACATATCTGACATTCATATGATTTTTCTCCCCTATAATTCTTATTTTTGGTGTGTGTGTAAATCAAGTGAGAGCTCTTGATACAGGAGATAGAAAGAAATTATTTAGGCAGATAGTGAGGGCAAAAGAGTCCTTGACAGAACTTCCCTTCTAACAAAAAGCAGCCCAAGAAATCATTCCTTTTTTAACAAAGAGAAGCCTGAAAGATTGAGCTGCAAGCATTGATAAGGAAGCTGGAAGCTTGCACTGGGGGAGGCCTATAGCTACACCCACAGAAAAGGGCTACCTGGGGCCAGGCATGTCCACCATGGGGCTCCACCTTCCCTTTTTTTGTTACCATGTATACAGTCCGAAAGAAATAAGCAACATGGAGTAGCTACCCACCTGCATAATAAAAGATTGGGGTGGGGGCTGCCAGAGATTCATGCCCTGTGCAAATGGCACAATTGGTCCTAACCAGATTTTCATGCCCTATGTAGATCAGACACCATCTTCCCATTAGCTCATCTATAAAAACCCCCTGCATTTCACCAGAGATTGGCAACCCATTTTCCTGGGACCCCTCTCTGTAGGAGAGAGCTATCCTCTTTCTTTCACCTATTACAGTTCTGCTCTAGACCTCACCCTTGTGTGTGTCCGGGTCCTTAATCTCCGTGGCCATGAGACCAAGAACCTCCCCCCAGACAACAAGGCCACTTCACTGTGATCTAAAATCCTGGTCACAGTTACTTTATTTCTTTAGTGCAAATTCTCTTATGTTTACTAACCAGAAATTTGACCACACTCTTCCACATAAATGACATTCATATCATTTCTCTCCAGTGTGAATTTGCTTGTGTTGACTGAGGGATAAAGGATAACTGATGGCTCTTCCACCGTCATTACACTTACAGGATTTCTCTGCAGTGTGAATTATGTGGTGTGAATAAAGCTGAATGCTCAGGTGGAATTCTTTCCCACATTTACTATATTTACAGAGTTTCTCTGTCATGCAAGTTCTTTGGTGTGAATAAAGGTTACACTTTGTCTGAGATGCCTCCCAAATTTATTGCATTTATAAGGTTTCTCTTCTGTGTGAGTTCCATGGTGTGAATAAATTTGGTGTTCTGACCAAAGTGTTTCTCACAGTAATTCCATTTAGATGGTTTATCTCCAGTGTGGATCTTCTTGTGTTGTCTAAGGCCAGAGTATGTACTAAAGACTTTTCTACATAGATGACATTCATATAATTTCTCTCCAGTGTGAGTGGGCTCCTGTTGTCTAATGTAAGATCAATGATTAAAGACTTTCCTGCATAGATGACATTTATAAGGTTTAACTCCAATGTGAGTTGATTTATGTCAACGAAAGGACTAGCAGTCACTGAGAATCTTTCCACATTGATTACAGGCATGGGGTTTTTCCATGTGGGCTATCACATGCTGAGTCAATGTGGAGCTGGGATGGAGATTTTCCCACACTCACTGTATTCAAGGGCTCCTCTCCAGTGTGAGTTCTCTGTTGTTGGGAAGGTGACAGGCTGCTGAAGGACTGATTACCCTCATACTTTCATTAATTTCTCTACAGATAGATTCTGGAATGATCATTTCGTGATAGTCTCCAGTCAAAATCACTTCCATATTGCTATATGCAAATGTATGTTAGTTACACACAGACTCTCTTGCTTGCACAGATATTTTCTCTTTTGTAGCATCTCAACGGTATAACTATCTGATGTATTTTCAAGGCTTCATTATTTTTCAAAGATGAGGTATCAGCCATGTCTATGCAATTGTCCTTTTATAAAGAATTCAGGTTATAATTTTGAGCTCAGGTTAATTTCTTTCCTAAATTCAAATATCCAAAACCATATGAAGGGACACACTCCCAGCTCTAATTAAAGCCATGTGACTGTGGTGTGTTCCTAACTCAGCCCATCCCCAGGTCTCTAATCTGGAGGAACAGGGTTCACCCCCATGAAGCTTATCATTGACAAGCAGGTAGAGGGACTCCTTCCTCCAGAGAAAGTGTATGGATACCATTTCTTGTTTTTAAAGGCCACCCTGCCTGCCTAAAATAATTGAAAAAATTAAATTGCTAGACTGGCATTAGGAGAATGAACACACTGAAAAGGATACAAGGCTCACGTGGGTAGGTTTCAAATACTGGCTCTCACATGGGAGAGACGTGAAATGGAGGAATACACCAGTGACTAGGAAGACATTTGGGGAAATTAAAAATTTTAAAGTATTTTCAAGAATGAAGAGAAAAAATAAAGATGTAATATTGGAGAGGTCATGAAAAGGAAAATCATCAAAGGGAAAGGACCAGGGCAAAGGTCACAATGTGAAAATTTACCTCTAAGAAGACATGAATATATGTGAATGAAACTGGTACATATATGAGAAATAATAACATTATATATGGAATTTTTCTCCCAATGGCTTCTCATAGTTTTCTAAAAATATTATTCATTCAAGGTCATCTGCATTCGACATTATCAAAGTTCTGTCCCTCACTGACCAGTCACCTCCTGCACTGAGCCTATCTGTCTGCAGCTCACCTGGATTTGGGCTCTGGGGAAATCCTTCCTTCCCTCCACAGCACTGCTCCTTGTTTCAACTGGGAAATCATGAATGACTTGCAGAGCTGATGCTCTCTGGGCAAAGTTGCATGGATTTTGAATTCTGTGTGAGAACTGTGCGTGATCTTCAGATCTAAGGCAGGCTCCCAACAAGACAAGGCGAGCATGGAAGGGCACCCGGGGAAGAGCACCTTGAACACCAAGGACATTGAGGGCCCTTCCCTGGAGCAGGAAGGAAAACCCCTGACACCAAGCCCCTGAGTCTCAGCAGCAGTGAAGATTTAAATGTTTCCACAGTGGGTTGTGGAATTTATTCTCATAATTAATGCAATAAAATTAAGATCCATTGGAACAATCTAGGTTCTATTTGGAAAAGAAAATGGCTATATTTTTATTACTATGGTCTCAAACCCTAGCTTAGTGCTTAAAACAGTATTGTCACTTAGTAAAAAATTTAATCCATTTATTTATTCAAAAAAATAGTCATTGAGGTCCCAGCACTGTTCTCAATATTGGAGATGGAGTAGTAATAAAGACACAAAACTGTGGTCAGGAAGACGTGTTCTAGTGGTTGATAAACTAGATTTAAGTAAACAAACAATGTTCAGGCAGTTGTAAGTGCTGTGAAAGAAAACAGATGAGGATAGAGACAAAGTAGCGTACGTGGAAGCTGCCTGGCCTGACAGGCTGAGCACCTGGTGAAACCCTACCTCCATACCCGACCTTCAGCACCTGCTGTCACACATCCCTGTCACCTGTGGTCACCACACACCTAAGACCCCTGCAGCCACTGACATGGTTAACTGAGTGACTCATTTCCCTATCACGGCAATGGATGGATGAGAAAATGACAACCCTTCACTTATGTTCCCTGAAAGGACATCCTCAATGGAGAATGAAAAAATTAATGTACATGTTGGGAAGGACATGATCTCATGATCAGTTCTTCACCTGCTATGAGGATTCCAGAGTTCTGGAAAAACAGAACTTGCATGAACACTTCCCGGACGCCCTTACTAATATAAGATCCAGGCCAAGAGGAGAAATGTGCTCGTCTGCTGGCAAAGGGTAATCAACTCAGGAGAAAAAGCAAGTCCCCACGCACCCGTGGGTTCCTTGTCAGGAACTCGGCTGCCACCTGTCTTCCTCCACATTCTCCCTCAGGATAGTCTGAAAACTAAGCAGACAAAGCTGAAGAAGGATAAAGAAACCATGAGACCCTGGTCTTATTCACCCCTTCATGGACCTCCAAGCCTTCATCTGGGAGTGAGTGACACCAGCTCCAACCCACATGTACCTGCAGGGTGATCTAAGACAAACAGGAGGAACCCTTTTTTCCCAGATCACAAGGAAGAAGGCTTTGGCTACAGCAACTCATAAGGAACATGTGAAAATCCTCATTTTATAGAAAAATAAGAGGACAATTATAGTGTTGTATGCTTTGCTTAGACCTGGTTTTCAGGGATATCATATAATTCCCTCCCTGATGGCAACTCCTAGGAGGACCTGACTCATGTCACATGGTGATTCTTCTTTGCACAACCAAGAACAAAACTTTGTGACTTAATACTTCTTGGTTAGGTGCATTAGCATTCTTTCCCTAACACTCACCCAGCCCTGCAGAACAACAACCTCCCTGCTGTGCCCTGCCCTCATCCTCCCTGTCCTGTCCCACCCTACCCCCTTCCTCTCCATCCTGCCCTGTCCCCCACCCCCACGCTCCCCCTGCCCCCACCCTCCAATGCACTTGCCCTCAATCATCTTGAGTCTGCAATGTCTGGGTTCAGGCAGCACCAGAGCCTCAATCCTAGCTCCATGCCCCAAGGCCTGAACATGCAGCCAAGCACCTTTGGAATCTGTTTAACAGTGGACAAAACTCATCCCCTGTTCAAAGCCTCATCCCCTATTGGAGGGTTCAGTGGCTCACCATGTTTAGCAACAAAATCTCTTTTACCAAAAAGAAGCGGGCGTGAGCCCTTTCTAATGCTACTGCTGTGTCTCACAGTCACCCTAAGGCAGTGGATCTCATAGAACACAGAAGGAAGGAGCTTAGTTTTGGGGGACAATTGACTCCTTTGGAAATCTTAGTGAAATGGTAGCTGGAGTTTTGCCTTAGTAATTAGCATTGGCAGGAACACCTCAGCATTTCATAATTTATGTATTTGAAAGCATTTGTCAATAGTAGACTATTTTCTAGAACAATGTTAATAATTGGATGTATTGCATGGATGGATAGTGATAATGAGTAATGAACAGGGTAAGAAGACAACTCCTTGAGTGAGGTCCCCAAAAGAGAAAAAAATTCCCATAGCATGAGCTGAGAGTCTGCGAATCACTTACTTGCATTTGCTTATTTAATCCTCACAATAATTGTGCTATTTATGGATCAGCTGTCCGTATAACAAGTGATGTGAAGTTAAGTTCTAAAAGCTTAATGAATGTGACCAAGTCACATGCTACAAAATGACAGAGCTAGAATTTAAACCAAGCTCTGCCTATCTCTGTCTCAAATTTCTACATGTGTTTGTCTTGAGAGAGGTGGACACCAGAGCCAGGTTTTACTGGGATATGTCTCCTGTCTGACCAGCGAGGAGAGGCTTTTCCTTGTTATCACAGCCTTGTCTTTTCAGTGTGTACACACAGTCACTACCCTACCCCATACCCAGGTTCTACTCCATGCCCCAAACATCAGCTTCCAGGTCTTCTCATTTTTACTGTAAACCAAAAAGTGCCTGAGACAGATCTTCGTTGATTAGAGGTTTATTTTGCCCAGATTGAGGATGTACCCAGGAAAAAGAAATGCAAGTTACAATAGGATCTGTGACCTGTGCTTTTTCCAAATTGAAACACCATGCCCATTAAACAACAGCTCTCTATTTCCCCCTCTCCCCACCCCCTAAAAGCCACCATTCTACTTTCTGTTGCTATGAATTTGACAACTCCAGGTACCTCATATAAGTAGAATCACACAATATTTGTCATTTGGTGACTGGCTTATTTCACTTAGTATAATGTCCTCAAGGCTCATCCAATTGTACTATGTGCCAGAATTTTAAGGCCAAATAATATTCCATTGTATGTTTATACTACATTTTGTTTATCCATTCAACCATTGAAGGACACTTGAGTAATGCTACTTTATTTTATTTAGAAATCCACCTAGGGATATCTCTTTTGAAATTCTTTTTTTTTCCAGTGCAGATTTCCCTCTAGCAAATTCAGCATTGGGGACTAACTTCTTCTGGCTTGTGAAGGGAGAAAGGCCTTTGGCTTTTTGACCTGCTGTTTTATCAGTGTTTCTTGTCCCCTTGAACCTGTATATTAAACTAGGCTTACCTGACTTTAAAATGAACAAATTGACATCCACTTAACACTGTGTCTTCTGTCCTTTCTCCCTCCCCACTGTATGTTTTATTCTGATAAAATGCTTTAGTTTTGTCCTATTAACATTTAAAATTTTTCCCATCTCAGCCTTGACACCTGCACATTACCTTATGATGGAAATTTGCTACCATCACAAGAGCTCTGCTTTTCCCTTATCTTGGTAATGTAAAAGCAATTATAAGGCTGCATATGAAGTATGATAGTAAAGGAACTGACTTTTGCACATATATCTAAATGAATGTTGTCCTTCAGAATGATCACCTTCTTATAATGTCAGTGGAATTGTCTTCCCATCTACTTTATGAGTTTTATTACTTTACAGACTCAGGGTGCCTTCATGGTTGATTACCTCCTCTGCTTTTTGACTCAATTTGGGCACCTTCCACCTTCCCTGATGCTGTCCTTGACTGTAGGACCAGACAGTGAAGTGGAGGTGGAGGACATGAAGAAGAGGACTATTTCATGTCAGTTTTTTTCATGTACCAGCTGCTTGTCTGCTCAAAGTACCTTTGAGCAGTTAGAACTTTAAATTAGAATTGGTTAAGTTAGAATTGATTGTGCACCAGAAACCCCAAATCTAATTGCTGTAACTCCATAGCCCCAGATGCATATAGGGAAGCCATTTCTTTCTATCTTTTCCCCTACCTTCTCATTACATCACTACATCCTACCTTCACTGCTGACTACATACACCATGTTTAGTTGTGCAGGTTGTGCACTGACTGAAGGCACAATATCACAGAAATATATATATATATATATATATATATATATATATATATAAAATATATGCACACACATACATGCATGTGTATATATACAGATCTATATCATAACAATTTCCAGAAAGAAGTAAAGAAGGTACATTGAGGAAAGGGAGCCTTTTCCTGCTCCCTATCAAAATATCATAATGGCCTAGCAGTAGCTCTGCCTTTCAAGATCCCATGCTTGCATACCTTAAGATATCATAAGGTCTGAAAAGTATGACTTAGTAGTGGCTGATACCTAATTCACAATTAACTGGTTAATTCACTATTGCCTTATCATACAGTGGATTGCGCAAAGCCCTAGGTCAGTTTTGAGGAACTCATTATGACTGGGCTCTCACACAGCTCATTGGTTATTTTAGTCTAGAATACAAGACCAGCCTTAGACTAGACAAGGAAGGAATTGCCTACATTATATGATATGGAGGCTTTTGTTCAAAACTATCTCCTCCATTGGCAGTTTTAGTACATAAAAATTCATGATGAAATTATTGAACTGGAGGGAACTTGCCGATAGAACCATGAAAACCATGAATCATAGGTTCCCCCCCAGTCCCTGTCCCACCCTGTTGAAACCACACAGGCATTACCAATATCACAGCACTTTCCTGTTGTGTCTGGATGCCCTTCCTAATTCAGAGCTTCAGGCAACCCCACGTTTCTCCTGGAGTGGGCAGGCATATAAGACCTATTTGTCAACTTTGAATTCTAGTCCAGGAGAATCATTAAAATACAAACACCTGGGAGGAAAAAAACTTTCAGTCTTCACTAACACCTCAGGAGGACCTGTCACCCCAGCATATGACATGAGAGTCTCATTTGATTACTCTTTCTCCCTGTTGATCTATACAATCAACCAGAATATCTGTCATTCAACTTCTAAAATAACCCTCAAAGTTATTCCTATGCCCTTTCCACCACAACTACTAGCTTTTCTCGCTCTTGTCCACTTGAATTGCTGCAGCAGCCTTCTATGCATGAGCTTCTCCTGAGACCGCTCCCACTCCAGCCGATGCTGCTGGAAAACCTGCCTGGATGATGGGAGCTACTGCTTGAGACAGACAGTCACACCCCACTGTCTGTAGACAAAAGGCCAGTCTCTTATCCTGGTCAGGTTTAAGAAAATATTTTAAGGGTCTTTGGTGCGTCTTAGGGAGGGAACTGGATTTTGTTAGAAAACACTTTTATTAGCAGGTATAGATGAGGAAGGTAAGTCCTTCATGGGTATGGACAAAACAAGGGAAGACAAACTGCACAGCACAGGAATGAATAGGAGTTCCAGAGTTGGGGTGGGATGCAAGGTTGTGGGGAGAGCAGAGGAGAGGAAAGGGGTGTGTGTGTGTGTGTGTGTGTGTGTGTGTGTGTGTGAAGGGAAAGGATAGAAATCTGCATAGATGCCATCCCGTGGTCAAAGAAACAAATGACACTGCTATACGTGTGTACTGGAATCGAATGATTTAGTAAACGGATGGCAGATGGTGGGAGCCAGGTTTAGGGAGATGATCCTAAAATGATCCATGTGGCAATGTATTAGAGTTGGAGACCTCAGTAGGAACTCCTGTTTATAGATATAGATTATCTATAGATATATTTGTTGCTATGTGTATATAAAAAGGTTAGTGCACATACACATATTTCTTTGCTCTATGAGCTAAGAACACCTAGAAGCAACAACACTCCAGTAGCACTAGCACACCTAGTACCCAAATCTTGGTTTCCAATACTATTCTCCAATAAAAGAAAACAGGGATCTTGGAGAAATGGCCGATTCTAGGACTGGGGCAGGAAATATACAAGATGAGTCTGGAGTTTCTTGTGAGTGCCAGAAAGTAAGAAAATGCTAAGACAAAAACAATAACCTAGAAACTCCACAATGATGGGAGTATGTCAAAGGGGCACAGAAGCCAAACAAAAGAGCTTCCTATAACATACACTGGCAGAATTTGAGTGATAAAATTAATAAAGTAGTACTGTATTATAACTCCAAGTATAAAATAAATATCCATGAGTCTATACTGATATAAATAAATGACGGAACAAATTAACAAAGGGAGAGAAGAGACAAACTCCTGTGCAGTAGAATTCCAAAGAATTTATGCAGATTCTCCACCCTCAAGGAAGGAAAGCATGATGCCCCACTCCCTGATTGTGGGCTGCATATAGTGAATTCCTTCCAAAGAGTACAGTATGGAAAGGGGTTAAAGAATAATTTTCCAGTGGAGAAACTTGATAAATACTACCTCAGTTGGCATTGATCTGATCAAGGTCCACATCAGCAGTCACAAATCATGTTGATAGTGTGAACTGTTGGTATGAAGTGATAAAAGTCCCATACAGATGCAAGATATTAATAATAGGGGAAAAATGGTATGGGGTATGTGGGAACTCTTTGCACCATCTTCTCAATTTTTCCATAATATAAAGCCTTCTAAAAAATAAAGTATATTTTTAAAAAAGACTCAAGAATGGGAATGTTAGATAAGCAATTTTAAGTTATTTATGATGCTATATTAAACCCATCTGTCTGCCTAAACCAGTAAGAAGATCTAGCATACTCACTCATCCTGGGGTGATGGTATGTTGGGAAATAAAGCAACAGGGCAGCAAGGCCTTGCATCTATCCTTCTCCTGAGACCCTAGGAAAGAGAAACATATGCTCCAGAAAGGGACTCCAATACACGCAGGGTTGTCACTACCAACAGGAAAACTTATGTGGCCATGGCACAGCTGGCATGGCAGGGAGGAGCAGCTTCATGGCAGGCACCTCAGGAGGAGGTCTGAGACCAAGCCTTCTTTCTCACCTTCATCAGAGGAGGATGTGAGGATGTATCAATTGAGATCTAGTCAGGAAAACTATTGTTAAGTATTTCAAACAGGAAAAATTTAATATAGGGGTTTGGTTCCAAAGATGCTGGCAGGGTTAAGAAGCACCAAAGGGAGAAGAGAGATTCTGAAGAAGCAAAAATGAAAGAAGTGATGCCCAGAGATCAGAAGCTGTCAGCTGCAGATCAGCTGAGAAGAGGGGCCTTGATAACAGGGGTCAACTTCTGAAAAGATGTTGCCTCCCTGGGGCTGCTGAGTCCAGAATCACCCCATCCTCACTGCAGCAAGTGCCAGCAACTATCAGCAGCCACTAGCCATGGCCACGCTAGAAGAACTGACACAGAAGCATCTCTCCTCTCCCCATTGATCTTCCTCCGGGGCCCTTTCTTGGCAGAGCATAATGCGAAGCCTGGAAGATGCAGTGACACAAGCTAGGCCCAGCAGTGTTCAGAGTAGAGTGCAAAGATGAAGATGGAGGCTGACACTGCTAGTGAGTAGCCAGGAAAGAAAGTAACCCTTGATGAGGGTGTGATTGATGCCTAGTTTATACTAACCCTTATGGCCTTCCTTTCCAACATTATTTACACCTTCACTTCTTTTTTTTTTTTTTTTTTTTTTTTTTGTGATGGAGTCTCACTCTACCAACATGGCTGGAGTGCAGTGATGCGATCTCGGCTCACTGCAACCTCTGCCTCCCAGATTCAAGTGATTCTCCTGCCTCAGCCTCCCTAGCAACTGGGATTACAGGTGCCCACCACCATGCCCAGCTAATTTTTGTATTTTTAGTAGAGATGGGGTTTCACCATGTTGGCCAGGCTGGTCTCGAACTCCTGACCTCAGATGATCCACCTGCCTCAGCCTCCCAAAGTGTTGGGATTGCAGGTGTGAGCCACCACGCCTGGCCAATATACCTTCGTTTCTTGTTCTCTGCTCCTCCTGCCAGAGATCCCCACTATTTCCTATGGCAACCTTTCACTCCCCAGCATCCTTGCCTTTGCTATTTCCTTAGGGATGCCCCTGCCCAAGATGTATGAGTCCAAATCCTATACTACATCCTTTCAAATTCAGCTCACGTAGGTCCTGCTCTGCAAAGCTTTCTCTCTCTCACTGTTCTCATCTGCAAGCAGAAGTATGCTAGTTAAAAGAAAAAAAAAAAAAAAGAATCCCTGGTATGTAGCAATTGCGTTATTTCCATGGTGCAAATAATCCCAGAGGAACAGTTGCTAACTGTCAGCTCTTGTGAGCCTGTCAGCTGGTCCCGGCATGGCAAACCACAGTCCATGACCTGGAAGCATACCTTCCTGTTGTGAAATTCCTTAGCCATTCATGCGACCCTGTCCCACAGTGACCACTCACCACATTTTGCTATGAGTGATAGTCATTTCTGTGCAAGTCTGCACTCAACTCCAGAAAAGCATCCTCACACAGGGAAAATCATGGCTTAAAATTCCAGCCCTACACTCCCAGCTCTGTGACTGGTAACCCTGTTACTTACCAAGCCAAGTAACTGGTAACCCTGCCACCTACCAAGTGTTGGGACACTTATCAAATGTTCAGAGCCTCAGTTTCCTCATCTATTAATGACAGCAGCAATGTAAATCAGTACAGCCCTTAAGGAAGACCGTATAGAAGTTCCCAAAAAAATTAAACACACAACTACCTTATGAGCCAAAAATTCCACTTCTGGGTAATGTACCCAAAAGAACTGAAAGTGGGGTCTTAAAGAGATATTTGTACACCTGTGTTCACAGCAGCATTATTCACAATACCCAAAAGGTGGAAGCAAACTAGTTTTAGCTATTCCACCATCTATACATATATTAAAACCTCATATGATACATCATAAATATATACAATTTTTGTTGATTTAAAAATTAATTTAAAATTTTTTTTTTTTTTTTTTTTTTTAAAGAGCAGCAACAATGGCAACCCTGCCCCACAGGGCTGTTGCAAGAATTAAATGAGTGTGTTAGTAGTTTTCACACTGCTATAAAGAACTGCTGGAGACTAGCTAATTTATAAAGGAAAGAGGTTTAATGGACTCACAGTTCCGCATGGCTGGGGAGGCCTCAGGAAACTTACAATCATGGCAGAGGGTGAAGGGGAAGCAAGGACCTTCCTCATATGGCGGCAGGGGAGAGGAGAGAAATGCCGTGAAGGAGAAACTTCCAAACACTTTTAAAACCGGCCGGGTGTGGTGGCTCACACCTGTAATCCCAGCACATTGGGAGGCCAAGGCGGGTGGATTACCTGAGGTCAGGAGTTCAAGACCAGCCTGACCAACATGGTGAAACCCCATCTCTACTAAAAATACAAAAATTAGCCAGGCGTGGTGGCGGGCGCCTGTAATCCCAGCTACTTGGGAGGCTGAGGCAGGATGATCACTTGAACCCGGGAGGCAGAGGTTGCAGTAAGCTGAGATTGTGCCATTGCACTCCAGCCTGGGCAACAGAGTGAGACCCCGTCTCAAAAAAAAAAATGCCATTGGCTGTCATGAGAACTCCCTTACCATCATGAGAACAGCATAGGGAAAACCACCTCCATGATCCAATCACCTCTCATCAGGTCCTTCCCTTGACATGTGGGGATTACAATTTGGGTGGGGACATAGAGCCAAACCATATCAATGAGGTAACAATGAAAGTGCATTGCATAACAGTCCCTGGCACATTGTAGAGGTTTATAAATGTTAATTTTCTCCACTCCTTAGGCTTTAAACACTTTAGAAGTCATATTACAATTCATTTTTTAATTACCCTGAGTGTCAAAAACACTACCTTTGTAACTTGTTCAAAAATATGTAATCGCTCAAAAATATTGTTGTTAACCTATCCACTGGAAATATGAGGGGGTTGACAGTAAGGGGAGGGAGCAGGGAGGGATGAGCCCAGAACCTGCGGGGGAAGTGGGGATGGGCTGGGAAGAAACAAGGGGGTCTGGGAAGAAACAAGAGAGGCAAGGAGCACAGGGAAATGGTGCTGCCTACGCCCAAGATCCCCGGAGGAGCTTGGAGGGTCTCTTTGGCATCTCCCTCCCTCAGGCCTTCTTACCTCCACTGGGTGCACACTTACTATTGCTTACTTTTTAATTCTGGCTGCGGCTGAGCAAGACACCAGTGTCCTGGGACACCAACCGCCTTCTGGGTGGCAATAATGACAGCAGCAGCTATTTCAACTGCAGCTGCTAACGGTATTTCCATATACTTAATCCCACAGGGCAGAAGTTGGCAGTAGTGTCCAGCAGCAGAAAAAAATGCTAACTGGGAATGCTGGGCTTAAGGAGTTTAGTACAGAAATGGCAAATACCCCACAATTTCTGACCTTTGTCGTCTAATAGGATACCTATCAACTAAACCCTACCTAAAACCTAAAATGCTTGAAATCCGCCTAGAAGCTTCAGTCTGATTTTGCCCATAGGTCAAATGTTAATGAACTATTATTTTCTTCCATTTCTGCTCCTCATCTTTAATCTAAAAACCACGGAGTCATGGAATGGGAAAGGCCTAGAGCTCCACTTGCTCTAGTTCTCTTTTCAAAAACCATAGCCAGAAAGCCACGAGGAAATGCAGACTTACAAACAAAATCGATTTGTTCCAAACTGGTGTGCTCTGGGGGCCTGGCCCCTCTGGGAACCCAGGACTCAGGCTCCCATGCCAGGTGTTTTGTCACTTGGCAGCCTCCTTGGACACGTCAGAGTCAGGGAGCTGGGCTTCTCGAAAGAAGTCCACTCCATCTATGGGCAGCATGCATAGCAGGGGCAATCCGCCTTAGCAAACCGCTCAGTGTTTCCTCCTAGTCAGGGATTCTCAACAGGTTTAGGGGAGGGGTAGGATGGAGGTAGGTTTTATCAGAATCACATCATTTGCACTATAGTTTGAAAGATGTAACATAAAGCTGCTGCTTTAGTACCAGCTGCCATATTTCCTTTTCTTGGAGGTTTCTAATAAATCTAAAGGAGGGTGATCTATTAAGTTTTGCAAAATGGCCTGAGGTTCCAAGAGGTAGGAGAGCCGCTGCTGACTTCAACTTCTCCGTATAGCTGAAGATGACCTCTTGAAGCCTGCAGATCCCAAATCCGGGATCTCTCTTAATGTGGCATCACACACATCTGTGTGTACCTGTCTTTTTTTCCTCCATGGGACCAGCTCTCTCCAGATCCAATGACAAGCTTCCGATTATCTGTGGATCTTCTGATACATCTCCTTGCTTGTAATCATCATTCAGTAAATGCTTTTTAAACACAGGTACCTCCTATGCAATCAGTACAGCACTCATAAAACAGATATACTCAACAAAAAGATTGAATGAAACACACACGACAACATGGTCAGGGTTTTTCTCTAGGCAGAGACAGCGCAATTTCATCTTTTCTTTTCCAAGTCTATCCTAAATTAATATACTTAGCACTGCTTTTTAAAATAATAATAAAAGACTATTATTAAAACAAAGGCACCCCAGTTGATCATAGCCAAGGAAAAAAAACGCAGCCAGTTTTTACTTCGGCAAGGTTTAGGGGATTTATCATTTTCGCTGCCGATATTCTAACTAAAAAAAGCCAACTAAACAGCCCAGAGAACGAGGCAACTTTCTGAGGCAGGCATTCAACTTCTAAGGCTCGGCCAAGTTTAGCAAATAAGTTTCGTTTCACTGCAACACCGGAATGCCCACCGCGTGCCCCCCTCCGGGCGGGGCTCGGAAACTGGCCACTGCAGTCGTGCCCTTGGGTTGGGGACGCACCTCAGCGAAACGAATCCAGCCGCACCTCCCGGCTGGCACCCGCGCGCTTTAACTCAGGGAAAACAGACCGGAACGCGCATGCGCCGCGGCGCGCCGCACCGCCCACCAGCCCTCCAGGTCACATTCTTCGAAAACCAAGGCAAGAAAGGCGGCAACTGCGCCTGCGGGTAGAGAAGCCGGAGGGGCGGGGGCGGAGCCGGAGGAAGGGGGTGGAGGCGCGCCTGCGCGGTGATCCCGCCAGCAGGAAGCAGGCGCGCGGGGGCGGGGGCGCGCGGCGGCAGGAGGCGGGGCTCTCGGGGCCGCTGCCGCCGCCGCCGCCGCGCATTGTGCAGCAGGCGGGCCCCCGCGCGGTAGGGCCCTGGACCCGCGCGGCTCCCGGGGATGGTGAGCAAGGCGCTGCTGCGCCTCGTGTCTGCCGTCAACCGCAGGAGGATGAAGCTGCTGCTGGGCATCGCCTTGCTGGCCTACGTCGCCTGTGAGTGCGCGCCCGCTGCCAGCTGGGGAGCCCCATTCATTCCCCGGCGCCGCGGTGGGCCGGGCGGCGGTGGTTCGGGGCCCCGAGGCGGCCCTGCAGCCCCGCGTTGCTCCCCGCCCCGGGCGGGGCCGGCGCTTTCTGCTCCCACCCCTTTCCACTCTTGCAGCAAAGCGGGCCAACTTGGGCGCACACCCCCTACCGCTTAGGCCCGGGCGCGGACCCCGGGCGGAGGGGCCCCTAGCAGTCCTCGGGCGGCCCCAGGTCTCTGCCTCCTGCCCGGGCGCGGGGGACTCGGCGGCGGCGCTGTCGTCCATGTCGCGCTGGGAGCCGGCGAGGGTCCCGGTCGGGGACTCCGGAGCGTGCCGCGTGGGGATACCCTTGGGGACAGCCGAGGTCGCGCCGCGGTGTCGGTTAAGTCGGATAAAAATACTGTGGCCATTGGCAGAGCCCCCGCTCCGACTGTTTGCTCCTCAGGAAAATTACTCAGCGTTTAACTCTTGGGGAGCCAAGTGTGGGCGGCTCCCCGGCCCGCGGCCGTGCCCAGGTGTCGGGGCGCACCGGCATCCCCATTCTAGGTTTTCCCCCGGGGCTCGGCGGCCGGGCGAAGCAGGCAGGCAGCTGGGTGGCCGGGCAGGGCGTGCCTGCAGCTTCTCTGTGCGCGGGTCCAGTTTCTGTCATCGCTCACAGCATGCTGCCTGGAGACAGGGCAGGAGGGGCACTTCGCAGGCAGGTGGTCGGCCCTCTGCTTGTTAGGGAAGTCAGAAACCGTCCTTTTAAAGATCTATTCGTTGGGAATGTTTTAATTGATGCTATTAATACGTTACCAAGTAGCAAAATTGGACTAGAAATAGCTCCCAGTGTGAGCTGCGTTTGAATGCTAGCCACCCAGACACACACTGAAATGAAATCACCTGCTAACCTGTTGGCGTTACCAAGATCTGATTCCAGAGGTGAGTGGGTACTTCACTTGTCTGAAGTGACTTCAGTTGAGCTCTAGGAAGGCAAGTATGAGTAGATCCAGCCTGTGTGCTACAGCCCAGCTGTTCAGGAGGTGGAGCTGGAAAACCCCAGCAGGACTCCGGGTTGCTAGGGGAGGTTTCAGGCGTCGGATGGGTGTTAGATGTGTGTAGTTTTGCAAGGGAGGAAGAACTAGTCTAAAGTGTGTGTGTGGTCAATCTTGAGTAAGAAAGCTGAGACCCAAGAGGAAAGACCATTTAAAGTTGAATAACTATTATTATGGCAGTAATACTACCTACATTTGTTGAGTGCTTAACTGTGTGAGTCATGATTCTTAGTGCCATTGTCTCAATCATTGAGCAACCCTGGGAAATCGGTACTATAATGATTCCTATTTTAGAGGTGAGGAAGTTAAGGCCAAGAGAGATTAGGAAATTTATGGATGATCACACAGATAGTAAGAGAAGGAGGGCCAAAATTTGAACCCAGAAAGGCCTGGGAGCAGGAGCTAGAACCCAGGTCTTCGAACAGCAGTTTCAATGTTTATTTTGGGGGTATTCTATAGTCGCTGCAAGGGTTTAGAATTAATAAAGTAGGGGATTTATGGAGCCATGGGAAGTTTTTTTTTTTTTTTTGAGACGGAGTCTCGCTCTGTTCAGCCCAGGCTGGAGTGCAGGGGCGCGATCTCGGCTCACTGCACGCTCCACCTCCCGGGTTCACGCCATTCTCCTGCCTCAGCCTCCCAAGTAACTGGGACTACAGGCACCCGCCACCACGCCCGGCTAATTTTTTGTATTTTTAGTAGAGACGGGGTTTCACCATGTTAGCCAGGATGGTCTCGATCTCCTGACCTCGTGATCCGCCTGCCTCGGCCTCCCAAAGTGCTGGGATTACAGGCGTAAGCCACCGCTCCCAGCAGGAAAGTTTTTTAACCAATCATTCATCTGACCAGGAAATCTTACCAAGTCCTTACTGTTGTCCCTGAATTTGGCACTAGGAGACACCATGGGGTGCTAAAACTTAACTGGTCTGTGCTGTGATGGTACAGACCCTATACCACATAGTGTAGCACGTTGATTCTCAGACTTAAGCATGCATCAGAATCAGTAGGGTTTTTTTTAAAAAACACAGACTGCTTGTCTCCCACCTCAAGTTTCTGATTCAGTTGGTCTGGGATGTGGCCTGAGAATCTGCATCACTAATAGGTTGTTCTGTATGCTGTTGCTGTGACCTGACACCACTTTGAGACCCACTGGCCAAGATGGTGAGGTGGGCATGAATTGGAAATGAAGGTTAAATTACAAACTGGTGTGAGGAAAAGGAATGCATGAGAACTATGCCAGGAACTCCTGAGTGAGAGCAATCAGGTACGTTTGTTTTGTTGAGGAATCAAAAGTGAGCTGAGAATGGACGGCTTATGTAGGAGTTAACAGGGAAGTCATAGGAGAGAGCGTGTTCTAGGAGGAGCAGTGTGTGCAGAGGTCCTGCGGCAGCCAAGAGCAGGCAGTATTCTAGGAATGCAAAGAAGGATGGTATTGTTGGAGTGTGAAAACAAAATTACAGCCATGAGGCTGCCCAGGCAGACAGGGGCCAGAGCAGGCAAGCAGGCAGGCAGGCCTGGGGTGCAGCCCACGACATGGTTGATTTTAGCTATGAGGGGTTTAACACAGGGTGGAGGCAGTGTTAATAAGGAGCAGGTATGCTAAGTCTGAGCCACTCTGCAGGGAAAAATGTTACAGGGCTTGTGATTGATAACACCGAAGGACACTGAAAATGTAGTCCCTCAACCGTGATGTCTGTGTTTTCTAATCTCTGCTTTTCCTAATTAGTAATCTTGCCCTCCCTGTTACAAGTAAAATCTCACCACTGTTTGAAAAAACTGTCCATACTTCCCAATTATATACACCCTCACTGTTAGCCAGCCTCCGTTGCAGAAATGCCCTCCCTGTTTCGGGAACAGAACTCAAGTTCTGTTAGCCTTTCTCCTTCTCCTCCTTACATCTTTCCCAAAGTCTTTGTTACCTACTCTGGCCCTGAGTCTCCTCCTTGATACCACATAACTCTTCTTCATGTCTTAGGGTTGACCACCTGCTAACTTGCATTGTACTTGAGTTCTTTCCCATTCATATGTTGGCTTTTTTTTCTCAATGAAATCCCGATTCTGAGGACAGGGATTGTGTCTTATGTGTTTCAGCCCTTGAAACATTTATAGCAGTGCTAATGGCTCATTGAAAGAACTCAGTTTCTGCCCTTTGTGCTGAATCAAAAATCAGGCCAACCTACTAGGTAGCTCCTGGGCAGACTGCTTGAATTACCTTTAACGTATTTTTTTTTAACATGCATATAGTGTAAAAAGTTAAATAGCTTCTGCAGGGCCAAACAGTATCCCCTGCCACCATTTCCCTCTCCCCAGAAGCAGGCACTTCATTTCTTTTTTTTTTTTTTTTGATACAGAGTTTCGCTTTTGTTGCCCAGGCTGGAGTGCAGTGGCGTGATTTCGGCTCACTGCAACCTTGGCCTCTTGGGTTCAAGCGATTCTCCTGCCTCAGCCTCCTGAGTAGCTGGGATTACAGGCATGCGCCACCACGCCCGGCTAATTTTGTATTTTTAGTAGAGACGGTTTCTCCATGTTGGTCAGGCTGGTCTCAAACTCCTGACCTCAGGTGATCTGCCTACCTCAGCCTCCCAAAGTGCTAGGATTGCAGGCGTGAGCCACCGCACCCAACCCCTAGGCATTTCACTTCTTTTAGTTGATTATTTTGGTATTTATCATTGTGCCATTGAATCACCTGGCTTCCTGATTTTTCAGTTGTAGATATTACCTAGTGACTTTGTTCTTTGGGAGATGATTTTTTTCTTCTCTTTGCCCCTGTACATGCTCTCCACCCTCCTATATAGATGTGGTATAATCTCACGGAGCTCATCATGCAGTGTTTACAAGCATGACTATGTAAATGCTGTTCCTAGTGAGTCATGTTGTAGGTTACTTTTTGTTTTCTCCAGCGAATAATTGGCTGGTGTTCTAATTTGCTTGCTTTCTATGTAGTATGACAGATCCAACTCCAAACTCTTTGCCAGTTGTCTGTCGCGTCTTCCCCCATGATGTTCATGAGCATCAGGATGCCCCTTGGTCAGCACCCCTTCCTGAAGAAGGGCCCCGGGGCCTTCTACTGCAACTTGTGGATACATCTGAGGGTCAGCTGCCAGCCTCACCACCTGCACCCACATCAGCCTGGACCTACCCACTGCAGGACTTCTGTTTCCTGACTTCCTCTTCCTGACTCCCTCTTGTTTCACTCCCTGGTTTGGATGTGATGGGAAGTGAATTCTGAGACTTTACCCATAAGTATATTTTCTGCCTTCATGTCTGATAGATTGATAGTGTAGAATTATAGAAAAAAAGTTCCTTTAGAATTTTTGAAGCATTGGTCCAATCCTTTTTGGCCTCCAGTATTGTTGAAGAATTTCAAGCCAGTCCTTCTCTTTCTGAAGATTGTAGCATCTTCCTTTCGGGTCTAGTTGTCAGTGCTCGCCACACATGTCCAGCCCCCTGTCCCCCAGGCTCTTGGTAGGATTGCCCTCCCTTCCTCACTCCCTGAGCTTGATGGCCTCACATGGTTGTTGTGCCAGTGGCCTGCCCAGGAGCTGAGCGGAAGTGCTACTTCCACTTCTGGGCCTGCACTTCGCTGCGAGTGTAAGTTGCTGCCAGAGTTTTCCTTCCCTCTAGTTAGGTTCTGAACTCAGCTTGACAATGATGATACTCAGCTTGCAGAACCCCCTCCCACCCATGCTATGACCCTGTTCGATTGAAATAAACTTGAAGAATAAATCTTGGTTGTTGTAGGCCTCTGAGGGCTTTTGGGCTGCTCATTGCTGTAGTTTAACAATGCCTGCCCTGACTGATACATCCGTGGTGTTCCAAGATCCACAGTGCTAGGCCTTGGTGTATTTTATCCAGCATGTTGGGCATTTTTTGTGCCCTGGCAATCCAGAAACACTTATTCTTCAGTTATGGGAATTTTCTTGAATTATTCTTTGGTGATTTTCTCCCCTCCCATTTTCTATTTCATCTCTTTCTGGGACTACTACTATTCTGATATAGGATTGCTGGACCAATCCTCTTATTTCCTATTTTCTACCATTTTAAGGTTGTTGCACTTTTGGGACGTCTCCTCATTTTTGTATTTAGACTCTTCTAGTGATTTTTTTACATTTTATTTTTGCCATACTTTTTCATGTATAAGAGTTCTTTTTTGTTCTGTGAACTTTTTTAAAAAACTAAAACATGGTCTTCATTTCATGGTATATTCTCTGGATTTTTAAAAAATTTGTTTTCTTTTCTCTTTACTGAAGGATCTCTTTCCTCTAGGCTGCCTTCCCGTTTCTGTGTGAGGCTCTCCTCAGATGGCCTGCCCATGTTTAAGAGTGGGGGACTCTGTAGGGATGGGCACTGCCTTCTGTGAGCTGAACCTTTCCTTGTTGGGGCCTTCTGACCTTAGTGCTGCGGGTTGGTCCTCCCGGGCTATTGTCACAAGACTCTCCCTGGTCCCTGCAGGAAGGGGAGGCTTGGCTGCCTGCATCCTGGAGCCCAGTGAGCGAGGGCTGTAGCCTAATCAGTAACCTGATTGTCCCAGGGGGATCTGGGCTCCTCTGTCAGAGACCCTGATTCCACCCTCTCCAGAGATGGAGCCACCTGTCTTCTGCCAGGGTGGGACAGGAGCTGGAACTTGTCCTGCTTCTTAGATGTCTTTGAAAATCAGACTTCCTGTCTCTGCTGCCTCCACACCCATTGCAGATGCTCCAGGCCTGGCCCAGTTCTTGACCCTAAGTATAAATGGGCCATTCCACTGCCCGCCCACGTCCGTGCCCTCTCCATGTCCCCATATTCACCTATCTTCTTTTTCCTATCCAGTAGCATTTTGGTGCCTGTTCTCCCTTCCCCTTCTCCCTGTCCACGTGGATTGATTCCTTAAACAAGAACAAAAAAGAAGTCAGGGAGGAGGGATATGGAGAGAGGGGCAGGGAGGAAAATAGATTGCCTATATTCAAAAAAAGAAAAGAAATCAAAGACAAAAGACATTTTCTGATGTTTTAGTCGGGTTTAGGAGCCATTATCTTTTCACCTTTAGCCTTTGAAAGTTAGAGTTAAGGCTGGTCGCGGTGGCTCATGCCTGTAATCCCAGCATTTTGGGAGGCCAAGGCAGGTGGATCACCTGAGATCGGGAGTTTGAGACCAGCCTGGCCAACATGGTGAAACCCCGTCTCTAGTAAAAATACAAAAAATTAGCTGGGCATGGTGGCGGGCGCCTGTAATCCCAGCAACTCAGGAGGCTGAGGCAGGAGAATCTCGTGAACCCGGAGGCGGAAATTGCAGTGGGCCAAGATCGTGCCATTGCACTCCAGCCTGGGCAACAAAAGCGAAACTCCATCTCAAAAAAAAAAAAAAAAGGAAATTACAGTTGTGACATTGTGACATCTAGTAACATTTATGTAATTTTTGGTGTATTGTGGATTTTGTTGTAGTGACATTTTAGTTGTGGTACCTTTCTTTCCTGTCAGTGTTACTTAACAAGAAAAGAGATAAAACCTGAAAACCATATGAAAGAGTGTTTTATGTGTCTTAGTTTTGTGTTTATGGTAATAGACTTCAAACTTCCCTGAGGTTGGGACTTTGGTTACGGTACAGTTTTGCCCTTAATATAATCAGCTCCCACATGATCGGCAATTGCCCTCATAAATTCATTCGGGACACAATTGTTAGCCTCTGCCTTGGAGGATGTGCAGCAAGTTAGATATCACTGTGACGCCAGAGGACCCTGGGGGACAGCAGACAGCTAAAATCCAACAACCTAGTACCGGTGGCATTCCCAGGCTGACCCGAGCGTGAGATCAGCTTGGGCTTGTCAAATGCAGGTTCCTAGGATCCTCCTAGGCCTGTAGGAGCCTGAGGGTTGGAGGCACAAGCTGGAAATTGTGAATTTTCAACATTTTCAAAATTTCCTTTCAGATTTTCTATCTTTTCTACTAAAAGAATATTTTAGTGAACACCCAAATACTCTCTGCCCAGATTCACCAGATGCCTACATTTTTTTCCACATTTTTCTTTTTCTTACTTTTTTTGTATATATTTTATATATACTTTTTTTGTTGAAATATTTGAAAGGTGCAGACGTAACAGTACTTCACCTTCAAGTACTTTACATATATCTCCTAAGAATAAAGGTATTCTTCTATATAATCTCATTACCATTATCACTCCCTAAAAATTAACAAAATAATATCTAAGATATAGTCTATATTTAAATTTCCCCCCATTGTACCATAAATGACTGTGATAGCCTTTCTGAGATTTTTTTTTTGCTTCTGTTTTTTTGAGACAGGGTTTCAATCTGTTGTCCATGCTGGAATGCAGTGGCATGATCTTAGTTCACTGCAGCCTCAAAATCCTGGACTCAGGTGATCCTCCTGCCTCAGGCTCCTGAGTAGCTGGGACTACAGGTGTGTGCCACCACAGCCAGCTAATTAAAAAATTTTTTTTTGTTTAGTTTAAAATCTAGGACCCAGTCAAGATTTACATGTTGCATTTGGTTTTATGCCTCTAAATTTCTGGAGCCATAGTAGCCTGATTTTTTTTTGTTTGTTTGATTGTTTCTCATAACATTTACCTATATATGTGTGTGTGTGTATATACATATTTACGTATATTCATGTATATGTGTGTGTGTGTGTGTGTATATATATATATATAAAAGCCCAGAGCAGTTTTCCTATAAATGTCCCACATTCTGGATTTGTCTGATTGTTTCCTTATGATTAAGTTCAGTTAAACATTTTTATAACAATGCTTGCTAATTGGTGTCGTTGGGAACATGTAGTGTCTGGGCTGGTCCCACTTGACACTGTTCAGTGTGACCCCTGGAAGGAATGGCCTCTATGCTGCTTCATTTTGAAGGTACATTTTTGCAGTATGCAATCTGTGGAGTGATTCTTGCCACCTGTGCGAATATCTTGTTCTCCAGCCAGTGCATTTCATGTCCATTGACGATCCTTGCCTGGACCGATTTTTCTGTTGGGGATTGCAGTTAGTGATTTTCTAATTTTGTAAATCTTTTGATAGTTATTAACTGGTGGTGTTTTGAAAAGAACTTTCCCTCCCTTTTTCTTCTCTCACTGTATTAGTTTCCCGTGGCTGCTGTAACAAATTACTCCAAATTAGGTGCCTTTGAAACAAGAGATATTTATTATTTCTAAATCTGGTGGCCAGAAGTCTGAAACCAAGGTGTTGGCAGGGCTGAGCTCCCTCGGAATGCTCCTCTGTGGCTCCAGGGTTTCTTGTCTTTTGCCTGCACTGCTCCAGCCTCTGCGGTGACATGGCCTCCTCCTTTTCTGTCTGCTAAATCTCTCCTGGGTGTTTCTTATAAGAACATTTGTCACTAGATTTAGAGCCCAACTGGATAATCCGGGATGATCTTTTTGTCTTGAGATCTTTAATTACAGCTAAAAAGACCTTTTTTCCAAGTAAGATAACAATCACAAATTCTAGGAATTGGAATGTGGACATATTTTAGGGGGCACCGTTAAACTCATGGTGATCTTTCTTTAATCACTGTGGACCCGTAGCTTCTTTTAGTCTTTGAGCACTTCCTTAATGTCTAGATGTTTCAGGCTCATTTTCTTTTTCTACCCCAAACCTGGAATCAGCCTTCTCTCCAAGGAGCCAGAATTGAATGGAATCATTGGCCACTTGCTTGGTGTCTAGAGAGTGGGAG
This sequence comes from Homo sapiens, assembly GCF_000001405.40. Lineage (NCBI taxonomy): Eukaryota > Metazoa > Chordata > Mammalia > Primates > Hominidae > Homo > Homo sapiens. Next base: position 106,185,421 of record NC_000002.12, on the reverse strand, counting down.
AATTGGTTGGTAGTATGGGAAAAGCACACACACGTGGTATCAGAAGTGTTCTGTAGGTAGAAACAGGGTTTAAGACTTGGGCATCTTTATTTTCAACAATTTTCCCATTTTCCACCATAGTTCCTAAGAAAATGGACAAGGTAAAGTAGTCAAGGTAAAGTGCTGAGTACCATGAGAGAAATGAGATCTGGGACTTGGAGAGAATGGGATGCCCTTAAGACCTGGGGCATTGAGTTGGCATTTAGCAGAAGGATACAATTTGGGCAGTGGAGTTGAAGGTGAAAGTGATGGAATGAGCAGAGGCTGGAGTGACACAATGCCAGGAGCAGGAGTCTTTGTGGCCCATAAAGGCAGAATGTGGAAGTCTGACCTGACATAAACTTGATTTAATGACATGAGTAAGCCCTCCATAAGAATTTGTGCAGCATGAGAGAGATTTTGATGAACATGCCTGAAGTGTTCAGACATTAGGGCAGGGCAAAGTATAATCAGTTTTGCATTTTGGGGTTGGCCCGTGTGGCCTGAAATGTGCTTTGTGGTGTGCATGTCTCCTGAGCTGCCTACCTTTTGTAGATATGTGACTGGATTCTAGTCCTGGTATATGATATGTATGGTACTTCTGTACAGGCCAGTGCTGTGATCTGAATGTTTGTGTCCCCTGGAATTCACATGTTGGAACCTAATCCTTGAAGTGATGGCATTAAGAGGTGGGGTATTTGGGAGGTGATTAGGTCAGGAGGCAGAGCCCTCATGCATGGGATAGTGTCTTTGTAACAGAGGCCCAAGGGAGTTCATTCCTCCCTTCCACCATGTGAGGATACAGCAAGAAGGCACCGTCTGTGAATAGGAAGTGAGCCCTCACCGCCAGTGTCTTGATCTTGCACTTCCCAACCTTCATAACTGTGAGAAACAAATTCCTGTTTATTAGCCACCCACTGTGTAGTATATTTGTGATAGCAGCCTGAACATGGACTAAGACAGCTGAGAAGTCAAGAACATGTCTGATGTGAAGTTGGAGAGCTTTCACAAATAGATATGTTGAATAGGTGAGGCCAGTTACCAGATTCTTCATGTGTACTGAACCCACATTAATGTCTACTGCAAATTTCTTGTCTTGCTTTTTGTCTTACAAATATGACAAGTCCTAGGAATTACCTGAAGGGTAAATGTGGGGAGGATTAATTCAGGGTCAGCCCTTTTCTTTTTCTTTTTATACTTTTATTTTTTTCTGAGATGGAGTTTTGCTCTGTTGCCCAGGCTGGAATGCAGTGGTGCGATTTTGCCTCACTGTGACTTCTGCCTCCCAGGTTCCAGCGTTTCTCCTGCCTCAGCCTCCTGAGTAGCTGGGATCACAAGCGTGCGCCACCACGCCCGGCTAATTTTTGTATTTTTAGTAGAGATGAGGTTTTACCATGTTGGCCAGGCTGGTCTCGAACTCCCGACCTCAGGTGATCCACCCACCTCGGCCTCCCAAAGTGCTGGGATTAGAGGCATGAGCCACAGTGCCTGGCCAGATCATCCCTTTTCTGAATAAAGCGGTCTCACCCTATCACGTGGTGCAAGCTTTCTAACCTTCTGTTTCAATTTTTTTTTTCCATTTGTAAAATGAAAATACTCCTTTGCCTTGCAGGTAAAAATAATTTGTTTTAAATACTGTGAGGAATTGAAGGGATTTCTCTAAAGAGCTGATAACTTCACTTGATGAGCTTCAAGGGAAAAAAGGTGTGGGTGTGTGTTGTAAAGTAACCTGCAACATGGAGGGACTCCTTCCAGGCAGGAAGGGCAGTGACGGCCAGCAAGTGGGAACTTCTCCTCTGAGGGGGGCTGAGGGTTTCCTCATCGCCCTGCATTTAGAAGGGCCAAGAGTGAATTTGGAGTTAATCCATCAGTTTCTTTTTGGTTAAGCTTTTTAGAGTTGCTGTAACCAAAATAAATAAGTGAAGTAAAGCAACAGCAGAAAACGTTTGAACTTCAAAGCAGTCTTTTTCAGAGGGAGTCTGGATGTGCTAGAAAAGGAAAACAATTTTGTTAGGGTGGTGAGATCTTGGAATGTTATTCTTAGTATCTTTGAATATTTTTATAGTATTTTTAGAAATTGAAAGCAAAGCCTGCTGGTTCTAAGTTAGAATTTGGTTGACATATATACTGGGGGTGACCTTGCTTTTTTTTTTTTTTTTTTTTAAAAAAGACTTGAGCAGGCAGCTGGGTTTTATCAGCAACAGAACATTGGTGGTGTAGGATGGCTTGGTTGTAACCAAGGGAAAGAACCAAGTTATTCTGACACTCATCAAAGGGGCTAGTGATGGCTCTGGTGGAAATGGCCATTAGCTGTGAATAATGGATCCTCGTAAACAGGGCTTCTCAGCAAAACTCATACATTGCCAAATCAGGATCTTTTTCTTTTTTTCTTTTGGTTTCTTTTGCTGTTCTGTGGAATTTAATTCTGATTCCCTGCTCCCTTACCCCAGTGCATCCTAATTATTTAAAAAACAGAATTTCTATCCTAGGTTCTTAATTCAATGAGAGGACCCCACTATCCCAACGGAAGCGCTCTCTGCCCTCCTTAGGCTTCACCTTGCCTGCGTTCCCACCCCACCCCCACCCACCAGTGTAGATGCTGAAATGCAGCCCTCATTTTGGGCAGGAGAAGCAGCACCCAACTATCCTGCAGTGAGGCGTGAAGAGGGGAGATGTTCTCTCCATTTCATAGGTGGGGAAACTGAGGCATGGAGAATGAGCCCAGAGCACTGACAGCCCTCTGGGTTGGGGCACAGCTGTGGTGGCTGAGGATCATGCCCGTGGGTGCTGTGGTTTGGAGATGGTCCTCCTAGATCCCTCTCTCACCTTCTTTCCCTCTCTGCCCTTTTTGAACACAAAATGAAAAGGCTAGCTTAAAACCATTATTAAAATTTTTTAAGCTCCCATTTGAAAATTACAAAATACAGGAGAAATGAGAAAACAAGGTGCTCAATGTGGAAAAGCTAGAGAATGAAGTGCAAAGAAGAGAAAAATCCCAGACCTCATAATTTCTGCATATTAAATTGCCTTCCCATCCAGAAATAGCGCCTAGCTTTTCTTTACCAAACTTGTTCAAGCCACTGCCCGCGGGCTGCATGTGGCCCAGGACAAATTCATAAACTTTCTTAAAACATTATGAGTTTTGTTTTGCTTTTTTTGCTCTTCAGCTATTGTTAGCGTTATATGTGGCCCAAGACAATTATTTTTCCACTGTGGCCCAGGGATTCCAAAAGATTGGACACCCATACTTTAGATAGACCTTTCTTTTGGCCCTCAGCAAAGTTTTGTAATTTCTTTCTTTTGTGAAGTGTATTTCCATCAAATTTCTCTTTCGCATTCATTCTACATCAAGATCAAGTATCAAATATATTACTAACAAAACTTCTTAACAGTAAGCAATAAAATGAGCCCTGAAGTCATAATCCATCTTTTAAAAAAATTTCTCCTTTGCCTTTTGCATTAATCCTTAAGTTGTATACTTTGTTCCCATCTTCTTCTTAACTTTTAGAAAGTGCCCTACTTTCAGAAAGAAATAATAGAGCTTTACATGTTACGTTGGATCCCAGCGTTAGCACTCCTAGGTTTCTTAGATCATAGTAGTTCCTCCTAAAAGTCGTGGTGAGAAGTCTGAATTTACTTTTTCTTCTTAACTAGTATGGATTTTTAAAAAAATTTATTTATTTTTTTTGAGATGGAGTCTCACTCTGTAGCCCAAGCTGGAGTGCAGTGGCGCCAGATTGGCTCACTGCAACCTGCCCTCCTAAGCTCAAGTGATTCTGGTGCCTCAGTCTCCTGAGTAGGAGACTACAGGCGCACGCCACCATGCCCGGCTAGTTTTTTGTATTTTAGTTGAGACAGGGTTTCACCATGTTGCCCAGGGTCGTCTCGAACTCCTGAGCTCAGGTGATCTGCCCGTCTTGACCTCCCAAAGTGCTGGGATTACAGGTGTGAGCCACCACGCCCCGCTTGCCCCAGCTTTCTTTGCCTTAGGCATTCTAAAAATAGATTCATTAACGGTTATTCTCAAACCTAATCGGTGGTGCTCGCTGGAGCCTGCTGAGAAGGGAGCATGTGCCGGGAGCTGGGGCCTGTTAGCAGTTTTCAGAGAGAGATGAGGTTCCAGAGCCCCGCCCTGAGCCAGGGACGTGATTGGCAGCGGGGAAGAAGAGTACAGGGCTGCTGAGGGATGTGCCTGTAAGGATGAGGGCCCTGATGCTTAGCCTCACTGGTGACAGGTGTGGGAGGGATGAAACTCCAGTGACCTCTCCGCAGCCCACCCTGTGGGATGCCCCCATGAACTAGGAGGGATTCCCTCCCCTTGGTTTCCCTCTTTTTCTTTAATGTATCTGTTCGTTCCATCAGAAAACTAAGGAGATTCATTCATTTGGTAACCTTAGGGAAAGTATATTTCATTTTCCATTGTTATCGTTTGAGGTAAAATATTGTCACATATCCTTAGGTGGAGCCTACATCTCTTTAAGTAGAAAAAGGCAAAAGAAATAGCATGGTAACATTTTCTACCATGCCACACCAGGCATCATTGATATTTGCGAAGTTGGGAGGAGAGGAGGAAGGAGAGTCCACTTCTTTGTTGTCTGTAGTAATTTGCAGGATCAAAGTCCATTTTTGCTTTCTGGAGTTCAGAAGTGGTCTGGAATTTTTCTATTTCTTTCTCCCTATTCTCCCCAAATTTGATGGTATCCTCTGGTATTTCAGATGAAGAGATGTTTTGTGCTTGTTAAATGGTGACGCTGGACTAGAACCTCGAGTGAAATGTGTGAGTGCAACGTGTTTCCAAGTTTATTGGTGTCCTGCTTCCAATGACAGAAAGTACTTGATTTTCTCAGGTGGAGATGTGCAGATAGTGTATCTTATTTCCAGCTCTAAGAATTAGTCACATAATTGTTACTGAAATACTTATTGCAGAGCTTTCTCTCTGTAGTATTTTTGCAGCCAAATCCTAAGTTGAGGTGGAGAACCTGGGAAGGTACTTGGTGGTTAAGGGTGGTTTATAATTTGGATAGTGACATGCAAGGGTCATTGATATTTTACATATCTTTCTGGGGCTTAGTTTTAATTCATAATTTTAACAGTCAAACAGTCTGGAAGTATATGGAAAGCATCGCTCCCTTCCAGCTAATCCTGTTCACCTTCCCGTGGGTTACTGGTTGTTTCCTTTGCATTGTACCATTTGTAGAATGTCTTAGGTGCTTTTAAAATGTAAATGGTTTTATGCCCTTGATTTTTCTGTGCTTTGCTTTTTTACTTTATATGTGGAGGAAATCTTTCTTTTTTGAGACGGAGTCTCGCTCTGTCGCCTAGGCTGGAGTGCAGTGGTGTGATCTCGGCTCACTGCAATCTCTGCCTCCTGGGTTCAAGTGATTCTCCTGCCTCAGCCTCTGGAGTAGCTGGGATTACAGGTGCACACCACCATGCCCGGCTAATTTTGTTATTTTTTTTAGTAGAGATGGGGTTTCACCATGTTGGCCAGGCTGGTCTGGAACTCCTGACCTTGTGATCTGCCTGCCTCAGCCTCCCAAAGTGCTGGGATTACAGGCATGAGCCACCACACCTGGCCGTGGAGGAAATCTTTCAACACAGAGATCTACCTCATGAATCTATGGTTGCACAGAACTCATTGGTAGATTTATATCATAGTGTCTTCTCATGTAAACAAAAAGAAGGCTTTGTATGAGTGGGGACTTCTAGTGGAAAATCCTGTTCCTTCAAACTGTTGTTCTTACAGCCTTCTTGAATAAGAGTGAAACCCCTTAAGGATAGAATGCAATATTTAGAACTTTAAAGCTTTACCTTCAAGCCTGTCTTGGGATTTGAAGGTCAGTCATATTAAAGTTCTCATTGTAATCTTCCATTTCCTCTGTAATGTTGAACTTGCAGAGTAAAGTAGAGAATGAATCAAACAGGGACCTTGTCCTCATCGTGAAGGTGGAGACAGGAGCAGGCGGAAGACTCCATGGTGATACAAAGAAAGGGTCTGGGCGGGCATCTGAGAGGGGGTGAGGCCGCACAGGGTTGGGAAAGATGACAGAGCCAGAGAGCGGAGAGCAGGAGAAGTGCAGGGCAGGGCCTTTGTGGAGAGGGTCAGGGGAAGAGCCAGGGTTTGAAGTCAGAGCAAGAGCGGGGGTTCAGGGTGGGGTGGGGGAGACCATGGAGGCTTCATCACAAAGGATCCTTTGGGCATCCTGTCCAGGAACATGAGCAGGGAGCCTTGGGATTGGCCTTGATTTGGAGAGGGTGCCTCACCTGTGCCTGATGCATGATGGAGCCACAGAGGGAGACTGGGCACCCTCAGGAGGAGGAGAGAGCCAGACACCAGTGACCATGCAGGGCTTTGCTGCACAGAGCAAAGGTAACATGAAGCCCTGCTCCCAAGCTGTGCCCCGTCCAGCCCACAGGGACCTGGTGCTGAGCAAGCTTTATCAACACCGCCCTGCTGTCCGTTAGAGAAAAGGCCCATTAATGATCAGACGCTGATTATTTCTTGGTCAGGAAGTACGAATGTGATAGAAGAAGCTGGAAGGCATTCTGTGGTTCAGGAAGGCTGGGGGGCACTGGGTGTGCTCAGAACTACACTGCCCAGCTTGCCGCAGGTGATGGAGGAGTAGACATAGGGCGGGGGAAAGGGGGCTGGGGGTGGGGGCCAGTGCCAGGCATCCACTAGGGTGGGGCAGGGTGTGCCCCATGGGCCCTACTCCATGTGGAATGTTGTAAAAGAGATTTGTGGAGCTGCTATATATACACACACACACTCTAACATATATACACACACACATATATACACACACATACATGTACATATACACATATATATATACACACACACACCCACTTGTATATATTTACAGACACATACATATACATAGACTTGTATATGTATACATACACATACTTATATATATATACACACACTTGTATGTATATACACACACATACATATATACATACACATACTTTTTGCCTTGTCCTTTTACATTATTTCTGTTGTTATAAAGAACATAATATAGTGGTACATATACATATATGTGGGGTGCATGCTCAACACTGATAATTGGAAGCGGGTGACCAGATTGTTCTGGAGAACTCAGAAATCTTGAACAGGAAAAGGACAAAGACTTTTTGGACAAACCGTGTAAAGACGGGAGAAGTGCCACGTGGGGATGGCATAGACAGAAGGGCCCGGAAGGAGGTGGCATGGTGATGCAGTGGCCAGGGCCCCCACGCGGCGGGCACAGAGATGGGGGACACATGGAAGAACACATTGTCAGCATCTGCCAACCACAATGGAAGAGCAGTGAAGAGGGAGAAGGGGCGTCTAGAATTTAGTAGCGCCTGCGATGGAAGAGGTTTGTACAGAGGAGTTCTTCTGGCATTTGACTCTGTTCTTTGTCTTACTAAAATGTGGAATGTCTTCAGAGGAACTGAGCAAGTGAGAACACAGGTGGGTGCCCAGAGCAGAGGGTCTCAGATTTGGGTCACGTCAGCAACACCTGGAACCTTGCTAAGGCCAGATGGCCAGACCACACCCCAGAGTTTCTGCTTTGGGAGCTGTCCTACCCCAGGCTGCAGTAACAAAATACCACAGACAGGGTGGCTTATGAGCAACAGAAATTTATTTCCCACAGTTCTGGAGGCTGGGAAGTCCAAGATGAAGGCCCCAGCAGATTCAGTATCTGGTGAGGGCCCAATTCCTGTTCATAGATGGCGCCTTCTCGCAGTGTCCTCACATGGCAGCATCCTGTACAGACTTAAAAAAGGTGTTCAAAAGTTTCTTCTTGTGATTTGCGGAAATTAAAGTAATACAAAAGTATAGGAAGGTCGTATTACCTGGTGTCCCCAGACTTCTAAAATAAACAAATACATGAATAGCTTTAAAAATGCATGTAGCTAGGCCGGGCTTGGTGGCTCACGCCTATAATCCCATCACTTTGGGAGGCCGAAAAAGGTGGTTCACCTGAGGTCTGGAATTCAAGACCAGCCTGGCCAACATGGCGAAACCCCATCTCTACTAAAAATACAAAAATTAGCCAGGTGTGGTAGCACGCAACTGTAATCCTAGCTACTCAGGAGGCTGAGACAGGAGAATCGCTTGAACCCGGGCGGCAAAGGTTACAGTGAGCCAAGATCATGCCACTTCATTCCAGCCTGGGTGACAGAGCAAGACTCCATCTCAAAAAAAAAAAAAGAAAAAAGAAAAAAAAAATGCATGTAGCTTTAAAAAGCAAAAACATTGACCCTGCTGTATGTATTATCCTCTAAGTTGTCCTTTTTACTTAACGTTGGCATTTTATGTGCAAAAAGTTGTAAAAGGTGCAGATATCATCTACAAAACCCATACTTTTAACCACCCTTTAAAAAAGGTGACATCTTGGGGCAAAATTTTTTCCCCTGGGCATATTGGTAGGATTTTATTGGGTAAGCCTATGGGAAGGTGTGCATCACAAGGGTTTTATAGCTGGATTTCAGAGCCTGCCAGCTGGGGTTGCAGAGAGCTGCTCTTTTGCCTGCTTCTGGAGACAACAAATTGGAGTTCTGGCTTCCTGGAGGGCTCAGAGCAGGGCGAGGACCACAGGGAGGTCTGATAAGCAAGCGCCCTTTGCTTTAGGCTTGGAGCATGCCGGTTGCTAGAGCCTGCTCAGGCACCCCAGATTGACTTTTTATTTGGGCCACTTTTCATCCTGTGTAACCGCTTAGAATGAGCACAGGCCTGGAAGGCTGAGGGCGGCTGCAGAGTGCTTCTCTAGTCTGGGCATGCTCCAAGGTTTAGGGCTAAGGCTCCTTCAGGTTCAGGAGTAGGCACGGCTTCCCGTTCAGCAGCTGCCACTCTTTGGTCTATCATGATGCCTGACCTTTGAGCACCTCATTCTTTTGGTGGGAACTAGCAACTGCGAAGCCCCCTCACCGCAGGGACACATCCCCCTTTCTTATTTGGAGAATTAAACACAGAGCAGTATCTTCTAATTCGAACCTTCTGGTCAGCTTAAGCAAAACTTTGAATGCTTTTCTTCTTAGAAGAATGATGCATATTCTTATCTGCTTTAAGCAAACATTTCAGTTGTGCCACCTCAGGGTTTATCCAAGGAAAGTCGAAGATTTGCCCTTTTCCAGAGTGCTAGGATGATTGGGGTTCTTCAGAGGTGAGTAAGGATGCATCTTTCCTATGTACACTTGTTTTCTTCAGATGGGAGGTGGGAGGACTGCAGCCAGGTGGGGAGCAGCCAGGGGTGGGGGGATAGGGATCAGAATTTTCTGAGGACTTCAGACTTGGCCCTTGCCTTCTACCCAGGCGGGCCAGTCTCTATGCAAAGCAGTGCCTTTGACTGGAGGAGGGCACAGATACACTTGGTAGGGCAAGCTGTGGGTGAGGAGGGATTTAGCCCTATATTTGGCTTGATTTGAGGGCTGTGACCTGGGCGTATGAGCATCAATAGATTAAAGGTGGTGACAGGTCTGGCACTGTTTTGGTTGTGGTTATGTTTCACTGCTTAACCAACCACTTTAAAACATAGTGGCAGAAAACAGTTACCGTTGTATTTATACCCATGGGCTTGGTGGATCAGGAATTTGAGACGGGGATGGCTCTTCTTTGTTTCGTGATGCCTGGGACCACACCCAGGTTAGAGCATCCACTTGCAGGGGGCTTCTTCACTGGCAGGTCTGGACCTTGAGGACAGACTCAGGCTTGGCTGTTAGAGTGCCCACAGGCAACCTGTCTGGCCTCACGTGGTCAGACTTCACGCATGGTGGTTCAGGGCTCTGAGACCAAGTGTCTCAGCAAATGTGGCAGAAGCACTGGCGGCCATCTGTGACCATCTAAAGGCATCATATAGTGTATCTTTTGCTCTTCACTGTGGTCCAAGCAGCTCAAGACCCCCAGACTTAAAAGAAGGACACAGAGACACTTCTGTCCCCCCATGCAAGGTGTGCCAGATAATTTTTGGATAGGTTTTAAAAGTGTCACTTTGGAGTATCCCTTTGGGTATAAAGGCTCCATGTAGCTTTGCTGCAAGCACTTGGCAGAGAAACTGTTTTTCAACTTAGATGAAGCTTTTCGATACAGCTCACATGTTCAGAAAAGCTTGAGAGGAACAGCAAACAGTCCAGCATTGGAATGCATGCAGCAGCAGCATTCTGGAACTTTCTCTGCCAATAATACTTTCAGTGTGCTCAAGGTGCCCTCTGTTTGTACAAGATTTCCATTTTGAATGTCTCTCTAAATTAAAGTGTTCCTGCTCTGAGCACTGGAAGGTTGGAAATCGCTATTCATTCTCCTGAAATGGGGGGCATCTTTCACATTCCAGGAGGCTTCGCTGCCCCACTGAGGATTTCATGGAGGTTGATGTCACTCAGTTTTTGTTTGAGCATGTGCCACGTGGCATTGAGGATGGGGGATTAGCTTAGAGGATGTGTTTGGAAATGAACAAGATGCGTTTCTTCCATGCAGATGGGAAGGAATCTGGAGCCCTTGACAGGTCATGCAGGCCTTGGACTGAGGCCTAACTTTTGGAAGGGTGGCCCAGGGATGGGTGGGCGCTAGCTGTGTGTCCTCAAGCAAGTCACCGGCTACCTCTTGGGGCCTGTCTTCCGCTGTGGGATGGTGGTGATACCATGACGCTGTGATTAGAACCAACATAAAAGGCCCACGTGGAGTAGGTGCTCAGTAAGCAGCAGTGATGCTGGCATTGCCACTCTTACTGGGCACGTGCCTTGGTTCTGTTACTAGGCCCTCCCCAGGGCTGTGGCCTCTCACTACGTGCGCCCCACACAGGCCCTGGGTTGCACCTCTGGCTGATGCGGGCCTTCAAGCCCCAGCCCTCAGGTTCTATTTGCCTGTGAGACATCTTCATGTGGGTTGCTACAGGATGCCCTGAGCTAAGCATGTACTTATCTCAGACCATCCTCCTCTGCCCCAACTATCTGCCTCTGGTGCTCTTATCTTGTGACATTACTGTCCTCACCCTCAGGACCGGTGGGCTCTGCCCTCTGCATTATTTACTCTCTGTTCACCTCCTCCCTCGTCCATTTGTCTCTCACACCGCTGCTTCCAGATTTGCTCAGACTACAGCACCTCACTGTCTCTTCATGCTCTGAACAGCTGTTCATTGCCTGCTGTCCGGAGCCCAGCTTTCTTGGAATAATATAAAAGGGAACACAGTGGTGCCCATATTTGGTTCATGAACAGAATCTCCTGGGGCTTGTTATGAAAACAACCATCCTGCCCATCTTGACCTTGCTGCTGCATCTTCCCCTCCCCAGGGGCCTCTGCTGGCATTGCCATCCCGCCCCCGCCCCCCCCAATCCTCTTCCTCCACCAGAATCTCCTTCTCCGTCCGTAAGTCATCCCACAGCCATCTTCACGCTACTCCCCAGGACTCAGGTGACTGCAGCCTTTACTTCTCCAGGGTGCATTATATATAGGTGGCTGCTGACCATTTTCCTTCAAGGACAAGAACTCCTTGGACTGGAATCACCTTAGTCATTCTGGTATCCCTTAGAGCAGAGGTCAGCAAACTGTGGCCCATGGGCCATATCCAGCCCAGTGCTAGTTTTTGTAAGATCCAAGAGCTAGAAAGTTTTAACAATTCTTAAATGGTTGAAAAAAGTCAAAAAGAATACTAGTTCACAGCACCTGAAAATTGTATAAAATGCACATTTCTGTGTCCTTCAATAAAGTTGTGTGGGAGCACAGCCATGCTTTTACAAATTATCTTCAGCTGTGTTCACTCTCCAGTGGTAGAGTTGAATAGCTGGGACAGAGATGTCCCACAAAACTGCAATATTTGCTATTCTGGCTCTTTTAATAGAGTTTTGTGGGTTTTTAATTTTTTTTTTGAGACAGAGTCTCACTTTGTTGCCTGGGCTGGGGTGCAGCAGTGTGATTATGGCTCACTGCAGCCTCAACCTCCTGGGCTCAAGCGATTCTCCCACCTCAGCTTCCTGAGTAGCAGGGACCACAGGTGTGTGCCACCATGCCCAGCTAATTTTTGTATTTTTTTGTAGAGACAGGATTTCACCATGTTACTCATGCTGGTCTCAAACTCCTGGGCTAAAGCAGTCCACACTCCCAAAGTGCTGGGATTACAGGCATCAGCCACCACACCCAGCCTACAGTTTTCTGACTTCTGCCCTAGAGTAGCAATTCCCAGTCATTTGGGGGAGCTTTTTAGTCAGGCTTTCAGCAAATATTTAGGGAGCACATACTATGTTCGTCTGTCTCAGTACCCTAGATAACAGCACTGAACAAAACAAAATTGTTGCTGCTGTGGAGCTTACATTTTTTTATTGGGCACAAACAGGCAATAAACAGATATAAATAGGTATATTAGCTGGTGATAAGTGCTGTGAAGAAAAAGAAAGGCTAAGTGGGCTGTTGGGGGGTGGGTGCTCTCACAGATAGATTGGTCAGAAGACCTCTTTTATAAGGTAACTTTTGAGCTGAGACCTTGGATGAACTGAGGGAGGGGGAAAGGTGAAGAGGCAGTTGGGAGAAGTGTAAGTGCAAAGGCCCTGAGGCAGGCAGGTGTGGCAAGTCTGAGGAATGACGAGGCAGATGGCCTGAGCCTGGACTCTGAACATTCAGAGAGATGGGCAATAGGTGGTGGCAGCAGGTCCCCAGATCCCTTAGGGTAGAGGTCCTCCTCCCTCGCCAGGGGTCACAGTCACCTGGGGTACTTAAAAAATACAGCTGCTGGGAGGCCTCTGTAGAGATTCTGATTCAGCAGGTCTGAAGTACAGACCTGTGGCCTGGAAGGTCCTAGATTTTATCGGTTGAGATGGGAGAATCAGATCCACACTGCTCCACCCCCAGCCCCATCTCTGTCAGTGTTGGGGCCTGCAGAGCCCTTGCAATGCTAAAAGGCAGTGTGGATTAGGAACCTTGGCTACCGGACCTCACACATTGCTTGGCTCCTAGAAGATACTCAAATAAATGTTTAAATAATTTTTAAAAAGAGACCTGCATTTGCCCTGTGACTGATGGCCTCTGTTACTGTTATTTTGGGGCATGCCTTTTCTTTCTCTGTGCATGGTTCCGTCTAGAGGCCTAGGTCTCAATAAAGGGGTAAGTCCTCCAGCATCTAGCCAGTGGTGGCTGCTCCACCTTTTATTGCAGGAATGGGGGCACACTGTTTCCCGTAGTCTGAGGTGGATCCACCCCGCCCCCCACTGCTTGTCACCCAGCCAGGCCTTTGGGAAGGGTTCTCCACGCCCTCTCAGGGGGTCCTCCCCATACATGCTGCATTTCCATCACAGACCCCATGTCGCCTCTGGACAGTAAAGCAATGTGTGCAGGGTCTTAACTTGTGCATCCGCAAGCGCTGAGTTTGTTGAATGAATGGGGGATGGAGGAGCAAGGAAGGATTTTAGGAAACATTGGAAAGAAGGCAAAGCCTGCATGAGGACCCCGCAGCCAGGGGCTGCCTGATTTCACTGAGCATCCAGCAGGCTGCTTTATAGGATGTCATACTATAAAGAAGGGCGTGCCTTACATACAGTGTTACATAGATAACGTAGGGTAGGAGAGCAGTCTCCCTAAATCACACTTTCTTCCTGTGACTTAGTGTAAAAGTACATATGCTTTCCAGTTTGAAATAGTGATCGGAATGACTGAGAAAAACATGCTAAAGCATACTGTAGCCATTTAAAATGGACAGGTATAAAACGGAAATGGTGATTTTGCCTGATCCAGCCTTGTAACATTACTTGAAATAGGGCCATTGAAATTGCTACCCAGATCTGGATTCCTGGTGAAGAATCTGTACTTTCTGTGTGGCCTGGCATTCAGGGACTCAGGCTATATCCCTATTCTAAAACAAATGTGCCTCTTAAAATCCCGGGCTTTTATGGATTCTGAATTGATGGTTTTTCATTTGTTCGGGGTCTTGAATTCATTGGAGGACCTTGAGACCTGTGAACACACAATTTCACATGTGCTTTCACATGAGACTCCCCTCTAGTCTCCCTGAAACCCATTCAGGGATCCATGGAGATCCACAGACTTCAGATTGGAAGACTGTATTCTAAAAGGATTGATCTCATGATAGCTGATGACTATTTAAGAAATCAAGTTAGACTCAGAGATTATGAAAGTGTTGGGTTAGCATTTGAATTTTTTCTTTGTTGGAAAAGGACACTCATTTTAATCATATCCTTTAAAAAACTCAATTTTTCACTCTAAATGAAAATTTTTATGAGTTAGATTTTCTTGAACTGGGTTCCCTGCATAGCTTGAAGTCTGGATACCAACATAATGAGAACTATGAAGCTGATATGCCTCAGTTTACATACAAAGTATTTTTTAAATTTATATTAAAAATTAAAATATCTTGAAAGCTGTGTAAGAGCATTCAGTTATAAGCCCTTTGTCAATAACTGAATAATTATCTTTCTTAAAATACTTACTTTACTTAATATTGATTCCTGGTACTATATAAATGGGTTTAATTCAGTTCAAATATTTGTAGAGTGCATCTGTTAGTAATGCCCAGCTATCTGTTTGAAGCACCGTAAGGTGGGTCAAAATAACTCAAGCAGGTTGCAAAAACTTAAAAGCAATATTAATTTAAAGTAATGTTTAACTTTTAAGGTCTATGCCCTGCAACCTTCCAGGCTACTCTACACAAAACTAAAGCTTCATAATTGTTGGAAATTGCTTGTGTCTTTCCCTTTGGAATCTGTGCAGCAACGTGGGGGTTTGTCCTGCTTTGCTGTGTGTGTGTGTCTGTTCTTTGGTCTGGGCTGGGTATTGAATTATCTCTCAAGCAAAGCAGGTAGAGCTTTTGATAATTTGAAAGGAGGCCACAACACTTGACATGAAAACATTGTAAAGATTAATTGGTTATAGCGCGTCTGAAGATAAAAAGTAATAAGCAAGAGATAAATGTAAGAAAAGGGAAAAATTACTTGGCATGCATTCAACGAATTTTAGTGCTTGGACCATGTATGCCTGGTGTAACAAATGTAAATATGAAAACGCCTCATCTTGCAGTGAGACCCACCTGTAAGGTACCAATTAGAACAAAACATGCAGCAGACCTTGGCCACACAGGAGGGCCACCAGTGTCTCCTGGAGCAGGAGGGAAGGTTGAAGGTGCTTTCTGGAGAATCAGATGCTCAGATGAGTCTTGGAGGTGCAGGTGCCCAGGACACTACCTGTAGACGAGCTGAAGGGTTGGGGACAGCAAGTGGTTTAGGGAAGGTGGAGAGTCACATGCAGGGGGCTGCTTGCAGGGGCCTGCTCTGGAGGTCTGAGTGGCGAAGCGTGGAGGTCTGAGTGGGGAAGGAAGGGATTCATGAAGCCTCCTTTGCAGCATGAATCAGGAGGTGCAGCTGGGGAGGAGAGGGCACGTCTCCAGGTGCATCTCCAGCCTCCAGGGGCAGTGGAAGAGGTCTGAGACACAGAAGTGGATCTGGTCCATATCTGCTTACATCCATTCTTATCCATTTATGAAGGGTGGTAAAGCTTTGGCTGTGGCTTGGACATCATTCCCCAGGGCTGATCCTGGGAAGCATGGGCGTCACCTGCTTCCCCAGGAAGAGATGATTAAGGAGAAGCAGTGGGCAAGGGGAAAGGGCTCAGGACATCATGGTCAAGGAAACAGAAGGTGTCTGGGATGGGTGGCAGCCTTCACTGCTGTGAAATGGACTGAGGATAGAAGGATTGAGAGATTTTTGTGAAATCAACTTTTTTTCTTTTTTCTGAGACAGGGTCTCACTTTTGTCACCCAGGCTGGAGTAGTGGCGCTTTCTCAGCTCACTGCAGCCTCAACCTCCTGGGCTCAAGCGATCTTTCTGCTTCTGCCCCCGCCATGTAGCTGGGACTGAAGGCACAGGCCACCACCCCTGGCTAATTTTTTGAGATGGGGTTTTCACCAGTTTGCGCAGGCCGGCCTCAAACTCCAGAGCTCAAGTGATTTGCCTACCTTGGCCTCCCAAAGTATTAGGATTACAGGCACAAGCCACCGCACCAACCTGAAATCAACATTTTAAAGTGAGTTGAAAAAAGGTTTGAAAGAAAAAACTGAAAAAGCAAATAACGATGGAATGATTTGAAAAGTCTGCCAAAAGGTGCTACCCACCCAGAAGGCAATAAGAGAATGGATGCTTCCATAGCATGGAATACTTATTCTCAGTAAAGCAGCTTAATCCTGTAGCCAAAATGAGACAGTATACTTATTTGAGATATATAGCACAGTAAAGAAAAGCGCACATGGGTTGGGCAACTGGTGGCTCACAGGTGATCTTTGTGGACTCTGGTGGCAGCAGTGCGTGGTGTCCGAGCTGAGGACTGACCCAGGTGTTCACCAGGTGTCTAGAAAAAGGCAAGAACAGGACAACAAGGACATAGAGTTTAGTAAGGGTTAAAATCTCTTCCCTCCTTTTTTAAAAGTAACTAAACTTTTTTAAAAGTAAGTAAACACTTAACCACAAGGAAAATTAAACAGTTACTCATGTCACCATTTAAACTCAGTATTTTGGAAATTTCACAGTCTTTTTTTCCCAATGCATTTTACAGAAGTGAGAGTCACACTGTATATATACTTTTTCGTCTGGTACTGTCATAACTGCATCATGTTACAGTGTAGTTCCGTGGTCATATTTAATGGCTTTCTGATTTCATCAAATGGCTGTATGACAATTTATACAGCAATTCTCTAATTATGGGATATTTTGGCTTATTCCTTTTTTGTGTGTGTGATTATAAATAAGGCCATGACATTGGTGAGGGCACTTTTCCTGTATGTTTACTGATTTCCTGAGAGTAAGATAAAAGCAAAATCACATGGTTCAAAGGTATAAGTGTTACAGGAAAGGGGTCCCGATCCGGACCCCAAGAGAGGGTTCTTGGATCTTCCACAAGAAAGAATTCAAGGCGAGTCCTTAAAGTGAAAGCAAGTTTATTAAGAAAATGAAGGATTAAAAGAATGGCTACTCTATAGAGAGGTCAGTTCTGAGGGCTGCTGATTGCCCATTTTTATGGTTATTTCTTGATGATATGCTAAGCAAGGGGTGGATTATTCACACCTCCTCTTTTTAGACCATATAGGTAACTTCCTGACGTTGCCATGGCATTTGTAAACTGTCATGGCGCTGGTAAGAGTGTAGCAGCGAGGACGGCCAGAGGTCACTCTTGTGGCCATCTTGGTTTTGGTGGGTTTTAGTCAGCTTCTTTACTGCAACCTATTTTATCAGCAAGGTCTTTATGACCTGTATCTTTTTTGTTCTTGAGACGGAGTTTTGTTCTTGTTGCCCAGGCTGGAGTGCAATGGTGTGGTCTCAGCCCACTGTAACCTCCATTTCCAGGGCTCAAGTGATTCTCCTGCCTCAGCCTCCCAAGTAGCTGGGATTACAGGCATGCGCCACCATGCCCAGCTAATTTTGTATTTTTAGTAGAGATGGGGTTTCACCATGTTGGTTAGGCTGGTCTTGAACTCTTGACCTCAGGTGATCTGCCTACCTCTGCCTCCCAAAGTGCTGGGATTACAGGTGTGAGCCACAGTGCCCGGCCCATGACCTGTATCTTATGGTGACTTCCTATCTCATCCTGTGACTTATAATGCCTTAACAGTCTGGGAATGTAGCCCAGTAGGTCTCAGCCTCACTTTACCCAGCTACTGTTCAAGATGGAGTTACTCTGGTTCCAGTGCCTCTGACATAAGCAGTTTTTATTTTTTTTAATGAATAATGAATCTAGTTAATAGCTTTATTTTAATTTCTCCCATTTCCCTGCTTTCTTGCCACTTTTATTTATTTGGTCATATATTGCTGTCTTTTTTTTAAACCAAGTTTTCTCCTCTGTTTGAAGAGAGATGTGCTTCTATGGAATTAGCAACATTCCCCTTCTTGAGAGTGGGAATTTCATGTGGGGGTGTAGTTTGGATACTGAATCCTATTTGATGAGTAGCTATTAAACTCCTACTACACACAAGAGGATGGCAATGGGAAGATGCCTGGGGTTATGAGATCCTAACCTCAGGGCCTTCCCAAGCTCACAAATTTAACAGCCCGGGACAGGGAGGACGTTTGTGTTTAATCTCTCTGTTCTTCCTCGGCACCTGGAAGCACCTAAATGCACCTGGCACTTAGAAGGCCTTCAGTATCTGCTGAGTGGCCACATGAGGGCCAAATAGGAGTGTGTACAAAATATTAGGACCGCCTATGCTCAGGAAAGGCTTCCGTAGAAAGAATCCTGCTCAGTAACTTAAAGTGAGTGCTCATGGTCCAGTATTACATTTTAAAGTCATCTGCTGTTGATTCAGGGCTGACTTATACACATTTACTGAAGGCCAGCTGTATACAGGCAAAGGAGAGCCTGCCCACCAGGTGCCTAGAGTATAGAAGGGAGATGTGGTAAGTGCTGAGAAAGGATGGCACTCCCGTTGGAGTTAAGCCGCACTGCAGGCCACTGTTTAACCTCTCTGGGTTTGCTTTCATCATCATTACAAGGGAGAGGTTAGACTGAACCTTAGGACTTCTTTCAGACATGTGATTATTTGATTTTTGTGACTAGCTCTTCCTCAAACAAAGGTTGAGAACATACTGTTTATCAAAACACATGCATCCTTAGCTAGGTGTGATGGCGTACGCCTGCAGTCCCACTTACTCAGGAGGCGGAGGCGAGAGGATCACTAGAGACCAGACTGGGTAATAAAGGGAGATCTGTCACTTGGAAAAAAAAAAAAAAAAAAGCTTCACCTGCACTGTCCAACTCTAGACCCCAAAAGAGGTATTCCAAAACTGCAGGGATAGATAGAAAAGAAAAACAGCTCAGAGCAGTGTGAGCCATGTGAGGTTTGCAAAATTTATCAGGCTGGAGAGTCATGAGCACGGAACTAAAGTCATGCCCTGCCATGCCCAGGGCCGGTTCTTTAAAGGTATTTTGTTTCTGCCCAGCTGCCTCAACCAATTATCTTTTTCCTGGGATTTTTGATACAAAAAACAATATATGGCCAATCAGTAGCTTATGTTATTTTAATGTAAATTCTTGATAACTTAGAAACTGCCTTTTCCTTTAAAAGCCCACTTGTCACTGCTGCTGATGGGAGCATATATTCAGGGCAACTTGAATTGATGTTCCTGGGTTGCAGTTCTCAAACTTGGCCTGAATAAACTCTACGATCCTGTTTTTACTTATTTTGTAGTAAGATTTAATTGTTTTGAAAACAAAGTATGCATTTTGTTGTCTTCGTAAGTTAATTTTCTTTGTAAAATTTAAAATATTGGTTAAAATTTAAGATTCCATCCATTGGAATCCCTGAAAGTTGTGGACTTAAACATTGACTTCCTTTTTTCTTTCTCTTACAGCTGTTTGGGGCAACTTCGTTAATATGAGGTAATTGTTTTTAATTACTTGGGTACTGTGGTTGGATTTTATAGACACATTTCAGTTGGTACATATATACCATGGATGTCATGGGTTAATTGAAAAATATTTTTAAAACAAAAGTGGGTTCTTGCTATTCACATATCTGAGCTGTTTCTTTTCTCCTATGGGTATTCTCAAGGAATGCAGCTGATTTTAACAATTACCAAGTAAGGCCCACAAGTAAAACAATGGTCGGCCACCCCCGCTTCCCTCCTTGTGTAGATAATAAAGGGTTGACCCTAGCTTATGTAAATTGTATTTCTGGGTGGATTGAGCAAGAACACTGAGGGGCTTTTGCAAAGCCTTCTGAGAAGGGAGCTGTCTTCGGGAAGCCATGGCAGGCCCATGACCTCAGGGGGCCAGCTAGTGGGTATCGATGCAGAGACCACCTATTTAGTCCAGCGTTAGGCCTGTATGCATCGTGTGTGCTTCTTCATAGGGCAGGAGGCACTCTTGTAAAAATAAAACTCGTGTTATCTCTTTACCAAATAAAAAAAAATAGCCTTTAAAAAAATCAGCAAAAAGAAATAAGCACTTATTGTAAAAACCATTTGGTACTGTTAATAGTTTTCCATGTAAAGGAAAATTTGCTCCACTTGGTTATGTTGTGAGAATCACTATTGTGATGATTAGGTTGGTATTGTAATGTAATGCGGCTGCACATGTCTACCAGGGTAAAAGGTTACTATGCCCTCAGGAGGCTTTTCATGTGGAGTTGGGTTTTGCAAGGTGGGTGGGATGGTGTCGATTTGATTCCTACCACCAGGGCATGTGTGTGTCTCCTGACAAAGGCTGCTGTGTATGACTAGGTGGGGTGCTCAGATCCCTTTTAAAGGAGCTCTGTGGTTTTACTTAAAAGACTCCATTTTTACATTAAATCCCCAGGAAAGCCCAGCAGGCACAAACACATACTCCTACAGACGCACTTCCTGCTTCAAATTTAAAATCCTGTGTTGGATGTAGCATAGCAGTGAGATTATTTTAGTTTAGTGGAAATAATCCATTAGGTAATACTGAGCATGTTCACAGATGGATTTAAGGGGAGTCCTTCCCTTTGGTTGTCTTCTTTTCCTCTGGTGCATCCCTTCTGGAGGGAATTGTACACATGACTGATACTTGAGCAGGAGACAGAGGTGGTCTGCATCCGTTGGGTTATGTTAGGGTAATTTATTCAGAAACAGTCTTAAAGTCACAAAGCCTTTCAGTTGATCTCAGTTTTATAGCTTTCTACTCAACAGGTCTATCCAGGAAAATGGTGAACTAAAAATTGAAAGCAAGATTGAAGAGGTTAGTCTTTTTTCTATTTTTGTATCTATTTCATCTGTATACTTGTCAATTTTACTTCCTTTGCTCGTGCTGTCATTCTTATTGTGGCAGCTTGATGCTGTTCTGTGATTTTGCAACCGTGTCTCAAAAAATTACTCCCTTATTTAAGAGGACATGCAGTCTGTTACTGTTGGTCCATTTTTGATGTATTAAAACAAATTCTACCTCAAAGGCAAAATGGATTTAGACTTTTACATGACTTTTCAGGTAAGCGTTTTTTAGAGAAAGGGAAGTGATTGCCTTTGGGAGATAGAGATGAGTACAAACATCCTCTCACTGGCACAGGTGCTGAAAAGAACAATGGCCACCAATCGGATGCTAGGCCACGTGCACAGATGGAGACGTTGCACACCCACCCAGCTGAAGGCTAGCACCTATGCTCAGTTATGCACCTCCTATTTAAATACATGTAGATACAGCCAGACCGTTGTAACATGGGCTGTGGGGGAGGGGATGGGAGGTTACTTACTTTGGATTTGAAGCCAACTTAGGGAGTCCTGGGAAGCCCTTGAGTTGCTGTCTTTCTGCCTGAGTCCACAGTGTCTACAGACGTGGATGTAGGTTGACTCACAGCCTGCAATTTATGTGCTGCAGCTGATAACATGAGTATACACAGTAATTGCAGAAACAAGATGTTAAGCTTTTGTGGGCCATGCTTAGGGGATTGTTCCTAAAAAGAGATGGATAGTGTTGATCTGTTTTTATGAGCCTGAAACACCTTTTACATTCTTCCTAGTAGGATGGGTGAGCAAAAACATTAATTGTCTCAGAAACCGAGGCATTTATGGAGTAAGAGTTCAAATGGACAGTTTATCTGTTCAATTCTAGCATTGTGATGCAAGTGGTGTATCTTAATTTCAAACTGGAAGTTAATTTGTAGAAGAAATTAAAACCTGTTTTGCCTTATCTGAAACATCAGAATGGGGTGAAAGGGGTTGAGAACTGTGTTTTTGCTTTAAAACTGATTTTTGTTATTATTGTTCTAGATGGTTGAACCACTAAGAGAGAAAATCAGAGATTTAGAAAAAAGGTATGTGTACTTTTTGTCTTAAAGTCAATAGTTAAAATAAGTTTGTCTCAATTGAGTAATTAATTCTGTTTGTTTGCTCCAAACTCTGCCAACCTAAATAAATGTCTGTATACGCATTTCCCCCACTTTGAGTGTAATACCCAGATAGAACATGGGGAGAAGAATCAATCTAGATGTGTTAAGATCTTCCTTCTTCAAACTCTGAACGTCTGAATTTCTGCAAATTTATTACATAGAAGTTGAGGCCAGGCCTCACATTTTCCTTGAACTTCTGCATATATTGATCAGTGGGATAGAATTCCAAAATAGGAGGACAATCCAGTGGGCCTGAAATGTACCATATGCAAACACCACAAAATAAGGATGTGGAGCCTATGGTGTGTCATGTGTAGTCATTTAGCTGCTTTTGTCACCAGAGTTCATGAGGAGGTTTCCAGAATTTAGTCCAGGTGAAGTGAGAGGGCAGAAGAATTATGTAATATGATAGAAATGTTTATTTGAGTCAGATTTCGGAGAGAACCCCTCCTCACCCTTTGGGACACTATTGCCCTCAGGTTCTCTCTCAGGCACTCCCGAGGCCGCTGAGCCTCAGCCTCCAGGACTTTCCTCTTGCACGTACTGTATGTGGAAAACTATCTAGAGTAGCAGTTGAATCTTCAGAAATTTTAGAAAGAAAAATGACAGCATTTATTAAAGTTGATGTGATTTTTTCCCCTTATTGGGATGAGTTTGGACGATGTGTGTCAGCATTGAATGAGCCTTTTATCAAGTCCAGAACAAAAATGAAAAAATGAAGAGCAGTTTTCCTTTGATTTTCATTAAATGATCGAAGGGAAATACGACTGGAGAAGAGTCATTAAACAAAATGTGTCATTCACTTGATTCTTATCCTCAACTGAGCAGTCAAGCAAACTGTTAATTTCAGCACTTATCAGAACAAAAGTTGTCAGTAATTTTTAACAGATTCCTTAGTAATATAAGGTTGTTACTTGTGCTTTAAATTTTTTTTGCCATGATTCTGTGCTTTAGTTATGCAGCTTGTAATATTTCCTTGGATGGGAGCCAGAAAATCTGCCTTTGATAAGACAGCAGAATTGAGAGATCTTAATTGAAGCTTTTTTTTTCTTTTTAGAAAAATTGGAACAATAAGAAATAACCCACCACACATTTTCTATATTGGTCTAAAAACTTGTCCACCAGTGATTATTTTCTTTAGACAATAGAATTTATTTATGAAAAGAAAAATGTCTCAATTCGATAACTTCCCTAAGGCAATAGCTTACAAACAAGAGCTCTCAACATGTGAGAATTATGCAATCTCTTTGATACTTTTGTGATATCTTTGAGTGTGTGCTTTTAAACTGGATGGAGAAGCACAAATAAGAATTCAATCCTAAGAATTTACTAATAATTTATTCTTGTCAACCTGTGAAACCGCCTTGAAAATAGTGGCAAAGGGCAAACATTTGCCTCTCGGGCTGCTTGCAGGTGACTCATTCTGGAATGGTTCCGTCCTTCAGGTTGGTCAGCAAGTCAGGTGATCCGCGTGCCTGCATTACTGTGTCAGAAGGTCAAGCGTAGGCCTGGCTAAAAAAGCGTGACGGTGGAAATTGATGGAACTCCGTCTAGCTTACTTTTCCTGACTCAGTGTGTGATAAAGATGATCAAACAACCATCTTGACACTGACAAGATAAGAATGTAACTGGAAATAGGTTTACTTGACGTGCTTGTCACTTTGAGCAAAGTGGCCCCCAAGAACTAAAGATATTTTTGGAAGTTACAGGTTATATTTGTACAGGGAAAGAAAGAAGACAGTGTCATTCTAGAATCCTGAGTAAATGGATTGTATGTGGGCTTTTTCTCTTTTACCACACTCCCATTGCTTAATACTTTGATTATATGCCATTTGTTTAATTTTAACTCTGTATCTTTAAATGTTCTTTGAATAGATGGCAAATGATAATTTAAATTCTAAGTAAGAATACTGCTTACTGGCTAAACAGTAAGTTTAATCTGGAATGGCATAAAATATTAATGATTAGTAAAGGACTAATTTGGGGTTGTAAGGAAAGATTTGTTACCTCATTCTGCCTCTGCTTGCTGGTTTCTCTCTCGCTTAGGAATGCAGGCCTCATGCCTCTGCTGCATTTTGCTGCTTAACCCCCAGTGCCTAGTGTAGAACGGAGCTTAATGGAAAGTTCCTGAATAAGTGGATGAGCCAGTACACTGGGTAGGATTTTCACCTGCTACAGGTCTTTAAGAAGCCTTGTGGGCCAGGCACGGTGTAATACCAGCACTTTGGGAAGCCTCGGCAGGCTGATGGCTTGAGCCCAGGAGTTCGAGCCCAGCCTGGGCAACATAATGAAACCTCATCTCTACAAGAAATACAAGGCTGCAGTGAGCTGTGATTATGCCGCTACACTCCATCTGGGGTGACAGAGTGTAAGACCTTGTCTCAAAAAAGGAAAAAAAAAAAAGGCCTTGTGCTCCTGCCCAGCCCTGAGTCAGTCCAGCAGGTGCTTGGGAGCACCCAGGCAGCTGGCTCAGCATGTGGCCCAGCCAACGGCACCCACATGGTCACTGCACTCTATCAGTCACTGTGCTCTGTCACCCATTACTGCAAGGAGGAAAACAGGATGACATGCATACTGAGGAGGACCCCACAGGCACTCTCCCCTTCCTGTTTTTCAGCTTTGTATGTGTGGCTTCTCGAAGAAGTGAGGAGTATAAGATAGTTTTTTAAAAGTTTAATTACTTGAGCGTATACATATGAAATCTAAAACTTGGCTGCTACATATTGAAGAAGAACAAAGCAAGAAACTCAACCTATTTTTCGTTTTTTAAATTAAAGGTTTCAGCACGCTGCATTTGAAGTATTTTTTAGTCCATCTTATGCCCGTCACTGCGTATGTCGGGCAACCATGCCTTTGCTTCAGTTCAATTTCTTTGAAGTACATTTCCTGTAATAAAACGGTTTGGCCGTTTCCTCTTGGTATAAGTAGCACACCACATTTCATTTTAAGCTTTCAGATAGGGACTATTCTAAGCTGACAGCTTGGATTAACATTTGTTTCCATGGCCCCGGATGCACACTCCACAGTCCTGCGCCTCCGCTCCTCACTGAATTGGTTTTCTCCCTGCACCGCGTTTTCCCATATGTAGCTATATTCCCATTCCCGAGCGGTCTTGACTCTAAAATCATATACACGGTAGAGAAGGAGCCCTGAAGGTGAGTGAGGGGAAGTCATGAGTCAGAGACGGCTCCAGCGTTTTCACGACAGACAGTTCGGAGGAGCCACGGTGCTTATGAGCAGTCGTGGGAAGGAAAGAGTCTCAGCTGTGCCACGGCACTGGGTGTGCCACTTGGGGACTGAGGCTGAAGACATGGATATCGTGAGCTCAGAGAAATGAGGACAATTGGAGCGGTGTGAGAGGTGCACACAAATAACTCTGAGATTTACAGTGCCGTCCCCTAGCTGAGTTGGTGAGGGAAGAAGAGGCGGAATGACAAGAAGTGTTACTTGGCAAACAAGACATCTGTGCCGCTCCCGCCAGTCTAACAGCATCGCTCCTGACTGAAGGCAGAACTTGCTCCTGCTCCCCAGCTGCATGGATGACTTTCCTGAGGCACTTCCTATGGGCGGCAAGTACTAAAGACGGTCGGTGAGCTCACAAGGGGGAGCCCCAGGGTTCCCACCCTTGCCCTCAGACTCTCCCATCTGATTTTGTAGTCTGCAAGGGGAACTTGAGCTTTTGAGACCCTGGAAGTTCTTAATGGGGGAATTCGTCTGCATTGTAATAGAAAGCCCTTTCACTCCAATTTAAGCACGCTCAGGGCTTTCTGGAGATGAGAAACCCCTGCTTCAGGGGCTTCTGTCTAATGACCCTTCATATTCCCTTCAGTTCAGCGACCATTAAGGAAGTGCATTCTGTATCCTAGTGCTGTGTCTGTGCTGGGGACAGGGCAGGGATGGAGACGGTGCCACCTGGCACAACACCTTTCCAATTAGTATAATGACCATAAAGCTGATGTCTCAGATTTTATTTAAAGCACTTTTGTTCCTAACTGAATAACTTTTAAAATGAATATTTCAGTTCTGTGTTTATTACCTCTCACTGGACGTTTTATATTCAGATCACACTGCCCTGCTCCTGGGACATCAGTGTGGGCTGGGGACCAGTGGCACCTTAGGGCAGCAAGAGGGTATCAAAAGATAAGTGAGACTTAGGGTCAGAGCAGATCCACAGAGACAGAAGATGCTGATGCTCAGTCGTTTTACCAGGGACGCTGGTCAGGAAGAGGATGCCGTGATTGTGAAAATTCCTGGAGCAGGAGACAAAGTTTCATTAATATCTCTTCTCGCTCTTGTGGAGCGGTCCTCATGCGTTGGGCCTGTGACTTCACGAAGCTGCTTTCTTCCACCTGGACCCTGATACAGTACCCAGAGAATGCCATGATTATAGCCCGGTGGGCTCTTCTTGCCGACTGCCCTGAGAAAACCAAGGCACTGAGAACAACAGGTGTTACAGCGAAGAGAGAGTTTAATCACAGGGCCAGCCACGTGTGAGAATGGGCGAGGTTTCTCAAATCTGCCTCCCTGAGAACTCGGCGGCTTGAGTTTTTAAGGGTAGTTTGGTGGGTGGGGGCCTGGGGAGCTGAAACGATTGGCTGGGTGTGAAATCATGGGGGTGTCTAAACTGTCTTCAGGCAGCTGAATCAATTCATGGAAGCCAAGTCTGAGGACCGGGTGACATCTCTTAGTCTGTCTGCCAAAATGCTAAATCTGAAAGATACCTCAAATACCGTTTCCTTAGGATTCACAATAGTGATGTTATCTGTAGAAGTTGTTGGAGAAGTTACAAATCTTGCGACCTCTGTTTGAGTGACCCTGGGGCAGGAAGCAACATATAGAAAAGCCAGCTAAGCTAAGCAGTTGGCAGGTCATTGTTTATGCTTATTCTTTAGCAAAGTTCAGACCCTACCATAACTCTAACCTCGGCTTAGGAATGTGGCTTCAATCTCGAAACAAGGAGGGGGGTCAGTTTTCCTTGCCTCATCGTTTAACTATAAATTCCTCTCCTAGTTATATTGGCCTCTGCACTAAAATAAGCAAAAACAATAAAAACAAAAATTGAGCCTGTGAGGTTAGATGGAGCCAGTCATATTAGATTTCTCTCATTATTACAATTCTGCAAAGGCAGTTTCACGGCCATCTCCCTCATGGTGTGGTTTTATCTGGACTAATAGAGGTAGTGCCTGCCCTGCTTTAGCAGCTGCTGGAAGCCGGTAGCTCCTTGCGCTTTTGCTTCTCAGAGATAGAATCTCAAGTCACGTCTTTAGCTTGATTCTAAACAAGGAGCAGGTTATATAGCTCTTGACCTCAAGTTAACTAGTGACTCCTTGGTTTCTCCAGCACTCATTCAAGAGTGGAGAGAAGAGCAAACAATAACAGTCCCAAAACCTGGCACATGCTTTGATGGTAGACAGAGAAAATATTCAAATGAGATGTTTGACTTTTTCCTTTTGAATCTCTTTATATTATACAGCTTTACCCAGAAATACCCACCAGTAAAGTTTTTATCAGAAAAGGATCGGAAAAGAATTTTGGTAAGTTTGCACACCTGAATAGTATTTGTAATATTAAGAAACTTTCTTTTTTCGTTGAGAGATAATTCACATATCATAGAATTCACGCTTCTCAAAGATACGATTCAGTGGCTTATAGTATGTCCACAGAGTTAGCACCGCATTCTGATTCCACAGTTTCTTCATCACCCCAAAAAAGAGTCCTGTACTCATTAGTAGTCACTTCCATTTCCCAGTCCCCTCCCGCCAGCTCTGGGAAACCACTAAAACTACTCTCTATCTCTATGAATCTGCCTTTTTTGAACATTTCGTCTGAAAGAAATAATGTGATATTTGATCTGTCTTCAAGACTCAGCTGTAGCATCAATCAGTACACTTCATTCCTTTTCATGGCTAAACAATGCTCCATTGTATGGGTGTACCACATACTGTTTCCCTGTTTCTCAATTGATGGGTATTTGGAGTTGTTTCCACCTTGAGGCTATCGTGAATAATGCTGCTATGAATGCATGTGTGTAAGTTTTCGTGTGGACACAGGATTTTCATTCTTTTAGGTATACTTTGGAGTGGAATTACTGGATTGTATGGAAACCCTGTGTTTAACTTTTTGAGGAAGTATGAAATTTGAGAGCAGTGGTTTTTAACCTTTTCTAGCTCACAGACCACTTTGAAGAATACCCAGGGGTATCCTTGGCTAATAGTGCTCTTGTTAAACATCAGTATAAACTCACCAATGAAAGAAACCCTTTTAACTATTAGGTAACAAATTATGTCCAAAAAGATTTCATGTTGCATTTTTTTTAAAGTAACAGCTTTATTGGGATATAATTCACATACCATACAGTTCACCCTTAAAATGTATAATTCAGTAGTTTTTAATGTATTCACAGAGTTGTGCAACCATTACCACATCCAATTGTAGGCCCCCCCCAAGGAAAGCCTATACCCATTAGCAGTCACTCTCCATTTTCCCCTTAGGCCTTCCACACCCCAATCTCTAGGCAACCACTAATCTGTTTTTTGTCCATGTAGATTTGCCAATTCTGGGTATTTTATATAGGTGGGATAATGCAACATTTGACCTTTTGTGACTAGCTTTTCTCACTTAGTATGTTTTCAGGTTTTGTTCATGTTGTAGCTTGTATCAGTATTTCATATATTTTTATTACCAAATAATCTGTTATATGAATATACCACAGTTTATTTATACAGTAGGCCCTCCATATCTGTGGTTTCCTTATCCGTGGATTCAGCTAACCACGAATCGAAAATGTAGTTAGGTGCACAATGGTTATGGCTGTACTGAACATGTGCAGACTTTTTTTCAGGTTATTATTCCCTAAACAATACAGTATAACATTTTTACATAACATTTACATTGTATTAGGTATTATAATTATCTAGAGATGATTTAAAGTATACAGGCGGATGTGTGTGGGTTATATGCAAATACTACACTATTTTATATGCGGAACCTGAGCATCTTTGCGTTTAGGTATGGGGGTGGGGTGCGGTCCTGGAACCAATTCCTTGTGGATACTGAGGGATGACTGTACGTTTGTTATATGTG
The DNA here is from genome assembly GCF_000001405.40 of Homo sapiens. Lineage (NCBI taxonomy): Eukaryota > Metazoa > Chordata > Mammalia > Primates > Hominidae > Homo > Homo sapiens. The sequence goes on along the minus strand of NC_000002.12, from coordinate 106,156,508 downwards.
TCATAGGGTGACTCTCTTTAACCTTTTGAGGAACTGCTGTTTGCCAGAGCAGCTGCGCCATTGTACATTTCCACCAGCAGCATATGAGTGTTCCAGTTTCTCTACATCCTCAACGCCACTTCTTATTGTCTGTCTTTTTGATTGTAGCCTTTCTACTGGGTGTGAAGTGATATCTTTTTGTGGTTTGGATTTGCATTTCTCTGATAGCTCATGGTGTTGAGCATCTTTTTGTGTGCTTATTGGTCATTTCTGTATCTTCTTTGGAGAAATTTCTATTAGATATTATCCTATTCTTTAATTGGGTTATTTTTCTTTTCATCATTGAATTAAGTTCTTTATATATTCTTAATTCAAGTTTCTTATCAGGTATATTATTTGTAAATATTTTATCTCATTCTGTGGGTTCTCTTTTTACTTTCTTGATGACATTCTTTGAAGCACAAATGCTTTAAATATGGATAAAGTCTGTTTTTTTCTCTTGCTGCTTGTACTTGGATGTCATATTTAGGAAATCTTGCCTAAACTAAGGGCACAAAGATTTACCATGTTTTTTTCCTAAGAGTTTTATAGATTTTGTTCTTAAATTTAGGCCTGTGATCCATTTTGAGCTAATTTTTGAATAGGGTATTAGGTCATCATTCTTTTGGATATGGCTGTCCGGTTGTCCAGCACAATTTGTTGAAAAGACTATTCATTGCCCATTGAATTTTCCTGGCACCCTTGTTGAAAATAATTTTACCGTAAATGTACAGTCAAGCATCACTTAACAGTGGGGATACATTCTGAGAAATGCATTATTAAGTGTTTTTGTTGTTGTTCTGTGAGCATCATAGAGTGGACTTACACAAACCTCGATGGTACAGCCTGCTACACACTTAGGCTACATGGTATGACCTATTGCTCATATGCTACAAATCTGTACAGCATGTTGCTATACTGAATACTGTAGGTAGTTATAACAAAGATAAGTATTTGTGTTCATCTGTGTAGGCCACTTACCACAAATGGAGCTTGCAGGACTAGAATTTGCTCTAGGTGAGTCATTGAGCGAATGCCTTGTAATTAACTAATTTCCTATTTGGTACCTTTCCCTTCTTTTTCCTTCTGGAATCCATTTACTATTTGGGGTCACTTGCTTTCAGCCTAAAGAACATCCTTTAGTATTTCTTGTGTGGTAGGTCTGCTAGCAATGAACTCTCTCATTTTTTGTTTATCTAGGGATATCTTATTTTTGGTCGTATATAAGATTCTTGACTGCCAGTTTATTTTTACACTTTAAATATGTTGATAGAGTTCGGATGTTTGTTCCAGCCTCCCAATCCCATGTTGAAATTTGATCTCCAGTGTTGGAGGTGGGGCCTAGTGGGAATTATTTGGGTCATGGGGACAGATCCATCATGAATGGCTTGGTGCACACCCCACTGTAATGAGTTCACACAAGACCTGATTGTTAAAAAAGAGTATGGGACCCCCTTCTTCTCCCTGTCTTGCCACGTGACATGCCTGCTCCCCCTTAGCCTTCTACTATGATTGAAAGCTCTCCGAAGCCCTCAGCAGAAGCAGATGCTGGAGCCATGCTTCATGTACAGCCTGCAGGACCGTGTGCCAAATAAACCTCTTTGCTTTATAAATCACCCAGCTTCAGGTATTCCTTTATGGCAGCACAAAATGAACTAATACATGTGCCATCCACTGCTTTCTCCATTGTTTGTTGTAATGAGCCAGCAGTTAATCATACTGGGGTTCCCTTACATGTGACAAGTCATTTTTCTTTTTCTGCCATATGAATTTCCTAGGACTTGCAGTTACCACCATCTGAGTGGTTTAAAACAACATAAATTTAATCCCTCACAGTTCTAGAAGCTAGAAGTCTGAAATCAAGATGTCAGCAGGGCCATGCCTATGCCCCTCTGAAGGCTCTGAGGGGAGTTTTTTCCATGCTTTTCTCCCAGCTTCTCGTATTGCCAGCAATCCTTGGTGTTCTTTGGCTGGTAGAGGCATCACTCTAGTCTCTGCCTCCAGCAGCACATGGGTCTTTGCATGCCTTTAGTATTGGATTAAAGTCCCACCCTAATCCAGTATAACCTTATCTTAACTAAATATGTCTGTAGGGGCTCTATTTTCAAATAAGGTCACATTCTGAAGCTCTGGGACAGACATAAACTTTGTAGGACAGTATCCAACCTAGTACATCTGTTTTCAAAATCTTATCTTGTCTTTGGTTTGCGGGATTTCTAGAATGATGTGTCTGTGTGCATCTATTTTTGTTTGTGTTTATCCTAATTGCAGTTCATTGAACTTCTTGAATATATACATTTATATGTTCATCAATTCTGGGGAGTTTTCAGCCATTATTTCTTTGAATATATTTTGTATTCCTTTCTCTTTTCTGATACTCCCAGTGCAGCATGCATGTTGATGCACTTATTGGTGTCCTGTATTTGTCTGAGGCTCTGTTTAGTTTCCTGCATTTCCTCTGATCTTTGGGTTGCATAAGCCCTTTCAGTCCAAGTTTGCTGATTCTTTAGCCTAGTTCCAATTGACTGTTGAATCCCTTTGTTGAATTTTTAGTTTCAACTGTGGTATTTTTCAACTCCAGAATTCAATTTGTTTCTATTTTGTAATCTCTCTTTATTATCTATGTACTTCTTTAAGCATGGTTTCCTTTCGTTCTTTGAACACTTGCCATAACTTTTAATGGCAAAAACTGCAATTGCTTTTGCACCAACCTAATATTTACAGTGGTTGCTTTGGTGTCTTTGTTATATCCAACACCTGGGACTTCACACAGACAGTTTTTATTGCTTTGTTGTTTTTTCTGTTTATGGGTCACCCATTTCTGTTTCTTTGCATGTCTTGTAATTTGTTGTAGAAAACTGGGCATTTTAGGTAGTATATTGTAGCACTTCTGGATACTGTGCCCTCATCCCAACCCCCACCTTCCCCAACTTGTTTTATTTTATTTATTTATTTATTTGTTTAGTGACTTCTCTGGTCTACTTTAGTGAAGTGTTTCCTATTCCGTCCCCGCCACTCCAGTGTGAAGCTTTAACTGTTGTTCCTTGGAGGATGTAGCCTTGGCCAAACCCCCTGGGATGATGGTGGGTCTAACAGGCTCATGCTGACAGTCTCTTTCCCTGATTTCTCTATTAAGCCTGTGCAGTATCTCACCCAGCTGTTAGGCTGCAGTGGTTGCTAGCTAATTGCTTTATTTTTCAACAATGCTGTGGGTTTTAAATTGCTCTTCAGCCTGATCCAGTTAAATTCTATCCCCTTGGCAGGGGTAGATTTTGAGACCAGTCTTTGAGATTTGTTCTGACCCCAGGAGGTTTCTTAAGTGTCCTCTCCTTGGTTCTCTCTGTTAAACAAGCTGGCCTCGGATTTAGCTTTTTATTCTCATAGATCTATTGCCTTCTATTTATTGCTTACCATCTGCATCTCCCTTGTTCTTGAGAGCACCCTTATATTTGACTTTCTCTTTCAAATAAAGTCAACTCCCTTTAGGGAGAGCTTTTGAGTGCACTGTTTTCAGTACCTCTGTCCCCCAGGAAAACCTCTGAACCACTGCCCTGGTGCTGGGGTGGGAGCAACACCTCTGTTTTATAATCAGGGTGCTGTAGCCCCTGATTTTTTTTCCTTGCCCCTCTTGGCATGGAACTTCTCCCTTCTAAGCAAGTTGGGGCAACCGTGACTGGAATCCTATTATTCTCAGCCTTCCCTGTCTAGGAAGTACTGCTAAGTGGCCCTTCCTGTTGAGATACCATATCTTTTGAGTGGGGTTCTCATTTTCTTGGCCACACCCAGCACATTCCCCACTCTAAACTGTGGGGATGGACTCAAGTGTTGCAGACTCTTGCTGTTCTTACTTAATTTTATATTTTCTTTCTTTCCTCTTTTCTCTTCTTTTTTCTTTTCTTTTCTTTCTTTCCTTTCCTTCCTTTCCTTCCTTTCTTTCTCCCTTTCTCTCTCTCTTTTCTTTCTTTTCTTTTCCCTCCCTCCCTCCCTCCCTCCCTCTCTCCCTCCCTTCCTTCCTTCCTTTCTTTTCTTTCTTTTCTTTCTTTTCTTTCCTCACTTTGTCACCCAGGCTGGAGTGCAGTGGCATGATCTTGGGTCACTGCAACCTCCACCTCCTGATTTCAAGCGATTCTCCTGTCTCACCCTCCCAAGTAGCTGGGATTACAGGTGTGCTCCACCATGCCCAGCTAATTTTTGTATTTTTAGTAGAGGTGGGGTTTCACCATGTTGGCCAGGCTGGTCTTGAACTCCTGACCTCAGGCTATCTGTCCACCTCAGCCTCCCAAAGTGAATTTTATATTTTCTTGAATACATGTTACTTCATTTGCTGTACGTGCTTAGCACAATTTCCAGAGACTTTTAATGGTTATTTAAAAAAATAATTTGGACCACTTATGGTTGTTTCCTTGGGGAACAGGTCTGTGGAGCACTTTACACTGCAATTCTACAAGAAATGATTTATATATGACCTTGATGTTGAAATGACTAGTACACAGGTTGTTTTGTTCTTTTACCCATCACCTAGGCTGTAGTACTGTGCATCCCTAAAATATTATTGTCACTCCTGAATCGATATTAGACTGTTACCCCATATAATCTCTCTGTTCTTCTGGAAGTTATAGAAGTCTCTTGCCTTTTTGAGATGGCTTACATAACTCTCGCTGTGAGCAGACTCTGAAGTCTGTTAATACTTGTATGTCCCTCTTTTGAGGTTATTTCTATTGCATCAAAAAGGTATATGCATTTGAGCATGAATTTGGAAATAAGTGTCTCAAGTAGCATAGAAAAGTTAATTTTTTTAATGTTTTGTTGCCATGTTGTCAGATTGATCACAAATCTGATAGTCTACTTTTCTTAGTTTGTTTTGTGCCGCTGTAACAGATTACCACAGACTGGGTAATTTATAAGTAGAAAGGTATTGGCTTATGATCTGGAGGCTGGCAAGTGCAATATCAAGGGGCATTCTTGCTGCGTCATCCCGTGGCAGAAGGGCAGAGAGTGGATGAGAGAGACAAAGGGGACCTAACTCATTCTTTTACACATAACCCACTGCCGCAATAATGACGTAAATTCATTCATGAGGGTGGGGCCCTCATAGCCCAATAACTTCTCATTAGGCCTCACCTCCCAATACTGTTGCATTGGGAATTAAGTTTCCAGCACATGATTTTGGGGGTACACATTCAAACCCATAGCATTCTGGCTGCCGTCTCTAGAATTTATGTCCTTCTTACATGCAAAATGTATTTATTTCATCCCAATAGCCCAGCATTTTAACTTGTTCCAGCACCAACTCGAAAGTCCAAAGTCTCATCTAAACATCATTTGGGAAAAATTCAAGACACGATTCATCCTAAGGCAAATTCCCCTTCAGCTATGGGCCTGTGAAATCAAAACAAGTTATCTACTTGTAAAATACAATGGTGGAACAGGCGTGGGATAAACATTCCCATTCCAAAAGAGAGAAATAGGAAAGAACAGGGTAACTGGTCCCAAGTAAGTCCAAAACCCAACAGGGCAAACAAGATCAAATCGTAATGCTCCAGATAATCTTTCTTGACTCCATGGCCTGAGTCCTGGGTACGCTGGGGTGGGGGTTGGACCTCCAAGGCCTCTGGGAGCCCCAGCCTTGTGGCTTTGTTGGTCTCAGTCCACCTGGCTGCTCTCGCGAGTTGGAGTTCTGTGCCTGTAACTTCCTTAGGCTGGTGTTACATGCTGGTAGCTTTACAGTTCCGGAGTCTTTGTGGCAGCTGTATCACCGCAATGAGTCTCTGCCTACCCCCCGCCACCTCCCACCCTGTCCCGGGCTATTTGTGACATCCTTTGAAATCTAGTTGGAAGAAGCCATGTTCTCATGGCTCTTGCATTCTGCACACTTGCAGAATTAGAGCACCACGTGGACACCACCAAGGTTTACAGCCTATATCTTCCGGAGCGGTAGCTTGAGCTGCACCTGGACTGGCCGGAGCCACAGCTGTGCTGGCTGAGGAATGCTAAGGGGAGCAGAGACTTGTGGCAGCACAGGGCAATGAATGGTGACCTCGAGCACCTCTCTGGAAACGTTGGCCTCAAGGTCTCAGCTTGCCTGGAGGATTTCTGAAATGCCTTCAGGGTCATTCTCCCATTGTCTTAAGGGACAGAACCTGGCTTCCTTCTAACCATACTACTCTGTGTATCAAAGGGTCAATTGTCTGCACTCTTGCACACTTTTTCATTCTTTATATGGTAAGGCTGGGGACTTAAAAAATTTTTTTTGTTCTGTTTCCCTTTTAGTTATACAATCTGTCTTTAAATCATTTTTCTCTTCCCTTGTTTTACTCTATGTAGTTAAAAGAAGCCATGCAATTCTTTTAATATTTTGCTTAGAAATTTCTTCCACCAGATGTCCTAGCTCATGGCTTGTAAATTTTGCCTTCATAAAGCCAGAGGACACAGACACATTTCAGCCAAGTTCTTTGCCACTTTGTAACAAGGATAGCCTTCACTCCAGTTTCCAGTGGTATGTTCCTCATTTCCATCTGAGACCTCATCAGAATGGCCTTTACTGTCCATATTTCCACAATTGTTCTGATCACAACCATGTTACAGGTAATCTCTAAGAAGTTCTAGACTTCCCCCACAGCTCTTCTCTTCTGAGGCCTCACCACTGTTTCTTTAACACTCCATTCACAGAAGTCTAGGCTTTTTCTAGCATGCACCTCCAGATTCTTCCAGCCTCTACTCATTACCTAGTTCCAAAGCTTTTTCCACATTTTCAGGTGTTTGTATAAGCATCATCCCACTTCTCTGGTACCCATTTTCTGTCCTAGTCCTTTTTGTGCTGCTATGACAGAGTACCTAAGACTGGGTAATTTATAACAAATTTATTGGCTCATGGTTCTGGAGGCTGGGGAGTCCAAGATCAAGGGGTTGTGACCTGGTGAGGGTCTTCTTGCTATGTCATCACGTAGTGGATGGGTAAAGAGAGAGCAAGAGAGAGACCAAAGGGACTGAACTCGTGCTTCTATGTGGAACACACTTCCACGATAACACACTCACTCCTCTGATAATGGCATTAATCCATTTACTTCACCTCATGGCCTAATCACCCCACCTTTTAACACTGTTGCACTGGGGATTAAATTACCAAAATGTGCTTTTGGTGGACACGTTAAAAGCACAGCAGCACTGTTACAGGAATGCTGCAAAATCTTGCCATGAATTTTATTATGTGCACATGGAATGATCTTCCTGTCGATGCTGAGTATTATAGAATTTATTTTGCTTTACACATCACCACAGCAAACAGACTTAGTTTTTTTTTTCCCCTCATCTGCCATCTCATAGGTTAAGCACATTTCTGAGGCATTTGGCATGTGAGTCTGGTATATTGTTGCTATAACTTAAAGCCTTTTCAGTAAATTGGTAAGCCTTAGGACAGCTTCAACAGAAAGAGGAGACTTGCTTTGAAATACATTTTTTGATTTTTTGCTAATTTGCTAAGCATCATGAGTTTGACTGCTGACCTTGAACTAGACCACTTTAGCTGCCTATTGGCACCCACAAGAGCGAGCAAGAAAGCACACTGAGACAAACCCCTATACTGGAAAGCCATGCAAAGCCGTGTAAGTTCTAATCCATCTCAGTGTAAGAGGTCTTACTTCTTTTCTCCTGTTCTCTTTTGGGTATTAGCTCCTTGTTATTCAAAGAATATCCTTGGGTTTGGTGATTAGTGTTCCTGATAGAGCTTTGTAAGTGCTAAGCTTTCACCAAATTTGTTTCTATTTGAAACACTTGCCTAATGGGCTAACATTGATTAGGATAAAAAATTGCATAACCATCCAGCTATATTATATAAATCTTAAGTATTTTAGGTAGAAGGAAATTACTTCAGAAAAAAAAATTCCAGTGCATTTTAGTCAAGCTAAGGTGCTTCCAACAATTTTACGTCAGTACTAAGACTAGTGAGATGTTGGAGATGATCATGTGTAATTTAATACGCTGCATCTCTGATATCTCAGAACTGTCTGCCAGGTATTTTGGGTGCAGAGATAATGTTAGAGTGCCACTGAACATTTTGTTTTCAGAAATATTTGCATATAGAGAAACAGTTATGTTAAAAGGGGTTACATTTCTTTTTAAAAGTTGCAAGTTTTTAAATGTAAAAATCATGGAAAACTTGGAAAAAATGCAATAACGTGAAGATAAAATGAAATCTCATCCCGTGAGTTAAGCTCTAGTGGTGAGTCAACTTTGAATTTCAATTATTTTTCTGGAAAATCGTTTTTCATAGTCATTGTTCAGGTATAGCAGTAGAATGTGGGAGCTCTTAAGATGAAACACGAACCAGACAAATTGACAGGCAGTAGAGAGCGTGTAATTAGAAAGACTGTAGCTTTAGTGTGTCCCAGCTAGTGATCTCTGAGGATTTTAGTCAAAGACGTAACTTCTCTGGGTGTCAGTTTCTTATCTTGAAGGCAAAGGGGATTTGGAAAATGGTGCTGTTGGTAAAGCCAAATGAAAGCTATCGAGCATGAGGATGCCTGGTCTCACCCATCCTGTCTTAACCATTTGATTTGCATTTCATCAGAGCATATGTAATATCTATGTGGTGGTTAAGGGATGGTTATTCTTGAGGTTGGCCTTGTTAACTGAAAAACCAAACTCTAAAATATTTTAGAGGTGTATTATGATCCAGTATGAGTAACTGCAGCCCCAGGAAACACAAAACCAAGAAGCCTTGAGTAAGTGTGCCCGAGGCAGGCGGATTAGTTTAGTTTTATACATTTTAGAGAGGCAGAAGTTACAAGGAGGTATAAATCAATATATAGGGCTTTTACATTGGTTTGGCCCAAAAAGACAGGCTATTTTGAAGTGGGGGCTCACAGGTATAGGCGGGTTAAGAGATTCTGTATTTTATTTTATTTATTTTGAGACAGGGTCTCTCTCTGTCACACAGGCTGGAGTGCAGTGGCACAATTGCCACTCACTGCAGCCTTGACCTCCCTGGCTTTAGAGATTTTTTACTTTGTAATTGGTTAAAGGAGTAAATCTTTGTGTAAAACTTTGGAGTCAGCAGAAAGGAATCTAAGTTATGACAAGGAAGTCTGTTCACCAATACACTGGGTCAGAATGACTTGGAGGGATGTGACTTAGCTCCTGTCTGGCACGACCCTAGGTCCTGTTTATGATCTCTGTTTTAATATTAACGTTGGTCAGTTGTGTCTAAATTCCAAAAGAGAAAGTATAGTGAGGCATGTCCAATCTCCTTTCACATCACTGCTGGGAACTCAGCTTTTCAGGTTTCTCTGGGGTTCCGTTTGGCCAAGAGGGGGCCCACTCAGTTGGGGGACTTAGGATATTTATTTATTTATGAGACAGAGTCTCGCTCTGTCACCCAGGCTGGAGTGCAGTGGTGTGATCTCAACTCACTGTAACCTCCACCTCCTAGGTTCAAGTGATTCTTGTGCTTCAGCCACCATAGTAGCTGGGATTACAGGCGTGTAGCTAATTTTTGTATTTTTAGTAGAGACGGGGTTTCACCATGCTGCGCAGGCTAGTCTTGAACGCCTGGCGTCAAATGATCCAGCCACCTTGGCTTCCCAAAGTGTTGGGTACAGGCATGAGCCACTGCACCCAACCCAAATTTCATTTTTAGTTTATAGCCTCCCCTTACTTCTCCTCTGCCATTTTTGATCTTTTTCATCCAGATGGCTTCTTTTTTTTTTTTTTTTTTTTTTTTGAGATGGAGTCTTCTCTGTCACCCAGGCTGGAGTGCAGTGGTACGATCCACTGCAACTTCCGCCTCCTGGGTTCAAGTGAGTCTTCTGCCTTAGCCTCCCAACTAGCTGGGATTACAGGAGTGTGCCACCACGCCCAGCTAATTTTTTGTATTTTTAGTAGAGACAGGGTTTCACCATGTTGGCCCGACTGGTCTTGAACTCCTGATCTCAAGTGATCCACCTGTCTCGGCCTCCCAAAGTGCTGGGATTACAGGCATGAGCTACCACTCCACTCAAATCCAGGTGGCTTTACTCTCTCACCGTGGTGAATACTTCATCGTGTGTGAGATTTCATTTATTTTAAACAGGAGTTTCATGGAGAATTACATGTTTTAAAACCATAGACCTAGGAGTTTGTATACCTTTTATTTTAGGTAGAAAGGATTGCTGTCTTCCTATTAATACTTTCCGTTTGAAACAGAAGGGTGAAATGAATGAGAATTTTGGTGAAGAGAAGGCAGAGTGGAGAACAGGATACAGCAGGCTAGAGAATTGAGTTGTGCATGGCACGTCTGTTTTCTGAGCCTATTCTTTTCACTCCCACCGCCTATAACCTTCCCCCAGATGAAATTCCCTTTATCCTCCTCCAGTTACACCATTTAATTTGAATAAAATACCTGTGTTCAACTTAAAAGTATTTTTCAAGCGCAGTTGACTTTTCACCTTTGCAGGGGTCTAGGTTTTGTTATTACTGAGTTACCGTCAAGACCCCTCACAGCTGCCTCATCGTGCTCTGTGGCTGGGAGTGTATACCACACTGGGTTCACATCACCATTCAGAAATTAACCACACAGTGGACTTAGGCGTTTAGGGCTTTAGTCTACAAACAGCATGTATTGCTTATTAATTTGTTCTCATAAACAATTTAAAAGATATTTGTTTTTCCTGCAGTTTTTGAATCTAACTTAAATATTAAGTTTTTTTTTCTTGGTAGTTCACCAAATCTCTGCATTTTGCTAATCGTTTTTTCTATAAAGTAATTTTTAAAGTTCTCAGCAGTAATATTAAAGCCACGTGAGCTATGTCCAGCATCCCATTTGTTATAAAACAAGAACCTTTGACTAATGGGAAATTCTCAGTCAGCAAAGACATTTTGAAATTTGTAACTATGATTTTTCTGTATTCTTCCAAGACTGGTAGTTTGAAATTTTAGGCTGCTTAGGAGTTTACAGATAGTATGACCTCTTTGTTCTGCAGTAAGAGTCAAGATGCTACCTTAAAACCTTTGCTGTCTTCCTTCCCCGCCTTGCTCCTGAGTTTTAAGTCGTGGCTGCACCAGAGATGTCTCTCCGTGGAGCTGGTCCTCACTGTGTTCTCATGTGCTTTTTCTGGGAATGCTCTGCACACGCTGTCCGGATGCAGATAACAGGAGGCGCAGGGTTCGTGGGCTCCCATCTAACTGACAAACTCATGATGGACGGCCACGAGGTGACCGTGGTGGACAATTTCTTCACGGGCAGGAAGAGAAACGTGGAGCACTGGATCGGACATGAGAACTTCGAGTTGATTAACCACGACGTGGTGGAGCCCCTCTACATCGAGGGTGAGTGAAAACTGCACATTGTTATTATTCAGAGCTCCGCAGGTGGCCTTGCCAGAGCTGCGGGATTCCTGAGGGTAAGCTGTTTGACTCAGCACATTGAAAGCTATGTTGGGTTTTATTTTTGAAATGTCTCAATATGTATGAGGTGCCGTCCTAGTCTGTGTGATAACGAGTGGTTATAACAGTGTGAATAGCCGTCTTCTCTCCTACGTGGCACCCCTGGTCCTGAACTTCATGGACCTGTTGAAGTAACTTTCCTGTAGTACACATCTGCTGTGGTCTGAATGTTGGTGTCACCCCAAATTCATATGTTGGCATCCCAAGCCCCACAGTGATGGTATTAGGAGGTGGGGCCTTTGGAGGTGATGAGTTCATGGAGACAGAGTCGTCACAAATGAGATTAGTGTTTTTATAAAAGAGGCCTGGGAAAACCCCGTTGGCCTTTCCACCGTGTGAGGACGTGGCGAGAAGATGCATATATGAACCAGGAAGCAGGTCCTCACCAGCACCCAATCTGCCAACCCCTTGATCTTGCTAATTTGATAGAAAACCATTGGTTCAATGTACATTTCTTTGGTTACTAAATATGGTTAGAATTTAACATGTTAATTCACCAGAGAAATACCAATGGTTTTGTTAGTCCATTTTAAAAATATTCTTTTAGTATGAGTTCTTTGTAATAGGAATGTTAACTGTTGGGCTTGTATTTAGCATTTTTCCCACAAAGGCAAAAAGTTTTTGCCTTTTCGTTTGAGTGACATTTTATAACATAGTTTCATCTGTTCATATTCTTCTTGCTGTTTCTTCTGTTCTCTTTCTGCTCTAACCGTTCCAAGATGAGATGAATATTTAATCTAATATTTAGAAAGCAGCCATGGTGTTAATTTTGTTGGTTGGTTTTTTGCTTCATTTTTAAACGTTTAATTATGTAATCTGTTTAGGATTCATTTTGGAGTGAAGCTGTAGTTTTTGTAAAGTATAACAGGCTATGTAGATTATAGCTCAGTGGGCTCACTTTCCTCTTGGATTTCCTCCTGGGATTGCTGTGGGGTTAACTGAGGTCATACATGTGACAGGGCCTGGCAAGCAGATTCTCACAGTTCCCTGCTAAGATGCCCTTTCCCATTGTTCAACCCAAGATGCTAGGTGGTGCTGTCACAGGACTTTGCTGATAGAATCAAGGTTATGAACCAGCTGGCTTTAAAATGAGGATGATCCTGGATTATCTGGGTGTGCCCCCACATAGTCACATGAACCGTCAAAGGCAGCAACAGAGAATGGAAGAGTCAGGTAGAGAGACTGGGTAGAAGAGATACCGCGGGGAGACCAGGCAGAAGGGAAGCTGGAGAGGTTTGCAGTGTGCAAGGGACCTGACCTACCCTGGCTGGCTTTGAAGGAGCCATGTGCGGGAGAGTGTTGGCAGCCTCTGGAAGCTGAGAATGGCTCCCTGCTGAGAGCCTGTAAGGAGACCTCAGTCCTGCAGCCTCAGGGAACTGAATTTTGCTGTCATCCTGAATCATCCTCTGAAGAAAGGAACACAGCCCTGCTGACACCTTGATTTCTGCCTGGGGGCAGGCAGAGCTGAGAACCAGCTGAGCCATACTGTGCCCGGTCCTGTAGACCTGTCAGATCGGATCGTGAATGGATATTTTTTGAGCCTCTAAATTTGATTAGGCAGCAATAGAAAACTACTGTGAGGACTTAGCACAGCACTGGGCCCTCATTTCACTAAGTGCTGCCCAAATTATACCTTTTTTTTTTTTTTTTTTTTTTTTTTTTTTGAGACGGAGTCTCTCTCTGTTGCCCAGGCTGGAGTGCAGTGGCACGATCTCAGCTCATTGCAAGCTCTGCCTCCCGGGTTCACGCCATTCTCCTGCCTCAGCCTCCTGAGTAGCTGGGACTACAGGCACTTGCCACCATGCTGGGCTGATTTTTTGTATTTTTTAGTAGAGACGGGGTTTCACCCTGTTAGCCAGGATGGTCTCCATCTCCTGCCCTCATGATCCGCCCACCTTGACCTCCCCCAAATGATACCTATTAATATTACTACTCTCTTCTCTTTTTTAGCACATGGCAAGAAACATTTATTTTATGACACTATTGTTTATATAATTTCAGTACCACTGAGAAGCCAGAACTTAGTAAAAATGGTGTTTTAATAAGTAAATTATCTTCTTTAACTGCGAGCTTTGATACCAAAGCTGCTCTAGGCCATTTCTGCCAATTCTGTGACTGTGTGTAGGACACACACACACACACACACACATACATGCAAACACACACACCCACACACCCACACATTGAATGAAGTCATACAATAAATGACTGGTGCTTTGTCCTTTGCTCAGAGTATTGCGTTCCCTCAGTTGGCATTTATGTTGGGAGAGCATAAGATGCTTCTCTGCCTCTGTGGTTTGAAGCCTGTTTTTCACTTTCTCCTTCAGCGGGTCCTCAACCTTGGCATCAGGTCTTCTGTGCCCTTGATAATTTCCCCCTTGCTGCCCTCCATCTCTTCACTCTTTCTGCCCTCACAATGCCCACTTCATCCAACAATGCCAGAATGCACCTTCCTTTGAAGCCCACATGGAACATTCTCCAAGACTGATCATATTCTCAGCCATAAAAGACACCTCAGCCAACCTGAAAGAATAGAGTGCTATAAAGTGTCCTCTCAGACCAGAGTGGAATTACACTAGAAATTAGTAACAGAAAGATATCTGGAAAATTACAAAAATATTTAGTGATGAAACAACAAACTTCTACATAAGATATGAGACAAAGGAAAAATCTCAAGAGAGATTAAACATACTTTGAACTAAATGAAAGAATTAGGTTTCTTGTTTATATATTTGATAAAGAATGAGATGGAAGAGAATCTGAAATATTTTTCTCTTTTCAAAAGAAACTTTTTTCCTGATGATGAAAATAATACATACATGTTAAAGAAAATATAGAAAGGTATTTTACAAAGCAAATAGAAAATTATTTTTAATCTTTCTATAAACTGTTGAGGAAGTTGGCTGGGCATGGTGGCTCACACCTATAATCCCAGCACTTTGGGAGGCCAAGGAGGGTGGATCATTTGAGCTCAGGAGTTTCAGTCCAGCCTGGGCAACGCGGTGAAACCCAGTCTCTACCAAAAATACAAAAAGTTAGCTGGGCATGCTTGTGCATGTCTGTGGTCGCAGCTATTCAGGAGGCTGAGGCATGAGAATCGCTAGAACCCAGAATGTGGAGGTTGCAGTGAGCCAAGATAGTGCCGTTGCACTCCAGCCTGGGTGACAGAATAAGACCTCATCTCAAAAAAAAAAACCAAAAAAAAAACACTGAAGCTAACATCCAGTTGTTTTCCTAAATGTGATTTTTTTTCCAATTAAAAACATGCTTAATAGGTAATATGGTTATATGGTTCAATTATTTTAAAAAATAAATGGAAAAGATGGCCGGGCACAGTGGATCATGTCTGTAATCCCAGTACTTTGGGAGGCTGAGGCAGGCAGATCGCTTGAGCCTAGGAGTTCCAGACCAGCCTGGGCAACATGGCGAAACCCTGTCTCTACAAAAATTACCCAGGCATGGTGGCATGCACCTGTGGTCCCAGCTACCCAGGAGGCTGAGGTGGGAGGATTACTTGAGCCCAGGAAGTTGAGGCTGCAGTGAGCCATGACTGCACCGCACTCCAGCCTGGGTGACAGAGTAAGACCCTGTCTCAAAAATAAATAAATAAACATAAAAATGGAAAAGATAAAACTGTAAAGTTAAAGTCTTCCTCTTGCCAGTTCTCAGCTCTCCTCAGGAAACAGCTGTTGATCCTTTCTTTGTATTCATCTGCAGTGTTTGTATGTGACCCAGCTAACACAAATAGGTATTTATAGTTCTCCCTTTTTATATAACCTATTATGTATTGTCCTGAATCTTATTTTCTTCCACTTACTGTGTCCTGGTGATCTTTCTATATCATATATAGAGACCTTTTTTGGCAGCTGCTTAGTGTTCCATTTTGTGGCTATACTAGCTAGATCTCTTTACCAAGACACGGGTTTTCCCTTCAGCATTACTTGTTAGCAAGTCGTCTTCTTATGAATATGTTGTAATTTCCTTAGTCCTGTGTTGTTGGATCTTTAGGTTGATTGCAGTTTGGGGCCATCATAAACCATGCTTCAGAAAGCCACACATCTGTGTCTCTGTCATCATTTTCATGGTACACTGGCTTTCCCAGGGTCCTGCTACAGAGCACCTGTGCTTCCCTGAAATGCTGTCCCAATTTACTTTTCCACCGTCTGTATAAACAGGGATCTTGAGACCAGCTTTTCCATGGGGAACAGGAAAAGGCAGAAATGTGCATTGTGTCGTGGGAAGACCAGTACCGGGAACTTGTAGTATCTCTGTTGAAGAGGTCCAGGAAAATAAAAGAAGAAAGTGACCATAGCTAACACTTAACTATATTCCAAATGCTATTCTAATCGCTGTTTATGGTTGGCAAGTTTAATTATGTCAATACCCGTGCGAAGTAGGCAGCTATTTTCTTCATTTTATAGGTGAGGAAACCAAGGCATGGAGCCCTTTCCATTACCTGCCTTTTACCTGGATGCTCAGTTGCTATGGAGGGCCGGGGGTGGGGGCACCAGGAGAGGGAAGATGGGAGAGCCAAGCCATCAACCCTGGGCACCCACCCTAAAGAGGAGGGGTGGAAACAGTGTTTGCCAAGGGGATTGAGTCCATGTTTATGTAGACATTTAAAGCATGCAGCTCTGATTAGAATATTTTTGTTGAAGTATCATTTAGAAATTTTTTTCTCAGCTTTCAGTTTATATTGCAAATGTAAATAAAACTGCAGTGGTGGCTCTTAGAGATCGCCCTCTGTTTAATTTGGAGCTGTTGGAGGCTTCCTATGGAGCAGCCTAGGACACTGAAAATTCTTTCCCCTGCGGTGGCTTCACAGGGAAGGTGAGCCCCTCGCTCAGAACAGTCGACAGCACTGGCGGGCAACCCCAGCTCCCGGGGGCTGAGCCAGTCTCTAGTGTGTGCAGCCTTTGCCCTAAGTAAATACATTTGACATGAAATGAAGGGAAAATCTTGCTGTTCTGCTTCTTTGTGCCGAGAGAAATTTGGTCTTTATACTTTGAGAAGTTCTGTATCTTCTTCATTCCTGTTTTCCATCCTAAATACTGGTTCTAGAGACAAAGACTAGGGCCATGCTGTGAGACTTCACATTGCAGAGAGGGACATCTCGTTGGGGAGTATTTCTGTAAGACCTCTGACTCAAGTGTAGAAAAAGAGAATTCTACTGTAAGTATCTTTTATGATGGGAATTTAGTATGTGCTAAATAATCGCGTGAGTTATCACAGAAAGAACTAACCCACTGTTTTGCGTTTTAGTGTTTCTATAGTCTTTAGTTTCATGGTACAAATCCTGAACTGGTCCTTGGCAGTTTCATACAGCATGGGTGTGGCACAGAATGAGGCTTGACACAGACTATGTCACTAACTTAAGACAAAATTAAAAAAGAAAATCAACAAAGGAGTGGAAGCTACAGTCAGTTTTTATGTGGATTTCCCCTTTGGTAGAAGAAAATGTCGATTTCTCCGATGTGTTCTGAACAGTGGTTTCAGGTTATCCCGAGTTGTTCTCCTCCTATGGTGATTTTTTTCTTCCCTATGTATGTGTCATTTATGTGGGTTTTGGGCACAGTGAAATTCAACCTAAGACCCTTTAGGGAGTTCATTTGTGGTTTGACTGGTTGAGTTTCCCCAGTCAGGATTCATAGAAGGGCCGAGTAAGTCGCAGCTGTGCCCTCACCCAGCCACTTCCCAACATAAGATTACCCTGCATGCTCTCTGGTAGGAATGCTGCTGATCATTAATTGGAGCTCTTTTAGGCTCATTTCTTGAGACTTCTATTTTTCTAGCTGAGCTCCCAGCACGTGGCCTTGTAAATGTGAAAGGTCGTGGCAGGGTCTCTAGCGGTCTCTGGAGCAACTGTGGGCACCCATGAATGGGCTGCCTTTCTGTCCCCCTTTGACTTCCTCTCCCCACCTCAGCTTGGATTTTGGAACGTCAGGCTCATGCTTGGTGTACTCTGAACTGTGCAGTTGACATGTTCCCAGGGCCTTTGTCCTGGGCTGTGAGGGTTAACCTTGCTGCTTTATTTATATTCCGAAGCCGGTTGTTATTAATGTTACTTACTGTTTACCTAGCACCTCTCATTGCTGGTTATTTGTCCCTGCTCTGAATTTCCCCTCTTCTCTCCCCTTCAGAATTTCTCACCAGATTATTTAACCAACAGACTCTGCTGCAGTGCCCTTTTTAGGATAGGAACTGGAGTTATTGTTAATGTTACAGGAAGAACACATTCTCAAAGGAGAGGGGGGTGGTGGGAAACTTTGATTTTCATAGGGTTTTCAGTTTCCTCTCAAATGGGAGGATGCAGCAGTGCCGCTACTTAACTGAACGTCTCGACAGTCTGATGGGGCGGCCCTCAGCCTTCCGGAGCAGCAGTGGGACTGACCTGTCCAGTGAGGAAGAAACACTGAACCAGATGGAATGGCCTTTGGGGATGGAAAAACCCCAGTTTACGCTCATCTCTTCTCTCAGCTAACTTTTGTGGAGCCCTGTTCCCAAACTGGCCTGGGCCAGAGCACCGTGGAGGGGTATTTGTTGTAAATGGAAGGTTTCCAGGCCCGCCTGGAAATCCTGAAGGGTGAGACCTGCAGTGGGCTCAGGAGTCTGCATTTGTGGGTGACCGAGGGGGCCTCCCCTCCCTCTAGAGTCCACACTGTGGAGAGCATCAGGAAGGGAAAGGCCTGCATCTTGTGCTCAGTGAGCTCATCGTCTAGTGAGGAAGGCATGTGTGAATCTCTGGACAAGGCAGCGCTGAGCTGTTGTGGACTAGTGGTGCAGGCAAGGGATTATTTCTGACCAAGGATGGTGAGAAGGTTTCCCATACAGACTGACGTCTGGATTGAGCTTTGAAGAAGAAAGCCAGGACTGGAGCAGACGACGAGGAGGGAAGAGTGTGAGGTTAATGATAGTGGCTTTCTGTTTGATGTCGGAGAGGCTTCCTGTACTCTCAAGGCACACTTCTTCCCTCTTAGCCTTTAATGCAGTTTCCTGTCTTTCCCTGCATACCTTGTCACCTCAAGAGTAAAGATAATGATGAATAATTTGTTGTGTAAGATCACAGCCCATACAGAGTTGTTTATACTCTCTTTGAGGAATGTAGGGTGACCCTGTCTGTGTAAGCAGAAATGCCCGTGAGTATAAGTCAGGTGGCAGCAGGCTCCAGGTCTAGCACACCTGAGCGGGCTCTGTGGTGTCGTACTCGGCTCTGAAGGTCTGGCCAGGTTCATTTTTTAAAATTTTAATTTTAATTTTTAAATTTTATTTATTTTTTTGAGACGGAGTTTTGCTCTTGTTGTCCATGCTGCGGTGCAATGGTGCCATCTTGGTTCACTGCAACCTCTGCCTCCCAGGTTCAAGTGATTCTCCTGCCTCACCTTCCCAAGTAGCTGGGATTACAGGTGCCTGCCACCACACCTAGCTATTTTTTTTTTTTTATATTTTTAGTAGAGACGGGTTTCACCATGTTGGCCAGGCTGGATTCGAACTCCTGACCTCAGGTGATCCACCCACCTCGGCCTCCCAAAGTGCTAGGATTACAGGTGTGAGCCATTGTGCCTGGCCCTCATTTGGTTTTCAACTTGGCACAGTCCTGCTCCAAAGTGGCAGTGGGTATGAGGAGGAATCTTCAGAGGAGGCAGCACAGTGCCTGTTTCTGGGGCTAATGGTCTGCTGCTTCTACCTGCAGCCCTGGAGCTTGGAAGTAGGTGTAGCAGGAACTGACCCGGTCTGTGCTGATCCTAGCTGGAAACTGCAAAAGATAGCTTGGCCTTAGAATTATGGGACTTTGTGAGAACTGATTTTTAAAAGGTATCTTGTTAAATTACAATTTGTATAATACAATATTAGTTTGTCTTTTATTTTTAGCTGTTTTTCAGCTCAGAATAACTTGTGGGGGTGGGAACAGCAGTCGCAGGATTTCCTTTTACTTGGACAGATCCTCTCAGCGAACTTGCATTTTGACAGACCATCAATAATTTTAAAGATTTTGTGTTTTGTTAGTTCTCTTTACAAAAAGATTATTCTTCCCATAAGCATTGGTTCTATTTCTAAATTAACTCACTGGTTTTCAGACTTGGCTTTCTTTTTTTTTTTTTTTTTTTTTGTGTGTGTTCTTGACTTCTCCATTCTTTTTTTTTTTCTTTTTTTATTATTATTATTATACTTTAAGTTTTAGGGTACATGTGCACATTGTGCAGGTTAGTTACATATGTATACATGTGCCATGCTGGTGCGCTGCACCCACTAACGTGTCATCTAGCATTAGGTATATCTCCCAATGCTATCCCTCCCCCCTCCCCCGACCCCACCACAGTCCCCAGAGTGTGATATTCCCCTTCCTGTGTCCATGTGATCTCATTGTTCAATTCCCACCTATGAGTGAGAATATGCGGTGTTTGGTTTTTTGTTCTTGCGATAGTTTACTGAGAATGATGGTTTCCAATTTCATCCATGTCCCTACAAAGGACATGAACTCATCATTTTTTATGGCTGCATAGTATTCCATGGTGTATATGTGCCACATTTTCTTAATCCAGTCTATCATTGTTGGACATTTGGGTTGGTTCCAAGTCTTTGCTATTGTGAATAATGCCGCAATAAACATACGTGTGCATGTGTCTTTATAGCAGCATGATTTATAGTCATTTGGGTATATACCCAGTAATGGGATGGCTGGGTCAAATGGTGTTTCTAGTTCTAGATCCCTGAGGAATCGCCACACTGACTTCCACCATGGTTGAACTAGTTTACAGTCCCACCAACAGTGTAAAAGTGTTCCTATTTCTCCACATCCTCTCCAGCACCTGTTGTTTCCTGACTTTTTAATGATTGCCATTCTAACTGGTGTGAGATGATATCTCATAGTGGTTTTGATTTGCATTTCTCTGATGGCCAGTGATGATGAGCATTTTTTCATGTGTTTTTTGGCTGCATAAATGTCTTCTTTTGAGAAGTGTCTGTTCATGTCCTTCGCCCACTTTTTGATGGGGTTGTTTGTTTTTTTCTTGTAAATTTGTTTGAGTTCACTGTAGATTCTGGATATTAGCCCTTTGTCAGATGAGTAGGTTGCGAAAATTTTCTCCCATGTTGTAAGTTGCCTGTTCACTCTGATGGTAGTTTCTTTTGCTGTGCAGAAGCTCTTTAGTTTAATTAGATCCCATTTGTCAATTTTGGCTTTTGTTGCCATTGCTTTTGGTGTTTTGGACATGAAGTCCTTGCCCACGCCTATGTCCTGAATGGTAATGCCTAGGTTTTCTTCTAGGGTTTTTATGGTTTTAGGTCTAACGTTTAAATCTTTAATCCATCTTGAATTGATTTTTGTATAAGGTGTAAGGAAGGGATCCAGTTTCAGCTTTCTACATATGGCTAGCCAGTTTTCCCAGCACCATTTATTAAATAGGGAATCCTTTCCCCATTGCTTGTTTTTCTCAGGTTTGTCAAAGATCAGATAGTTGTAGATATGCGGCATTATTTCTGAGGGCTCTGTTCTGTTCCATTGATCTATATCTCTGTTTTGGTACCAGTACCATGCTGTTTTGGTTACTGTAGCCTTGTAGTATAGTTTGAAGTCAGGTAGTGTGATGCCTCCAGCTTTGTTCTTTTGGCTTAGGATTGACTTGGCGATGTGGGCTCTTTTTTGGTTCCATATGAACTTTAAAGTAGTTTTTTCCAATTCTGTGAAGAAAGTCATTGGTAGCTTGATGGGGATGGCATTGAATCTGTAAATTACCTTGGGCAGTATGGCCATTTTCACGATATTGATTCTTCCTACCCATGAGCATGGAATGTTCTTCCATTTGTTTGTGTCCTCTTTTATTTCCTTGAGCAGTGGTTTGTAGTTCTCCTTGAAGAGGTCCTTCACATCCCTTGTAAGTTGGATTCCTAGGTATTTTATTCTCTTTGAAGCAATTGTGAATGGGAGTTCACTCATGATTTGGCTCTCTGTTTGTCTGTTGTTGGTGTATAAGAATGCTTGTGATTTTTGTACATTGATTTTGTATCCTGAGACTTTGCTGAAGTTGCTTATCAGCTTAAGGAGATTTTGGGCTGAGACGATGGGGTTTTCTAGATAAACAATCATGTCGTCTGCAAACAGGGACAATTTGACTTCCTCTTTTCCTAATTGAATACCCTTTATTTCCTTCTCCTGCCTGATTGCCCTGGCCAGAACTTCCAACACTATGTTGAATAGGAGCGGTGAGAGAGGGCATCCCTGTCTTGTGCCAGTTTTCAAAGGGAATGCTTCCAGTTTTTGCCCATTCAGTATGATATTGGCTGTGGGTTTGTCATAGATAGCTCTTATTATTTTGAAATACGTCCCATCAATACCTAATTTAATGAGAGTTTTTAGCATGAAGGGTTGTTGAATTTTGTCAAAGGCTTTTTCTGCATCTATTGAGATAATCATGTGGTTTTTGTCTTTGGCTCTGTTTATATGCTGGATTACATTTATTGATTTGCGTATATTGAACCAGCCTTGCATCGCAGGGATGAAGCCCACTTGATCATGGTGGATAAGCTTTTTGATGTGCTGCTGGATTCGGTTTGCCAGTATTTTATTGAGGATTTTTGCATCAATGTTCATCAAGGATATTGGTCTAAAATTCTCTTTTTTGGTTGTGTCTCTGCCCGGCTTTGGTATCAGAATGATGCTGGCCTCATAAAATGAGTTAGGGAGGATTCCCTCTTTTTCTATTGATTGGAATAGTTTCAGAAGGAATGGTACCAGTTCCTCCTTGTACCTCTGGTAGAATTCAGCTGTGAATCCATCTGGTCCTGGACTCTTTTTGGTTGGTAAACTATTGATTATTGCCACAATTTCAGAACCTGTTATTGGTCTATTCAGAGATTCAACTTCTTCCTGGTTTAGTCTTGGGAGAGTGTATGTGTCGAGGAATGTATCCATTTCTTCTAGATTTTCTAGTTTATTTGCGTAGAGGTGTTTGTAGTATTCTCTGATGGTAGTTTGTATTTCTGTGGGATCGGTGGTGATATCCCCTTTATCATTTTTTATTGTGTCTATTTGATTCTTCTCTCTTTTTTTCTTTATTAGTCTTGCTAGCGGTCTATCAATTTTGTTGATCCTTTCAAAAAAACCAGCTCCTGGATTCATTGATTTTTTGAAGGGTTTTTTGTGTCTCTATTTCCTTCAGTTCTGCTCTGATTTTAGTTATTTCTTGCCTTCTGCTAGCTTTTGAATATGTTTGCTCTTGCTTTTCTAGTTCTTTTAATTGTGATGTTAGGGTGTCAATTTTGGATCTTTCCTGCTTTCTCTTGTAGGCATTTAGTGCTATAAATTTCCCTCTACACACTGCTTTGAATGCGTCCCAGAGATTCTGGTATGTGGTGTCTTTGTTCTCGTTGGTTTCAAAGAACATCTTTATTTCTGCCTTCATTTCGTTATGTACCCAGTAGTCATTCAGGAGCAGGTTGTTCAGTTTCCATGTAGTTGAGCGGCTTTGAGTGAGATTCTTAATCCTGAGTTCTAGTTTGATTGCACTGTGGTCTGAGAGATAGTTTGTTATAATTTCTGTTCTTTTACATTTGCTGAGGAGAGCTTTACTTCCAACTATGTGGTCAATTTTGGAATAGGTGTGGTGTGGTGCTGAAAAAAATGTATATTCTGTTGATTTGGGGTGGAGAGTTCTGTAGATGTCTATTAGGTCCGCTTGGTGCAGAGCTGAGTTCAATTCCTGGGTATCCTTGTTGACTTTCTGTCTCGTTGATCTGTCTAATGTTGACAGTGGGGTGTTAAAGTCTCCCATTATTAATGTGTGGGAGTCTAAGTCTCTTTGTAGGTCACTCAGGACTTGCTTTATGAATCTGGGTGCTCCTGTATTGGGTGCATAAATATTTAGGATAGTTAGCTCCTCTTGTTGAATTGATCCCTTTACCATTATGTAATGGCCTTCTTTGTCTCTTTTGATCTTTGTTGGTTTAAAGTCTGTTTTATCAGAGACTAGGATTGCAACCCCTGCCTTTTTTTGTTTTCCATTGGCTTGGTAGATCTTCCTCCATCCTTTTATTTTGAGCCTATGTGTGTCTCTGCACGTGAGATGGGTTTCCTGAATACAGCACACTGATGGGTCTTGACTCTTTATCCAACTTGCCAGTCTGTGTCTTTTAATTGGAGCATTTAGTCCATTTATATTTAAAGTTAATATTGTTATGTGTGAATTTGATCCTGTCATTATGATGTTAGCTGGTGATTTTGCTCGTTAGTTGATGCAGTTTCTTCCTAGTCTCGATGGTCTTTACATTTTGGCATGATTTTGCAGCGGCTGGTACCGGTTGTTCCTTTCCATGTTTAGCACTTCCTTCAGGAGCTCTTTTAGGGCAGGCCTGGTGGTGACAAAATCTCTCAGCATTTGCTTGTCTATAAAGTATTTTATTTCTCCTTCACTTATGAAGCTTAGTTTGGCTGGATATGAAATTCTGGGTTGAAAATTCTTTTCTTTAAGAATGTTGAATATTGGCCCCCACTCTCTTCTGGCTTGTAGGGTTTCTGCCGAGAGATCCGCTGTTAGTCTGATGGGCTTTCCTTTGAGGGTAACCCGACCTTTCTCTCTGGCTGCCCTTAATATTTTTTCCTTCATTTCAACTTTGGTGAATCTGACAATTATGTGTCTTGGAGTTGCTCTTCTCGAGGAGAATCTTTGTGGCGTTCTCTGTATTTCCTGAATCTGAACGTTGGCCTGCCTTGCTAGATTGGGGAAGTTCTCCTGGATAATATCCTGCAGAGTGTTTTCCAACTTGGTTCCATTCTCCACATCACTTTCAGGTACACCAATCAGACGTAGATTTGGTCTTTTCACATAGTCCCATATTTCTTGGAGGCTTTGCTCATTTCTTTTTATTCTTTTTTCTCTAAACTTCCCTTCTCGCTTCATTTCATTCATTTCATCTTCCATTGCTGATACCCTTTCTTCCAGTTGATCGCATCGGCTCCTGAGGCTTCTGCATTCTTCACGTAGTTCTCGAGCCTTGGTTTTCAGCTCCATCAGCTCCTTTAAGCACTTCTCTGTATTGGTTATTCTAGTTATACATTCTTCTAAATTTTTTTCAAAGTTTTCAACTTCTTTGCCTTTGGTTTGAATGTCCTCCCGTAGCTCAGAGTAATTTGATCGTCTGAAGCCTTCTTCTCTCAGCTCGTCAAAATCATTCTCCATCCAGCTTTGTTCCGTTGCTGGTGAGGAACTGCGTTCCTTTGGAGGAGGAGAGGCGCTCTGCGTTTTAGAGTTTCCAGTTTTTCTGTTCTGTTTTTTCCCCATCTTTGTGGTTTTATCTACTTTTGGTCTTTGATGATGGTGATGTACAGATGGGTTTTCGGTGTAGATGTCCTTTCTGGTTGTTAGTTTTCCTTCTAACAGACAGGACCCTCAGCTGCAGGTCTGTTGGAATACCCTGCCGTGTGAGGTGTCAGTGTGCCCCTGCTGGGGGGTGCCTCCCAGTTAGGCTGCTCGGGGGTCAGGGGTCAGGGACCCACTTGAGGAGGCAGTCTGCCCGTTCTCAGATCTCCAGCTGCGTGCTGGGAGAACCACTGCTCTCTTCAAAGCTGTCAGACAGGGACACTTAAGTCTGCAGAGGTTACTGCTGTCTTTTTGTTTGTCTGTGCCCTGCCCCCAGAGGTGGAGCCTACAGAGGCAGGCAGGCCTCCTTGAGCTGTGGTGGGCTCCACCCAGTTCGAGCTTCCCGGCTGCTTTGTTTACCTAAGCAAGCCTGGGCAATGGCGGCCGCCCCTCCCCCAGCCTCGTTGCCGCCTTGCAGTTTGATCTCAGACTGCTGTGCTAGCAATCAGCGAGATTCCATGGGCGTAGGACCCTCTCAGCCAGGTGTGGGATATAGTCTCGTGGTGCGCCGTTTTTTAAGCCGGTCTGAAAAGCGCAATATTCGGGTGGGAGTGACCCGATTTTCCAGGTGCGTCCGTCACCCCTTTCTTTGACTCGGAAAGGGAACTCCCTGACCCCTTGCGCTTCCCAGGTGAGGCAATGCCTCGCCCTGCTTCGGCTCGCGCACGGTGCGCGCACACACTGGCCTGCGCCCACTGTCTGGCACTCCCTAGTGAGATGAACCCGGAACCTCAGATGGAAATGCAGAAATCACCCGTCTTCTGCGTCGCTCACGCTGGGAGCTGTAGACTGGAGCTGTTCCTATTCGGCCATCTTGGCTCCTCCCCCCCAGACTTGGCTTTCAAATGTTAAAAAAAATATATATATATGAATGAAGGTCTAGAGTCTCCCAGCCTGCTTCAGGGTGTTGGGGACCCAGGCATCACCTCACTGGGTGACTAGTGCACAGTCAGGATTGATTGAGAACCTCCAGACTGACCTGCTGTGGCTCAAGGCTTGATCTTCAGCTCTTCCATTCCCGGCACTGGGAAAGGAAAGACAGCAGCAGTTCCCTGGTCAGGGGAGCCCGGAAGGCCCGGGCAGAGGGGCCCCTGCAAGTATTCTTACACATCCATGTGCAAGGGAGGACTCATTTTGGCAGCAGAGCTTTCAGATCCCTGTTCTTCACTCCTGTGGATGGTGGATGTGTTTCCTCACCATTGGCTAAAAGTAGAATGGCATGACATGGACTTTGTCTGGAAGGATGGCATTCCTCCTGTGTGTGTGTGTCTGTTGCTGCCATTCCACAGGGAGAGGTTGGTCCCCGAGGACTTCTCTGCTATGTGCAGATGTTACCTGACTTGGTTCTGTGCTGGAACGCTGTGGGTAGTGACGTTAAAGTGAATGCCTTTCCAGGAGGGGCAGGGGTTGCATGGAATCTGAATTGCTTTGCCATTCATGGCTTTAAAAACCTCCCTCCCTCCCTCGCCATGGTCTCAGGGTCTGGTTTTATGTATACAGGATGCATAAAAACAAACGAGAGGCTACTTTCTCCCATAGTTCTGTGTCTTTGGTTTAAGTCATATTTGCCTCACAAACTAAAAAAAAAAAAAATTCATGATTAATTCTGTGTCTGAAAAAAATCAGTCTTCCTTCTGATTTGAATGCTCTATCTGGGACAAATATTTCAGAAAACAATCAACTCAGTAATCGAATTGACTCTGGTTACACGAGAACAGACTCAGCTGACCCAGCACATGTTTTTGTTTCCAAATAATTAGACTTTCTATTTTTGTTTAACATTTTCCTAATTACAAATGTAAATTAGTTTATATGAAGAATAAAATAACTTGATTTCAGTGAAAGATATACTAATACGTTTATTATACAGTATATATCCTAGGAGGTCAGTATTTTTTTGGTGCTTTTTTGAAGTAATAGGCTTCTGTTTTGTCTCCTTTAGTTGACCAGATATACCATCTGGCATCTCCAGCCTCCCCTCCAAACTACATGTATAATCCTATCAAGACATTAAAGACCAATACGATTGGGACATTAAACATGTTGGGTAAGTTGTCATTTTCTTGTTTTTTTGGCTGTTGCTGGGAATATTTTAGATGATTACAAGCATAGGTCATTGAATCTTCTACTAGAGTTTGATCTGAGTGTGTTCCCTCGTCCCTTATTGCCCTGCTTGTGGTATTTGGCAGTTTTGCAGTGTTATTTCAGTGTGACTTTTATTTGTCATCAGAGTATGTCATGGAGGAGATGGTCTAACTTAACTTTTCATGCATTGTAGTAATCAGGCTGCAGCACCCTGGTGCAGATCCCCTGGGAGTGACCACAGGCGCTTCATGTGACCAACCACCCAGCCTGCCCCCCTCCCCTCCTCTGAAACCAGTTGATGAATGCTGAGGATAAGTGGCATGCCTCATGCTGGAAAGAGGCAGTGGTGGCTCTGATCCCCAGGTTGGGTTGACATGGCCTTACACACGGGGGTGATTCAGTAGCACTCCTTGAAGGAATGGATGGAGACATCTGTATGGGGTGTTATCAAGACTGAGTACCTGCCCTAGATTGGACTTCAGGGTTCGCATTAGTAAAAGATGGACGAGAGAGCATTGTTAATGGTGGTCATATGTGTATATTCACAAATGACATGCCTTAGATTTATAGCAGTGGGTAATGTGCACATATTAATGTTTAAAATTAGAGGCATGCTTAAATTTGGCACAGTTTTTTCAAAAAACTCCAGGGGTTTTGATTATTTGCAAAGTGGAAGAAAGGAACCACTTTTAAAAATGGCAAGTAAATGATGGATTTAAGTATAGGAACATTTAATACAGGTTCTGCAAATAGACTTGGGACATACAGCACTAAATTTTAATTTGAACAAAGCGTGGAGTCGAGAATGAAAGGACAGCCAGAGATTGGTTTATCTCTTAGATGCAATATTTTAGGGGGTGGTACTAGTCAAGGTTCTACAGAAGAACAGAACCAATAGGATGTGTAGAGATTTAGAGAAAGAGATTTGTTACGAGAGATTGGCTCACATGATTATGGAGGTCAAGAAGTCCCACCGTCTGCCTTCTGCAAGCAAGAAAGAGAACCAAGAAAGCCAGGGGTGTAGTTCCAAGGCCTGAGAACCAGAGAGCCGAGGGCAGATCGATGTTCTGTGTAAGCAGTTGACCTTCCTCCATCTTTGTGTTCTAGTCAAGCCTGTAAGGGACTGGATGATACATCCACGTTGGGGAGGGCCATGTGTTCTACGCAGTCTACACATTCAAATTATCCTCTCTTCCGGAAACACCTTCACAGATACCCCCGGACATAATGTTCAACCAGATACCTGGGCATCCTGTGGCCTAAGTTGACACATAAAATGAACCATCACAGGGGACAGGTTGTTTGGAGTAAGATGATTCATTCTTCCTATCTGGAAAGAGCTTTATCTTCTTTGTTACCGTCTCCTGCTCTGGTCACCAGACAGAACAGGGTGCTGCTGCTTCTGCTTAGAGGTGTGCGTGATGCCCTCTTCTTGCCATCACAAGCGCCTACCCCTCCTACACTCTCTCTGTCCCGCCCCCCTCCATCATACCAGAACTAGACCATAGAGGAAAAGATCATGCACTTGGTGTTTAGGGAGATTCCGTTTATTCTTCCTACTCGGGGGATGCAGTCACTGTGCCCGTGGGTCCTGTCACTGGGGCAGATTCAGATGGGGTTACCCTCAGGCTCTTCTGCACTTGGTGCCCTATGGGGGTTGGGGGCTGCTGAACGGGCACAAGCGTCGATGATACCTAGTAGGAAAGGAAAGTCTCCCAAAGAGAGGCCTCAGCAAAGTGCTGTTAGAGTTAAAGGCAAAAATGACTCGAGCTAGGGCTTGAGCTATGACTGAGATTGAATGTGGAGGCCTTGCAGGAATGGTAAAGAGTCTTCCAGGAGAGATACAAAAGGCAAAGGGAGACCATTGGTAGGCTGGAAAGAAACCCAAATTGGACTTTGTATTCTGAACCGAGAGGCGCTGTCATTAGCCATCTTGCACTTGAGACAAGATGCCATGAACTTTGCCTGGCTTTTTCCTGGTGAGGCCCTTTCCTCTATGTAACTTGCCCACCTCCCAGACCCTGTGCTAGAGTTCTTTCTCTGATGAAAGTTTTTCGTAACCCCCAGACACTACAGCAGCAGGATAGCTCCCTTGGCTTCACTCCCTGACAGTTGTCTCTGTAGATCCTGCGTGAGTCATTCCATGAAAGTGCTACAGAAATAGTCTTAGTTTCAAAATCTTTAAACTCAGTTGTTTTTGAAATATAACACATTGCATTTGTGATGTGTGTTTGTGACCAAAGTTCAGAGAAAACTATAAACTAGAAAGAACTCAGGTAGGGGGGAATATAAAATGTATAGTTACTCTGGAAAACAGTTTGACGCTTTCTTAAAAAACTAAGTATGCATCTACTGTAAGACTCAGTAATTGTATTCTTGGGCATTTCTCCCAGAGAAATGAAAATTTATGTTCACATGAAAACCTGTGTGAATGTTCATAGCAGCTTTACTTGTAGAGGTCAAAAATGAGAAGCAACCAGAATGTCCTATCATAGGTGAATGATTAACGGCAGTGCATACATATATCCCCGGGAATTCTACACAGCAATAGATTAGGAAGGAACTTTGATACACACTGCAGCTTGGATAGATTTTGAGGGAAATATGCTCCATGAAAAAATTCAGTCCTAAGAGGCCGTGTTCCATTTGTGTATCATCCTTGAAATGACACAATTATAGACATGGAGAATTGGTTAGTGGTTGCCAGGGGTCAGCAGGTGGGAGGGAGCGAGGAGAGGCTGTAGAAGGGCCCTGTGAGGGATCCTGGTGGAGATGGAAATGCTCTATCACTTTTATCAATGGAATGTCCGTTTCAGTGGAAATAGTCACTGATCATATCAATGTCAATGTCCTGATTGTGGCACAATCTAGTTTTGCAAATTTTAGCATTGGGGGAATCTGGGTAAAAGATACATAAGGTCCCTATACTACTTTGTACAATTGAATTTGAATGTACAAATATCTCAAAAAATTTAATCAGGAAGAAAAAGATCTCAGAGTCCTTCATTTTGAAGCTACTACATTGTCTGACACACTGATACCCCTGGCTGCTGCACGCTAGAATCCTACCACCCCACCCAGCCTCACCCAGAAGCGCACATAGGTTGCATGTGCCTGGCTCGTCTCACCCTCCTAGCAGTGCTTCGTGGGCATGTGTTGGCCCCTGCTGTTGGTGGGGGGGCAGAGCTGAGGGGTGTCCAGCACAGCCCCCCTCTAGTGTAGTGGCGATTGGGGGTGGGGTATGTCGCCTGTCTTAAGTACAGGGTTAGTGACGGTCAGGGGGGTTCTTGGATCCTGTAGTGAACCACTGTACACTGGGACTCTGTGAATGAGTTTGGAAGACTTTCCATACTTACTTGACCACCATAGATAATGATGTTCTGGTCAGTTACATGTGAGTGGTCAGTCCAGGAAAGGGGTTCAGAGCAGAATTGAGGAATGTGACAGTTGCTTTGGAAAAGGTGCTGTGTAAGCTGAACCGCATAGGAGGAAGAAGAATGAGTGGAGAGTTACCCAGACAGGGTGGCATGGGCAGTTAGAAGAGCCCAGGAGATGTTCAGGAAGTGGCAAGCTGACCATTGTGGAAGTTAAGGAGAAAAGGGCCTTGCCTTCTGCCAACCAAGGGAAAGTTACCCAGTAAAATATGGGGTAATATTTGGGGGCAGAGGAGTCTTCACGAAACTCCTCAAATCACACTTTATCAAACTAACAGATTCTGCGTTTGGCCCTGCTTATGACAAGTATTCAACAAAATACTGGCCTTCTGAGAATCCATTTATGTTTTTCTTACTGTATTTGTTTTGTTTATTTTGGTGCCAAAGCAGACGCAGTAAGGGTAGATAATTGGATAGATAATTAAATGTCTTTAATACTAAAACATTGCTTAAATTGGCCAGCAAAAAATGTGCCTGCACATGTAAATTCAGTCTCTTTTATCATGTCATTGCTTTCTGTAGGGCTGGCAAAACGAGTCGGTGCCCGTCTGCTCCTGGCCTCCACATCGGAGGTGTATGGAGGTGAGTAGGAGGCTCTCTCAGGAGATGTTCACTCCAGCCCTTGGACTGTTTTCATCCTGTCTCAGAAGAGTCCAGTGTTCTTTTCTGAGGAGGCCCAGCCTGCCCATGCTCCTCTTGTGCACAGGAGGCTACCTGTCGGCCTCCCGGGTCGCCAAGCTCCTCTTCCTTGTGGGACAGCCTCTCTTGTTTGATCACACATCACTGGAGGTCTGCACCCTGTCACCTGGCCAGTAAAGACCCACCATTTATGATTCCACAGAAGTGTTTCTGCCATTCTGCTCTGAAAACACCCCACAAATCACACTATCTTTTTACCTGTTTGTCTAGCACATGTCATTCTTCTATGTGAGTCATGCATGCTGCATGCCTGACCTCCCAAGAGCTCATGGGCTGGCCTTTAAAGCTTGCTGGGAGAAGAGACATGCGCTGACTGCCTCCCCTGTTGTATAACGAGTTCTGGAAGAACCTTAAGCAGGTAGTGTCAGAACACCCACGAGCTTGTTTTACCAAGCTACAGCCTTCCTCTCCTTCACTGCCTGAGAAGGAGTTGAGGAGTGGGGACCAGGAGCTGTGTTTTCAATGTGTGTTGATTTCTCTTCAGCCCCAAACCAGCTGGGTGTGCAAGGTTCAGGAGAACTGCTTAGCTGATACAGCGGAAGCCAGGTTTTAGTATGATGTAATTTTTCTATTTTACATTATTATTGTGGACAAGAGAAGGAAGTAAGAGGGTAAAATCAGAAGAGACTTTTTTTTAATTAAGGAAACCAAATGAAAAAAATCATAGCAACAGAGAAATTCTTCTAAATGCAGTGATATTCTTTGTAATCTCTATGAAAAGGTAGTTCATTGTCTACTTTTTTGAAGTCCTGGGCAGTTATTAATAAAAGAGCAGAGTGTGTCCCTCCCTACCTATGGGGTATGGTATCTGTCCAGAGGGGAACAGTGACATCTTTCCCACAGCCATCCTGCTTCCCCTACTCATCTCATTTATTATCTGCATGTCTGACAGGAGCCTGTGTTCCTTAGGCTTCCTAAATAATTGGAGAGTGTAATTTATGGAAGTCACCAGGTGCTCTCCTCTGACCTTGAATAACCAAAGTAAACTTTTGTGGAGTATTTGCTTAGTGTCTTAGCCTCACAGAATGCTGGAAAGGGGAGATGATTGGAAATTATTTTTGACTCTAGGTCTTTACTTTTGTATTAACAATGTAAGCTGTCCCTGTTTTATTCCACGGTGATTTTGTGAGGGGACTTATTTAGAAGCTTGGCATCCTGGGCATTTCAGTCCAGACGGTGCCAGTCCAGGGACAGATGGGCGTACCCAGCCTTTTCTTTCTTGTCCTTTGTCAAATTTATGACCATCTTTTTTGGAGGGTAGCTTGCCCAGCTCTTGTTAAAGATCCCCAGAAAAAGGTCTGGGATCAATCATCTGGTACATTCTGTGAATTTAAGTCAATGGTTCCTTTCTCTCAGGAAGTATTTTCCTTAGAACTTTTCTCTCACTGAGTAGTGAGAAGTTTGCTCTTTGAAAGGGAATTTTAAACCACAGCAGCAGATACATAGACCTTTCTTTGCAGCACACTTCTGCATTGCTGCGGAGGCTGTGCTGACCCAGAGGGATCGGCTGAGCAGACAAGTGGCAGGATACCTGTCTGTTTACCTCCCTGCACCTGCTCAGGCCCACTGAGTCCCAAGTCAGACTTCAGGGGTAAGATAAACAAGATGGGAATTTATAACAATGCATCTTTTTGTCCAGATTTCGTGGCAAAGACTTATACATTTTATATCATAGTTGTACTCAAGTATGTATAAAATTCTTGGTGTACTAAATAAATTAGGTGTATATTCATATTCCAGAAATATACTTGTGTGAATAAAAGAATTTGTTACGTGTTTTCTTCCAATAGTCTCTTCCCCTGGTATGTCTTAAAGTGTGATTGATTTATACGCTAGAGAAACAGGAATTGGGAGTGTAAAATGAGGGCTAGAAGAACAGGCACCCATTTGCCAGGGGCACCCCGTCCCTCCACCTGCCCTACAGGAGCCTCCACGTTGACTTGTCACGGGTCCCAGATTTGTTCTGCTGATGGCACATGTCAAAGTCATCATGTTCCAGAGATGCTGCGTTTTTCATTTTTTTTCAATAAATACATGATTTGCTCCAGTTATCAACTTTATAAATATAAAACAAAACCACATATCTCTTCACATAGATTCTATTTAATTGTAATTTGTGTAGCACTCTGAAAGTTAAGAACAATTTACGGAAGAGAGGGAAGACTTAAAATTGGGAGACCTGATCTTTTTCTTTTTTTTTTTCCCCTGTAAGTAAAATATTGTCATTGCTTAATATCATATCCTACTGGAACTCAAGAGAATGGACTGGAAACCTGAGGTTGCCTCTTTAATACATCTCTCCATCTCTAAATGGGTCTTTCCGAAGTTCCCTTTTGCATCATAAATATGCATTATTGATATGAACTGGAAAAAGGAAAGATGAAAACAGTCTCACTTTTCTCCCATCGTAGATCCTGAAGTCCACCCTCAAAGTGAGGATTACTGGGGCCACGTGAATCCAATAGGACCTCGGGCCTGCTACGATGAAGGCAAACGTGTTGCAGAGACCATGTGCTATGCCTACATGAAGCAGGTATTTCACCAGGGTCTAGGCTTGCGGTTTAGGCGTGCTGAGCACCCTGACCTCAGATGTAAAGTGTTGTAAAGGAATGAATGCCATGACTGATTTTGTCTGGGGATAGGTGTTTGGGAAGCTCAGTTTCCCAGTATTATAAATTAATGGTATTATCAACAGCTTTTTCCATGTATCTCCTTATTTTAAAAATGATTTCCTAGAGATCAATTCTTGGGTTTGGAATACTATTTTATGGCTATGAACAGAATGCTTCTTCATTGCCAGTTGCTCACCAGCAGCTAAGAAGTACCTCTTTTCCTGAAGCCTCCAAATCAATGGATCTTCTTTTTTTACTTTTCTATCAATTAAGTAAAAAAATGGATGCGTTATTGCTGTAATTTGAACCTCTTTATTGTTATTGATATTTATTTACTGTTATTTCATGCTTTCTTCATTAGTCATTGTTGTGCTGATGATATTTTATGTGACAGATTTGGTCACCTGCATGTTATAGCAGAAATTGCTCACAGACCAAGAGGCCGAGGTTGCCACACTGGCTGTGCTGCTGTGTGACTCCAAGATTTAAGCCGTCATTCTCTCAGTTCTTATCTCTGACACAGGGTTTGTGAAGCCTGCCCTGCCCATCTCAGGGTGGTGCAGGAGCCAATGAACTGTGCAGAGAAGGTGGAGGCCTGGGCACAGGATATCCCATTCATGTTCTCACTGAGTGTGTCCTTGGGCTTGGGTCTGAATTTTCACATCCTCATGAAAATGCCCTCTGGTATAGTGGGACATGCAGGTAAATCAACATGGCTGTGGAACGTTGGTCCAGGACAGGCTGTTGGTAGATGCAGTGTCTGTTTCTGGGAGCAATGCTGTCAGGCCCAGGGCCCAGTCTGCAGGTGAGCCTGGGGAACTGTCGGCTATGTGCTCTGTAGGAGGGGCAAGTGTCATCAGCATGGCCAGCATCCAGGAGTTTTCCTGACTGTCTGTCTCAGGCCCCGGCAGAGCCCCAGTCAAGCATGTGCCAAGGGCCAGGTCTCCTGTTCCTGACCTTGGGATGAGAGTTTAATCGACTTCCCTTCCCGTGGTACCACAGAGGACAGGGCAATGTAAAGCCAGGTAGG
Organism: Homo sapiens; assembly: GCF_000001405.40. Taxonomy (NCBI): domain Eukaryota; kingdom Metazoa; phylum Chordata; class Mammalia; order Primates; family Hominidae; genus Homo; species Homo sapiens. Next base: position 106,121,860 of record NC_000002.12, on the reverse strand, counting down.
CTCTCTGAGGGGTAGGAGAGAATGTCGAGGACTCTCTTTCTCATCATGTGTTTAATGAAATGCCAGCATTAAAGATGCATAAATTAACCTTATGCTATTGTTTATATTTAAACTTTTCTGCTTTATTTCTTGGCCAGAAGCAGAACTAATTGCCTTCTAAGCGACTTTAGTCTGTTGGCTTACATTATCCACTTCCTCTATGAAATGCCGATCAGTTTTAGTAGGAACATACTTTCATCATTTTGGGGCCCAGAATATCTTGACTCAAAAGTTTCAGATGATCTTCCAGACACACAGGACCACTCTGTGTGCATGGGTACTTAGGAGTACTGACTAGAGTGTCAGGGGTACATCATTGCATTTTATTCTAGAATGTGTTCCAGGAGTGATATGATTCTCAACTGTTTTCTTTTGCTTTCAGTCCTATGATTGTATTTCTTACCTAGTGAATTTTTATATAGGTAAAGCTGGTGGACAAATGGGACATTTTGATTGAGCTTTTAGTTTTCATTAAATGATTATTCGGCTAATGTAGTTGATAACTTTATGGGTATACCTATTGCCTTAAGTATAAGCTTGCGATAATTATGGTATTTGGCAATAATAGAAGCAGCACTTCTTGAGCACCGACTGTATGCTAGGTACTGTTCTAGGTATTTGGCAATAATAGAAGCAGCACTTCTTGAGCACCGACTGTATGCTAGGTACTGTTCTAGGGGCCTGGGCTCCAGCCAGGATCTGCATTTCACACAAATGCTAACATTGGACCCGTTCGTGTCATCTGTGCCTGGGGGTTCCGGAAGGTAGCACCTAGTAACTCTGGAACATCAGCATTTAAATTCCTGCTCACATAGGTCTCGGGAGCTTAATGGCGTGGGCAGCGTTGCCCTGAAAACTGTGAGTAATATACCTGTTAGAAGCCCCCCGTGTGGTCAGCTGGTTCCTCCTGCTCAAGGTAGCATCCCTGACGTGAACCCTGTCGGGAAGGTGTCCCTGTCACTCCGTTGGCATGATACGCCTTCTATGGAGTCACCAGGCATGTGCCTTCCACCCTGGAGTCCCTAACAGACAGTTGCAGAATGGCTGCAAGAGTCACTTCTGTGGCCAGGTTCACAGTGTACTTCACACAGGGGTGTCGTGGGTTCTTCATGTGGGAACCACGCTTGCTGCTTTCCGTCACACTGGGAGGCTTGAGAATTGGCCCATGGAAGACAGGTGCAGCACTTTCTAGGAAGGAGAGTGTGGAACTTGGGCTCTTGGCCAACAGGTCAGTAAACTGTAGTTTCATTGGGGCTCACACTCTACTTAGCACATGTGCTGAGGGTTTGCATCTGCCCAGGTGAGAAATGGCACCGAGGAAGGCCCACCTCTGGGGGCACGTTGAGGGAGGCATGTAAGCAGGTGTGATATTGCCACCCTTTCCCACGGACCCTACCCGTTCCCACTGTGCAGTCATTATGTCAGGGAGGACCGTGCCCTTGACCCTAGGGGTCCTGGGGCCCTGTCCAATTCTGGTGGCTGCGAGGCAGACAGGAGGAGGTTGTAGTTTCCTGATGAGGAAGGAATGACGTGACTAAGAGCAGTGAGCCTGTGAGGGTCACTGTGGTATTGCCTGAGCTCCAGGAGGCCTGTGAAGAAGGTGCAGTGTGTTCTTCCCACCTTCCGTCCCGTTATTCATGTTGTAAATATTGTGCTCCCTTGTAGGAAGAGCCATGGGTCCAAGGCCACAAGCCCCTCTGGGCCCTAAAATTGGTACCTGAATACTCATTCCCACTTTTTTCTGAATGGGTGCTGAGGAGGGAGGAAAATGGTGCCTTTCCTCTCTGCGCAAAGGAGCAGACACCTCACAGCTGAGACAGGTTTCAGTTCCTGCTATGGCAGGATATTTTGCCAGGTATAGAAAAATAAGACAATACTGATTAAGCAAGAAAAAAGAAAAATTGCTATGCATAATCCCATCTAGAGACAAACATAAGGGGGAAAAATAAAATAAAACAAACACCACTATATAAAGATTGTGAGAGATATAAAACGTTGAAATGAAGACGTTGAGATGATTCTTTAACCCAGGATTTTGTGACAGCTGGCAGCAAGGGTGGGTCCAAGCACCTCCTGCCACATTGGGTCTGCCCTCTACCTGTGGCTTGATCTGGGGCAAATCACTGGACCTCTTTGGGGCAACAACTCCAAAGTGATTGTTATTTTCTGGGACTATGACTGTGTTCTGAGCACAGCGGCCTGCAGGATGTTGTGCCTTTCTGGATGTGTCACTGTCTGGAGGTGACATTGTTTGAGGATGCTCTGCGTGCCTGCTGTGGGTGTTGCGAGAGAGCAGGAACTGGGGGCTGGAATGCCTGCTGCGTGCTCAGCCTCTGTTAGGGCTCAGTCCGTTTAATCTCAGTTAATTCCCCGCAGCCCCCTCAGGTGGGAGTGGTCAGCCCATCTCACAGATGGGAGGATGGGCTCCAAAACTGGTTTCCAGGTCCCTAGCCCATAAGTGGGGTTGGAACCTTCAGCTGGCTACCTGTGGGGCCTGCTCCTCCCCACACTCCCTGGCTGTCCCTGCAGGCTGAAGCAGGTAAAGAAGCGTGAGTGAGCAAGAGGAGACCATGCAGCTCCAAGTCCAAAGGCGCCAAGGCTCCTTTGCAGCTCGCACAGTTGTGGGACAGTGCCCAGAATGAGTGGTTCATGCGCCTGCAGTAGCATCACCCCTGCACCTCTCAGCTGGGAGATTCAGCAACAGGAGCTGCACTGTGACCTTGTCAGTTTATAGTTCTAAATGTGTGATCTTTTGAGATAGTTTGGGGAGAAAATTTAAAACTTTGTGTGTTAGGATTTATGCTATCTGGAGACAAATAAAATCAAGGAGGATGAACCAGGTGGAATAGTACGTCTGGCATATTTTTAATTCATTATTTTAACAACTTTAATTAATTCCTTATACATAATAACATATCCCCCTTAAGTATAAATTGTGATTTTATTGTCAAGATCCTATATAGTATGTGGATATGTCTTACTCTGAATAATATGTAAAGATTGAAAATATAAACAAGATAGATGTAGGAATAATTTTTTTATAGAAAAATTTCTCTTTTCCTAAGGATTCTCTTCTGAGTTTCTTTAATGAATGAAATGTCCTAATGTAGTCAAAATAGAATTTTACTTTCCAGAAAAATCTACCACACACCCCTTAGAAAAAGAGAAGCTCCCTGGAATTTTTTTTCGTGGGATGGAGTGAGATGGAGGTTGAGATCAAAGGGCAGAGCCTTTCCCGAATAGTTAGAACTTGCCAGGGAGGAATTAAATTGCCGCCTCTGTGTGCATTTGGACTCAGTGGCTTGATAAATGTGGGGGCCTCTCCCGTAGGCTGCGGTCAGTGCTTAGTGTGCATTTGAGTTCGCCCCCTCATGAGTCTGACTCTGAGGTCTGTGGCCCACCCACTGGGCTGGATCTGCAAAACAAGCCTCCATTCATAAAACCAGCAAATGGCAGAGTGGAAAGAAAGCAAACTCAGAAATCACCTAGTCTAATGGCCCTGAAGGTATGGTTTTGTTTTAGTTCCTGGCATCAAAGTACTTTTGAAAAAGTCGGAGTTGGTATATATATTCTACCTGAGTTGGAAAAAAAAAAAAAAAGTAAGCAGCCAAACCAGGTGCAGTGTTCCATGGCTAGGACTCACACCCCAGGAGGCCCGTCCTGTCCTCTGGACCTGCCCAGTAGCAGCTTGGCTTCCTGGCCCTGTGACTCACTGGGTGCCTGCTGGCCACATCCCAGGTGTCCCACCTAGACACTGGCAGAGTGATATCCACCCCTCCTGGCCTGCTGCAGAGCAAACCTCAGGAAGGTCAGCTGATTGTTGATGCTGAAGCAGGAGTGCTGAGGAAGATGGCCAAACAGATGCAGACACACCCCTCCTGGACCCCCTTCCTCAGCCAACCCCTCGAGTCAACTTGAACCTTTTAGCACCTTTGAGAATCGTGCTTCAGCACAGTGAGCTGTGCATTCTGCAGTCGCCTTAGTTTTATCCACAGGTAGGGAGCAGAACCCATCGAGATGTATGCATGACAGGCCCTAGGGGAGTTAGGGGGTTCAGCCCTCACAGCCTGACTCCGTTGCTTTAGGGATGTGCATATACTTCTCTGAGAGAAGCGTCAGAGAGAGCCTGGGCTGCTGTACCTTGGTGCACTTCCTGGCATTTCTCCATTCCATTCCCTACAGGTGAATATGCCCAGGCACCTCCTTCAGGACCTGCTCCCACTATGCAGGGCTCTGTTCCACCTTCTATCAATAGAACCTTCCGTCAGCGAATATAGTGATCACGTTACAGTGTTCGGTGGCTTGATATAGCACAGTAAGTCATCACTTAACACCATCAGCAGGTTCTTGGAAACTGCTACTTTAAGCAGAAGGACATAGAACAAAATCAGCAGTACCACAGGCTAATTGCTATAACAAGAGTTAAGTTCCCAGGCATATTTCTGGTCACAAAAACATCACCAAAATTCTAAATAAAGACTAAAACACTTCTAATATTAAGGATTTGAAATAAATGTGAGCTATCCACCTAAGGAAGATTAATAAAAGCAAGATAATTATTGACAGGCTCTCAGGTGGCCAGAGCCTATCGCAGCAGCTCCAGGTTCCAGGCAGCAGCCTGCCCTGGACAGTATGCCAACCTCTCACAGGGCGTACTCACTCACACTGGGACCACTGGAACAGCCCACTTGTCTGACATGCACAGCTTTGGGATGTGAGAGGAGACCAGAATACCTGGAGAAAACCCACACAGACGTGGGGAGAGGAGAACATGCCAGCTGCGTGCAGACAGTAGCCCCAGCCAGGAGGTGATTTTTTTTCTCATCAGTATTATCATGAAATGATATTATTTGGGGACCTGTTGTACTCTCCACTGAATGGTTGCATTTTAAAAGAAATTTTGAGGGAGAACCCATGTGTCGTGAGCAGGGCAAGGTCAGACATAACCAGGTCCATGAACGTTTGTGTCTTTCCACAAGGTCAGGCTTTTATTGATACTATTTCCATCATAAAATCCATGTGCTCCATGCAGTTTCCCAGAAGGAACTTCTTAGTGTTTTCCATTCACTCGGTAATCAGAGCTGTGGTCACACAGGCTCAAGCCACTCCACAGCTCAGTCAGTACTGCAAACCATACCTAGTAGTGTACTTAATATATAAATGTTTAGATTAAGCAGTCCACATCAAACAGAGTAACATTTAACATCAAGAGACACGGGGAGAGGAAAAGGGGTTAATGAACTAGTCCAAGGACAGTGACATGGACAAAGAGAGGGTCCTGGGCTTATCTGGACAGGCAGCATCATCTTGCATGGAAGAGCCCTTGATTTGGGCAGTCTTTGGCGGCAGATGCTGGGTGCTGATCATGAGTGACAGCAAGATGGAGTCTGTCAAGATGGCCATCTCGAGTTGTAGAAGTCCTGCTCATTACCGCCCTTGAGTCCTTTGGTGAGGACTGACAGTAAAGGGTTATGCCCTTAATCTGGTTGGGTGTTGTCTCTGTTGATTATGCAAATATCTGGACCGTGTTGGCTGGATGCCTTTTGAAATGTGAAATGGAGTCATTTTCTAAGATAAAATCACTTCTGTCAGAGGTGCTCTGTACACCGTGTAATCCCTGCTGGTAACATTTCTGTCCTTGGGAGATATCTGGGGAGGGAGGAATCCCTGTACCTTCATTACTCCTCTTGGGTCACCTCTTGCCTGTCAGGCCTGCTGTTAGTTGGCTCCACGTCTCAGGACCTGCATACCCAAGCCCTCACCCCTCTCTCAGCTGCTACGAATGAGGCAAGGAGGCGTTTGATGCCAGTTACACTGTTCCAGCCTAGTTCGTGTTTCCAAAGGGCCTTTGGGAGCCTCAGCCTGTTCCTTGCAATCCTAGTGTCCTTGTGGCAATGTTTGTGAGCTATTCCACACGTGGTCACTGTCACTTCAAAGTAAATTAGTGTCATCAGAAAACTGGGGACAGAGGTCAAGGGCAATTACTGGGTTGAGAACCATCCCTTGGAGGTAGATAATAATGATGGCAGTTTTCAAAATAGTTTCAGTGTTTTAACCCCTGTGTTGTAGGTGGAATGGATATTATTGTCCTCATCTCAAAGATTAGGATCTTAAGTCTTAGAAACTGAAGTGACTTCCTTGGGATAATGAATCCCAGGATGAGACGAGGCCATCCAGGCATTCCAGCCTCCACCCTTTGCAGGTCCCTCAGCATCCATCCTAAGTTTCCATTGGTTCTATGTTGGTGCAGCTCAGGCTTGTAGGAGTTGTCTTGACCTTCCTGATGCTTGGAGCTGTCCATGACTCATGGGCCACCATAGGGGACAAAACCACAGAGCATAAAGTGAAATCCAGCCATGCCTAGGATGAATCAGCAGTTAGCTTTCTGACTGACAGCTTTGTCTATGCTCAAAGGCACCAGCTCAGTGTCAGCAGGGCCTGACCACTCGCAGGCAGAACATTGTGTGGGAGTCAGGGGTTCATGAATGTGTTTGCTTCTTGGTCCTTCAGAGGTGGGCTCTTCCTTAAATGAGACAGCGTTGCCTGGTGTGTACTTCCTGGGTTTTCAGCCTGGTTCTTCCCTTCTTAGGAAGGTGGCTTTGGGTCAGACCCTGGACCTTGCCTCAGATCTGAGATGAGGAATACCTTTCTCCAATCCATGCATGTGGGTGGCAACTGAACTGCCACCATCAACAGTGGTGTCAGCATCCATCGACTGTCCCCCTGCCTGCCCACATGGTCCCACCGTGAGGACCAGTGAGAATGAGGATTCAGCAGCAAGTGGACTATACATATTGACTGGGGGTCGCCTTTGTGTGAAGGCCAAGGGTTCCCTGATGCTACCTAGAAAGGGATAGATGGGCATACAAACTCCAGAAGACACCATCATCCCAGAGGAGAGCAGGGCTTAACTGGAGTGAGCCTCGGGTTCCTGTCTATTTCATGTAAGGAGTTTAGGCTTCATGAGTAGCTTGTCTTATTGGTGTAGACCAGCCTTGAGAGCTCGTGTTCTTGGAAGTGTTGTTGCACTCAACGGCTGTTGCACCTGTATAGAAGGGCTGCCCTCTGTTGCTGAACCATTACAGGCCCAAATAGAAAAGCCACAGCAAGCAAGCCTGTTTATGGGTTGGACACTTAATGTCTGCTGATCCTAATGAGGCCATGTTCCGGAATATTGTTTTGTGGAAAGGGAACGTCAAGAAGATAAAAGCATTTGATTTGCTGCAAATTTTGCCTAACCCATTGAGCTTTTCCCCTGCCAGGCACATTGCGTTGATTATTGTAAATTTGCTGAGGTTTTTCCAGTCTTTTCCTAGAATAAAGCCACATCCATTCACTTTCTTTCCTCATCTTATCAATTAAATGCAAGTGGGTACTTCTGAGTCATTTTCTGTTGAGAGCAGCATCTCTGCTCCCCACCCTTTTTAATACACTCATTAGTTCGGTGGAGAAAAGGGTTGATTTATTCTTGGACTTAGCTCATATCTTTGTCCTGAGTATCTGAGTGGCTCACGTGAAGTATTACAGTGTATTACTAGGAAGAATTAGCACAAATAAAGCACTCTGGCTTCTAAAAGTTAACTGTGTGCTTCCATGCCTCTCACCCTTTTTCATATCACAGCACACTTAAAAACCCGCCTGGGTTTGTGGAACACCCTAGGGAAATTGACAAGCCTGCTGTGGGCCGAGGTGGCGGCCGTGTCACTCCAGCCACTGAGAGGGCTGATGGGGCCTCTGGGGCTCGTGGTTCATGCCCTTTAACTCGCTATACTGGTGGAGAAATTCTGTGCTAAGTAAGCCTTGTTAGCTAAGGGTTCATTGGATTCCCATTCCCAACCCATGCCAGCCTAAGGTGTTGGCCGAAATTGAAAAAAGAACTGTTTCAGCTGGTAGTGATAACTGGCACCAAATACAGCCACTGGGCCTGTGCTTCAGTCTTAGAACACTGAGGCGGTCAGGTGAGTACTGCTTCTTTCCCAGTCTTGCTGCGACCGAGTCAGTGGCAGGCCTGGGCAGTGAGCGGTGGAGCGGGAACGGCGGACACATGGGCGCAGTGAGAAGCAGAGCCCAGGTCCTCACGCCCCAGGCTCCCTGCCCTCAGGTGCCCAGAAAGTGCACGTTTGTTCTGCAGTGGATCAAACATTAGATACGTATACACTGTAAAAGCCCACTAATTCAGAGTTTGTGATAAAAACATTTAATTTTTCCATCCATGGCAAAGCAGTCTGTGAAGTTAATAATTAACACGATCACTTAGAGCAGGCTTTTGTTATTCAAGTATGCACTTCCATGATTGCATATTTGAAAACAGGCTTTTCTGGATTACAAAAGTAATACATGTTCATTGTAGTAAAAATAGAAGCATTAAAAATACTTGAAAATGAACATAGAGGTGAAAATGAACAGGAGGGATGACTATTTAAACAGTGTCAGTATGTTTCTCTTTCCAGGCCATTAGCTAATAACCTATACTGGGCACTAAGTTGTATTTAGTTTCTCACTAAAACAGATGTTTTTTAGTAAAATAGATTGGGAGTGTAGATGCAAGCTCACTCAGTAAGAACGTTTCTGTGTCCCCTTTTCCTAAGATAGAGAGCTTTCTTGTATTTCTCCCTAGCTATTAAATATTCATTGACATCTAAATCTCTATTGAGTGATTAATTTGCACAATATATTATGTGAAAAAGATTAGAAAAGCATATTCATAACATGATCCCATTTTGGAAAATATATATTTAACTGGGAAAAAAAATTATATAAATACACGTTTTTCCTCCTTGTACTGTTTGGCTGGTTTTCTACCAAAATATTAATGCTGGTGGCCTTTCAGTGGCGAGATCTGGGACAGCTTTGACTCTCTTTGGTATAGCCCTGTGTAGTCTCCCGATTGGTCTATAATGAGCACATTATGGAATCAGAACAAAAAAGCCATTTCCATTTTGGAATGGAAAGCAGAACGTTTCCATTCTGCATTGCATGCAGGGCACTGGAAATGCAAAGTGGATGCGTGGACCACACAGGGGAGCACACCTGACCTCCTCTTCTCTCTGTTCCAGGAAGGCGTGGAAGTGCGAGTGGCCAGAATCTTCAACACCTTTGGGCCACGCATGCACATGAACGATGGGCGAGTAGTCAGCAACTTCATCCTGCAGGCGCTCCAGGGGGAGCCACTCACGGTAGGTGCTGGCCTCGGCTCAGGGAGCACCTTGCAACCCAAATCGAAGTCAGCTCACAAAGGATGAGGGATAAGTGCATCTTGGTTCAGGGAGTGACACTTCTGAAGCTGCCATGTATACCCGCTACCCTCCACTAAGGGGAAGGCAGGCACGGGGACATAACCCAGATGCATGGCTGCTCCACGAAACTAGAGTCACCTTGCCCTCCATGGCCACTGGGGTCCCTGCCCATGCCTCCAGGTCTGCCTGCCTGTACCAGCCGGCCTGTGAAGACCTTCTCCGACATACTTTTGGCCTGCTGGCTGTAGCCAGGGGTGTGCCTGTACTGGGTGTCCTCGGATGGCTGAGAAGCCTGGACAGGTAGGGTGGGGAGGTGAGCCACATCTGGTCAGGCTGGGCCGTCACCTTGACAATGCCGGCAGGCCCTCGGTACCATCCTCCACTGGCCACCCTCAACCCAGGGAGACTTCTGGAGCCAGCAGAGGTCCCAGTGATCTGTGGTCGGTGGTCCAAGTGTGTGGCAAAGATGTCTGTGCCGACACTGACTGCTTGGTACCCTCAGATACCATCTGGGGTCAGGGTGGGTTTGCTGATTCCACACCTGTTCCCACAGCCCTCTGGCCTCCCTTGGGAGGAGCACCCCAGGCCTGCCTGGTGAGAGGCTCTGCCGGCATCTTTGGTTTTGCTAATCCTCCCTCCCACCCCCAGCTCCCCGGTCACTCCTCTTCGTGGTTGTCTGCCCAGGCTGCTTTGCTCTTCTGATCTGTAGCCTCCTAGAGCACTTTCCAGCATGGCATTTTGTGGGACTCGAGTCGATTTGCATCCTGTTACTCTGAAAATCCTGTGGCATGGTTTGTTATCAATTGAGTGTATTCCAGGGGGAAGAATTATAGCTCTGTGTATTTCTGTGTAGTACATATGCATCTACCCATTGATTGGTTGATCACGTTAGCTCACTCTTCTGTCCTATGATCTGCAGGTGACATTATTCCCCTCCTTTTTCAGGCAAGGATGCTGGAGCGCAGAGGTTATATGAGTTGCCCAAGCTTAGGTGGCCACACAGTGGTAGCCTGGGTTTTGAAGCCAGAGCCCCCGCTCTTCATGAGCATTCTCCGTGGTGTGTGTCTCCTTGTCTGTGTTGGCTGCTCCGCTACCAACGTAGAACCAAAAGCCTAGCCTGTTACACAGTGGGATGACTCTCCAAGGGCAACTGCATTGTATAGCTGAGTTTCGCTGAGTGCATTCCTGGGGAGAGGTGAGTCCAAACTCAGCTTTAGGCTCCCAACAGCCCATGCCAGCTCTCCCACCTCCCCCTGTCACTAAGTGGTATCTTGGTGCCCCTAAATGGAGGCTCTGTGACTACACATGGCTCTTCTCCTTCCTTCACTGCACAGATCCACCAGCACATCCTAATGGCCGTGCCCTCCCTAGGTAGATCCAGACTCCAGTCCCTGGTCTACACTGCTGCCGCCCCACCCCTATTTATTGCCGTAGCCTTGGAGCCACTCTCATTCTCCCTGTCCTGTGTACTCTCAACCCCGCAGCTGGAGGGAGCCTTGTAAAGAGGGGTCGGAAGCTCAAGTGGCTCTGCAGCTCCAGCAGAGCACGGGACACAGCCCTGTTGCCTCCGCACCTTCCCTCAGGCCGGGCTTCCTTGCTCCCTTGCTCCTGCCTGTCCCAGCAGCGTCTTGCTTTTCTTCCAGGCATTCTTGTTCATTCATCCTCTCCTTAAGGGAACCTTCTTGATGCTTCTCTGCATTATGGCACCAGGCTAGTTACCATAACCATGTTAGTTGTCTTCAGTGCCCTTGTAACCAACTGAAATACGAATTTTTCAGCCCCAATCTCTGTTAGTACAGTGTATGCTCTTCAAAACCAGGGACTTTGTTTCATTCATGGTTGCGTCCCCAGCTTCCAGAAGACCACCAGGTACGTGGGCGCAGGAGAGAAATGTTGAGTGGACTAATTATTGGATTTGTAGTGGCCGCTTTCCTTTATGGTAAGTGAAAGTGGTGAAACTTACTATCATCTCATGTAACCCTCTTGCTGCTACTTGGGGTTCCTAGGAGCTCGTGCCGTGACCTGCGAACCCCTTAGTCCACCTGCTCAGTTGAGAATTCCACATCTCGAGGACAGCCTGGTGCCTTTTTAGCAACTGTGTTCAGAAACTCCTTCATGCTGTGAGATGAGAGCTGCTTTGTTTAGAGGAAACCATGAAAGCCTCCAAGAAGCAGCTTGATTTAGTGCCTCCTTGGCCACAGCCAGGGCTCCCAGTGTCCCCTAGCCTCCCCAAGAATGCATGCATTGTTGGCAGAGGTGATAACTCATGTGTTGTCTTCACACCGAGCAAGCTTTTGTGCCAGAGACAAAAGGGAGAAGATCTCTGGAGCCGTCCATGACTGCAGTTAATCGAGAACGTGGTGGGCTTCAGTCTCTGTAGGCAGCTTCTGGTGGCAGGAGGCAGAAGTCCCGAGGGAGGCCTTTCAGAATGTGTTTTGTTTCCTTTGTCACACAGAATTCTATTTCCCAGCAAGAATTTGATGAAGTCACTGACTTCATTCTTTTCTGTCCAATTGAGATATCATGCCTTGCTCTTGTCAGATGGCTCTGTGGAGCAGTCTAGGGAGAGACTCGCAGGCCTGCCTGAGCCAGCCTGTCTTTAGAAACACTCGGCTTACTGAGGAAGGGAAATAAGGAGGTGTGTCCACCTATTTCCTTTTCTGCTACATTTCCGACAAGTCACTTCTGAGGTGAAGACCTCTTTGAGGGTGGCCAGAAACAGCTCAGCGTCTCGTTCTCCCTTTCCAAGCTGGATGGGTATGATTGCTTACCTTGCAGCCGTGTTTTTGAGCAGATTCCTCATGCCTGTCTTAGCATCTCACTCGTTGCTGTACCAGATGCCTGTGATGAGGACTCAGGGAGTATGTCGCTGGGTTAAGTGCATCATACATCAAAGCTATATTTTAAGTGGAATCATGTTCAGCAAAGTTTGCATCTCAGATTAGAAAATAGATGAGTATGGTTCAGGTAGAGCTATTGTCCTAAGTTTATTTTCGAAGAGGCTTTGGTCCACAGTTCAGTTATGGCACTCACCTTCACAGGAGGGGTCATTCTGCTTTCCACCTTATGTGATTTATCCCAGGTTTGGATTTGCCCAGGACAGGTCAGATGTGGTAGAATTGGGGTTTGAATCCAGTGCTATATCATTTTAAAAGCCTTGCTATTCTTCCAAAGGGAAATTGTGGAAAAATCATACTTCTAAGACCAATTCAAAGCTGGTATGATGTTTAGCCTTTTTATTGATACTGTGGTATGTTAAGTGATTCTTACATTGGGCCTTCGTTTGTGGCGGAAAGCCATAGGATTTGTTAAACAGTTATTCAATGGTACTAAAGTATGGTGAGGAAGACTTTATTCAGGACCATCATGACAGGAATACGGATCACTGCAGTGGGATTTTTCGGGGGGGAAAGACTGGGATCAACTCCAAATACAGCACAGGCAAGCAGAATTTACAGCCAAGGAGCAGGGAGGAGGTGAGTGGATGGAAAATTATTAAGAGGAAGCATCAGAGGTAAGGCGGATTCTAGCTAAACCAACCTAACAGGATTCTTGCTGACAACAGGCCAGGGTGGTCGGACACACTCTAGGGGATATGGGGGGTGAGGAATGTCAGATGTCGAGGGTGATCAGATATCGAGGGTAAGGGTTTCTTGTGAAACTGACTTAGCAGGGTTCTTGTCAAAACTACATTTTACAAGGAAGTGCACAAATGGGCCTAGGAGAAGGTACTCGAGGCTGAACGAAGTTTGGCCAAGCAAAGAATCTTTGTTACATCTTAAACACATAAAGCACAGCGGCTGGGGACATTGCTAAGTGATCATGAGAGCTCCTCGCTGCCCCTCACCCCCGGCCGGTCCTCTCCCCTGTTGGTTACTCCTTGATCATCATGCTGCTTTGACCTGCACACAGCCCTTCGTTCCCCGGCCCCCAGTAGCAGCCTTGACTCTTGCACGAATCTCCTGGCATCTCTCCTGTTCTGTGAAATGAAGCCAGAGGGACCGAATCTCACACTGTCTTCTGTTAGAAGAACAATGAGAAGGCTGAGGGAGCTCTGCTGCCATCAGCTGTCCACACCAGATCCCTGTGATACTCATGCCCTGGATTTTGCTGCACACTCAATTTGTGCCAAGTCCCTGCAGGCCTTATCTTGAAGTGGGGGAGATGGAAGGCCTCAGACCATGCTGGGAGGGCTGTACACAGGGTCTGCAGTTGCATTCTAGAGCCCAGGGAAGACAGATATTTTGGATGGGGCATAATTGCATAGCATCTTCTCTCTTGCACACACACCCCTTTCTTTTACTTTACATTTTCACATTAGCGCACACAGTGAATATTTCACACATGAATTACAAATCCTCATGTTGCAAAGTACTGTGTTAGTGAAATAGGTAGGCTAATTTAAACCAAAGTACAGATGATGGATGTGATATGCTATAGAAACTGAAATCCAGCAGGACTCTTAAGGACATGAGGAAGGAAGTATTCCAGGCTGCCACTGACATTGCATCTTAGCCTAATGCACACACTGGAGCATACAAACTTTCAGGACTGTGTCAGCAAGGTCTGTGGGGGTATGCAGTGGGCGTCCCACGGGATCCACGCCTTTCCACTGCAGCCCAGGCAGAACAGCCTCCTCTTGTACTAGGGACTATTTCCTTGAGGCCCAGTTGGGCCTCAGGTGGGACCTCAGAGGGAGTGCTGCTGAGCACCTTTTGTCACCGTACCTGAAGGCAGCATAGCTTACCCGGTGACCGTGGTGCCTGCAGATGAACCTTGTGTCGGTGCTGGCTGGGTGGGGAGCTGCCCCTGGCGAGTCACGCAGGGAAATGCACCCACAGTCGTAACTCTCCTTCCAGTGCACTTATGAATGAGTCAACGGTGGGAAATACCCAGCAGACTGCAGGTTATTTTGGGAGCCTTTTGGACTTCCCAGGCTGCAGCCCTTTGGGATTAAGTGATATTCAAGCTGCTGAATGTCTCCACCACAAGTCCCTTGTTTGGTTGAGCAGGTACCTGGCGTGGTTCTTCACATCCTGACCCTGGCAGCCTAGTTAACCCATCCCGGTCGGGGGGCTTACCCAGCATGTATTGCCCTGGATTGTGTTCCTCCAGGGCTTGGGGTCAGCATGTTTCGGTGGAATGGAAAGCTGCCACTGTGCTCTTCCATGGCTCCTCTCTGAGAGACGGTGTGTGAGTGGACACCGCTGCTCTGATGAGTGAGCCTGGGCTTTAGATCAGACTGAAGACTGGCCTCGGCTGGCTTGTTGAAGGCCACTGCCGCTCTGGACAAAGGTGGGCTTTCTGTGAATGTGGCTGGAATGCACTAGCAGACTGGTGAGCCCACCATCACAGTGGCCCTGACTGAGTGTGGTGGGAAGGTGCAAAACAAGCAGCAGAGGTGCATCTGTGCGCTCAGCTTTGAGAGCAGAGCCCCGGATGCAGACAGAGGCAATGGGCAGGACAGCAGCACAGCCCCAAACCCACCTGTGGAGGAGCCTGTGACGCGGGAGTTGCCTAAATCCGATACTCACTACAGTGAGGTTGGAGAATGGCCTGGTGCCAGCCTGAGAGCCACAGTTTGAAAAAAGAAAAAAAAATCTACAGGTAGTTCTGAAATTATGAACACAATAGGGCAGGAAAAAGAATTCTGAACTTGGAGTCAAGATAAATTTCACTCTGCTGAATGCAGGTCACTCCAGCGCTTTGACCTTCCATTACCTCATCTCCAAAATAAGGTTGTAAAAAACAAAAAGAGTTACACCTACGGCACTGGTGTAGAGGGGAGTTTCCAGGCTGAGGGAGCTGGCAGTGGGTGGACCTCCTGTCCTACCAACTCAGGCCCACTGCTTCCTACCTTCCTCACATGTATCAGAAGTATCAGCCAGGCCAGAGAATCAGGTTCAGGCAGAACTGTCAAGGAATTCCCCTCTGCTTCCAAGAGGCCCATGCCCATCCTTCCTCAATGTTCCTTTACTGAGATTTGTTGCAGCTGTAGTTTCTGTGTTGACAGGAATCCCCATTCCTCAGTATCCCCAGCCTTTTCTCAGTGTAAGGCCTTCCCCCCAAGAACAGAACCTACATAGATAGAACTGATACACCTGTGGAATTGGCATATAAATGTTTATTAAGAAAACAGAGATAGCCTTTGAACCTGCTTTTTAAATAAATAAATAAGGCTTTCAGGGGGTTTGATGCATGTGCTTTTTTTTTTTTTTTTTGAGACGGAGTTTCACTCTTGTTGCCCAGGCTGGAGTGCAATGGCACGATCTCGGCTCACTGCAACCTCCGCCTCCCAGGTTCAAGCAATTCTCCTGCCTCAGCCTCCCTAGTAGCTGGGATTACAGGCGCCCACCACCACACCCAGCTAATTTTGTAATTTTAGCAGAGACAGGGTTTCTCCATGTTGGTCAGGCTGGTGTCGAACTCCCGACCTCCGGTGATCTGCCCATCTCGGCCTCCCAAGGTGCTGGGATTACAGGCTTGAGCCACCGCGCCAGGCCATGCGTGTGCTTTTCTTCTCCACCTGATCCTTCCCCTTTTCCTTCTCAGAGCTGGAGCGGGGAGCTCTGGGAAAGCCAGGCTGAGTGTCTGGTGCTGAGGGGGCTGGTGCTGTTCACAGAGCTGCTGGCAGGGGCTCTTTTTTGCTGTCAGGCGGGAAGAGACCCCAGGGTTGTTATAATCAAGCTTGTTCCCAAAGGCAGTCCCTTCTTCCCAGCTGCCTGCTTTCCACCACAGGGAGGTACACAAGCAAACAAAACCCCCGAGGGCACTCTTGTTCCTGTGATGCCGCGCTTAGGAGATCTCCCCAAGCACCTCTGTTGCCGTCTCCGCCTCAGTGAGTGGCGTGATCCGTGGCGCTCCGCAGGTCATTCAGCAGATGCTCATCCCATGCTGGTATCGCACCTCACATCGTGCTGGGCTCCAGCAGGGCAAAGGGGGTTCGGACACCAGTCCTTCTGGGGAGTTCACAGTTGGGGGCAGTTGGCAAAGGGCTTTCCCTGGGCAATGAGCCAGAGAAGCTTCTCCAGGAGGTGGCATCAGAGCTTGTCCCTAAAGGATGAGTAGCACTCTGCCAGGTGGAAAGTAGACAAGACGGTCTCAGCTGGCAGAGCAAAGAACACAAGCCAAGCTATGGAAGTGTGGAGCAAATGTGCAGTGGAAACAAAGGGGAATGTGACCCTCCTCCTGCCACCTCCGCATCACTTTCAGAGTCTCCTGCATGCCTCTCCACCTTGGCCTTATATTAGAATCTCCTGGGGAGCTAGCTGTAACAATACCAGGAGATGCCGGCCTCATCCCAAACAGTCTGTGAACCAGCCTGGGCGGCATCCCCAGCTCTGCTGTTGGGCAGTCAGTGTGAGGAACCCCAGTTAAATGCATGTATTAATGTTTGTGTGTAGATCTGTCACCTAGCTGGACTCTGAGGTCACAGCCCCCCAGAGCCTCACATGATGCCTGACACATCGTAAGACTCCAGCAGAAGCGAATTCCTTCAGGCACTGTCTTTTGAGGGAAAACTTTACACAGCTATACCAGGTGCACACTTTAGGTATTGCTGCCACCATCTCACTGTCAAGGCATGGTCTCGAAGTAGAGTGCGGGATGTGGTGCTAGATGCTTTGAGTCAGCATCACTGCCCCCTGGGATCAGTTTCAAGGTCGGACTGTGTCCCCTGGAGTTTCAAGGACACCTACGCAGGACGGGTGTGGTTTTATCAGGAGGCCTAACTGTTGGTTTCCTTCCAGGTATACGGATCCGGGTCTCAGACAAGGGCGTTCCAGTACGTCAGGTAAGACTGTCCTGCCCTGCCCCAGCCTTAGCAGTGCTTTGGAGCAGGGGTCATGCCAACTTGACAGACAGTTCAGTGTCTTGTATATGTTAACCATTTCCACAACGCTAACACTATATATTGATTAAAAATTTTTAATTTTATGATGGGAAAACTTGCTGTTCTCTGTTTAAAAGTTAAAATTTGCATTCATCTCCATGACTATCGTGACTCATGTGCTAATCTTTTACTGCCACCTAGCGGTGTGTGGGTGAAGTTGCCCAGCTCTGAGGGTGACTTGGGTGATTTCAGCGCAGGTGGAGTTAAGAGATGGCCTTTTGCATCCAGCAGACCTGTGAATGCCAGAATCTGACCCATTGCAAACATGGCTCGCGGGGTGGAGGAGATAGTCCTTGTGGAGGGCACAAGGTAGATAGTGTTCTTATGTTGAATTTCACGCTGAAACTAAATGCAGATAAAAATATATTTTTTGAATAGATTCACGTGGTGATTTTTATTGCTTTCTTGGCAGCCCTTATAAACCCACTGTTCTGTTGTTCCATTCCGTTGGTGATTAATTTTAGAAGGCAGTGTGGATTCTCAGAGTAGTTAGGATAGAAGCAGTTGTGTATGCCAAAGTGCATCCACCAGTATGTGGCTATTGTAAATTCTGTGAAAGTTTCTGGTATCCTGAATTGTTGTAAAACCCAGTTCTATATTTTGAACCCACATATTTTCACTCTTCATTGCAAATACCCCAGTATGCCTGTCAATCAGGAAGTGTTATTCCTGCTGTCTTAGGGCCATCCCAGGGGCACTAGGGTGAGATGGTGGCTGTTGTGCAGGTCGGGGCAGCCCCCAAGTCCCACCTCAGCCAAAGCAACCACATAAAATTGTACCTACCCAGGACCCTTAGGTAGGGGTCCTGGGTAGGAGTCCCGTGGAGAAATGGAACTGGTAGTAAAATAAAATTTTAAAAAGAAATCAAAATAACCACTGTAGATTTTTGCTGAAAGTATTTGTGAATTTCCATTTACTCCAAAAGAAAGCTGTGAGTAAACATTTACACAGCCAGTAGTTTTTTCCTCCCCACCCATTAATATCTTGCCTCAAGGGGCAAAAGCCCAGAAGTGTACTATAACCAACTTTGTGGCCCAAATAGGCATGCATATTCTAAAAAGCGATTTAACAGGGAAATGGCAGCTGCCCCCGCTTTGGGACTGTGTTCATTTCAAAGCACTTAACGTAGGCACTATGTCCCTGGAGGAAACTATCATGGCACACTTCTGTATGGGGACCAAATTGTGGGCCTCCCTTGGATTGAGTACCGTCTTTCCATAGTGACGCGTTCTTATCCCATCCTCCTCCACTCACCCAGCTGTGCCCTTTTCTGAGGGAGTCTTGCTGTCCTCGGTTATGTGTGCCTGCCTCGGGCTGCCTCACCAGTGGCGCCCAGGCTTCTCCAGCCCCCACACCACATGGAATATCAATGAGATGTTGTGCGGTAAAAGGAAACCAGTCAGGACCCATTCTTCTTTCTGCTCTCATTATCTCAAGGGCATTGTGTGCAAAATTCATTTAAAATAGCCTCAGAGACTTTTCTTTTTGCTAGGACTAAAATATTTTGAGCATTCAGTGATGCCTGTGCTATGTGCTGTCCCAGCTCAGGACAAAATGCACCCTGGCCCGCTCTGATGGCCTGGTCACTGTCCTGTGCCTGCTTTGATGGTCGTGGCTCATGCTCCTAGCTGCCATCACATGCATCGTCCTCTCCCACACCACTTGACTACTTGAAAAGAGGGCATGAGCAGTTTCCCTAGACACATGGTTGTTAACCCTTTTAGAAAACCCATTTCATAACACTTCAGTAGTATTTATTTACTCCCCACTCTGGTGATCCTCTCTGGTTTCACATTAGCAGAGTCTGAGATGATGAGGCTTCAGGGACTTTGCCATACTTGGGCAAGGGTTTCCTGACTTAAACTTTTTAGTTATTGAGGACTCAGATGAGTTCATTAACTGACCAAAGTTTTGATGTTTTTCACAAGCAATTTTTTAGGAACTGAGCGTCTTTTAGTAATGCACGATGTCTGGGTCCATATAGTTACTGTACTAAATTAACCATTCCCCAAACCCATGATTGCCTCGAAACAACAGTGCAGGGAGTCTGAGGTCTAGGTGGCCATCCGCATCGGCATTTTGGCATGACTCTGTTTAATATTCTCATGGCCGGTTTTGTCCTCATTTACATAACAAAGGCATGCTATATTTTTTAAAAGTCACTTTGTCAAAATGACACTTGTAAAGAGCTTCAGGTTAAAGAATGTGATCTATGCAATTTTGACCTTAAAAGTTGCCAGTTTGTCATGTAAAAGGCCCATGGCTCTCCCGTCTGCCCCACTGAGGATGACTGCCTGAGAGTCACCCTTCTTCCAACTCAGATAAACCCCACCCCCCAGTTTCAATATTAAATCATATTGTGGATGCAATGGAATGGCAGCTTTTAATGTCTTTTTATAAACCTGCACAGATGTATGTCATGAGTGCACTATTGTAATGTAGCAATACTGCCATAGTGATGAAGTGACTTTTTGCTAGTTTCTATAAAGGAGAAATCATCCAAGGTTAGCAGGGATTTGCATTTGTGCTTGATCCTTGAGAATAGAACATTTTAAGCATGTTCATATGAAATACGCATTTGTCGTAAAGGAAAACGCAGAAATATCTGATTTACGAAATACCCCAATAGGTTTTTTCAATTGAAAGCAAAACCTATCTGCGGTTTTCTTTTGGAAGTTTATCCTGACCCAGAGTGACCTGCTCCTCACTGGTAACGATGGAGGAGGAGAAGGAGAAGGGTCAGAGCTTTAAAAGTCTTCTAAGAATTGTAGCTCATGGAAAATTGGCGTAGAAAAAGTGCTTGTGCTTAGCAGTGAGGTGTCATTTTTACGAAGTAACTTTGTTTTAACAGAGCCACACTTTAAAGCTTCTGAAAATAAGAACCAAACCTTGGTAAGCGAAAGTTTGCTTACTTATCTTCACCTTCATGGCCTAGTTGATCACAATCCATTTGAAACATCCAAATATCCCTGACCGTTTCATACGAGGTGTTTTGGGGGGTGGCGACTTTAAGGTTGGGGGAGTAGGGAGTGACGTTTCTGTTTATTTCAACCCTCAGTATTGTTTGCCTTTATCTGTGATTTGCCAGTATGGGGATCACATACTGGAGTTCGTTCATTTCCGTGGATCTTGTTTTTAAAAGTAATCATGTGCTTTCGTACAGGTCAACTACTGGGTTCACATTAAACATGAATTTTCTTTGGAAACTTATGTAAACTCCATCTTTTTTGAGTGTATGCCTGTTTTAACTTATGCTTAGTTTTTAATTGTTAAAGGACTTCAGAAATGCAGTGGCGAACTCAGCCCCATCACTCAGCTTCCATCCTATTTAACTATCTCCACCACACCCAAAAAAAGCAAATCCCAGACATCAAATATATCATTTCATCCATAAATACTTTCGCATTGTAAACACCATCTTAGTTTGTAGGATTTTGTTTCGACATTCAATTTTCCATTTGGGTTTTTGTTTTCTCCTGGGGGTGGTAATTTTTCTTCTGGGAGGGCTTCTATGTGGTGCGTGGCACTAGCATATTCCAGCAGGCAGAGCCTCACCTGCCTCCCCTTTTTTTCCAGCGATCTAGTGAATGGCCTCGTGGCTCTCATGAACAGCAACGTCAGCAGCCCGGTCAACCTGGTGAGTGCTCCTCTCCCTCCACTCTGCAGGACAGCTCAGACTTTCGTTCATTTGTGAAACCATGAGCAGCACCAGGCTTTGCTTCATTTGCCATCGGCACACTTAGGACATTTGTGTTTGTTGCTTGCTAAATACTAGAGGAAAAACAAACAAACACAAAGTAAGAGTATACAAAGAAGTAAAACATCTGCAAGGCACGGGTGAGTGATGTAATCAGTCCCTCCACCTTCTGAAGGGCCTGGGTCTAAGATTGTGTGAAGCCTTTTGGTGGTAGTAGGTGGACGTGTGTGTGCATCTCGTTCTCTATTTAACAGGCGGGTCATCATTATAAGGCCTGATTGCATTTTTAGAAGATGGAGGTTGTTCAGAGGGAAAATTTTCCGGTTGCTGATGATGTCTGTCATTTAGCCGGACAGACCACCTTCATGGCTTCTCGCCTTCCCTGCATGCCTGCCCACAGCCCCAGAACCTCCCTGTTGGAGGGATCATCCAGCCTTGAGCAGTTTCAGTGCTGGTGAACTTGCTTCTGCTCAGAGAAATTCACCCTGTCTTTGGACAGTTCTGGCCGGCAGAAAGCTCTTCCTCATATTGGACCAGAAATCTCACTTTCTGCACACCTGTCCACTGACCTCACTTCTCCACCTGGGGCCATTCATGGCTAGTGTGATGCCTCTACAGTGTGGTAACTCTCCAAGGATTTGAAGGAGATGGTCCTACCCCCTAAGCTGCCTCCTCCTTGGTGCATCAGCCAAGGTCATGGTAGGACCTCTTACCCTTTCTGTCACTGAGTGATTTTCTGAGCAGTTTTGTTCCATCTCATTTAAAATGCAAGGTTTCCAATGTGGACTGTCCAGCATTCAAGATGTTCTGCTTCTGTTGATGGCAGTGGACACAAGAACCTCTTAGCTCACAGAGACCTCCCCCTTAACCCTACCTTGGGGTCATTTCAGGTGCTTCTCCCAAATTACCTCTCCTGGTTCCTACACAACACTCTAAAGTTCAGGGAACTCTAAAATGTTGGCCATGTGACCTATTTCTTGCAAACCATGTCACCTTTGCTTATGCATGTCTTTGTAACCAGCCATCTCAAATACATTGCAGACCATGCATTTTTCCCTGAGGTGAAAGGGAATTCTCATCACGTAGGAAAGAATTGCCCTGGAGTGCTGACTCCATTCTGGGACTGTTGCTGATTCATGGGTACAGTGTGCCACTTTTGAAAAAAATTCACTTAAAACAGACCAGAACGTGCCTCACACTGTAAGCCTCATTTTGCTTGCAGCATTTGCCTGTGTACACTGGAGAGGCCCGAGGCGCCCCTGCTCTGCGTTTTTGTTGCAGGTTCTTTAGCAAGGGTGTTGTCAGTGACTTCCCTGGGCAGCCAGGCTCTTCTCTGTAGATACCATGTTCCTCCTTCCCTCTTTGGGGAGGGCCTTTGCACAGGGACAATTCCTAAAATTGGAATCGTGTGTCTGCCAGGAGAAAGGCAGAATCACTTTCTTGCAAATTTCCGTCACTCCACTTCGCTAGTCATCCCCTCTGTGCTCCATTGAGGCCCAGGGTCTCTCCCTCCACATTTACCATCTAGCTTCAGGCTAACCGAGGACCTGGGCATGAAGAGGCTTTAGGGTATAGAATTATCAGACTTTATGGTGGTCTCTTATGATGAGGGCAGTGGTGGCAGAGTAAGAGTAACAGGTGCTCTGATGTGTGATGGGAGGGAGAAAAAGAGCAAATGGTTTTCCTTAAAGCCCCCACACAAGTATTCTCTCTTCATGAAATGCATGGAGTTTGTCCTCTGGCTTGCCGGGGACACTCGCCTGTGAGCCTACTCATTTCTGCCTTAGCTTTTGGGTGTGAGATTACAAGTCCTTCATCACTGACATGGTTAACACAGCTCACCCAGACGGGAATAGATAGTGTTAGGAGAGCTAATTTTGTAAACCCAAGCTTTTATAAAAGTGACATTGAAGTTATGTTAGATATGGAAATTGTCTGATACTCAGTGAGTGTGTGCCTTCATCAGAAACTCTTGACCTATCCAAAGCCCAGCCTTGTACACAGCAGCCTAGAGGCTGAAGGTATAGATGGTGCAGTTTAGCACTGCCAGGTGAGTAACTGTCATCTTGGAAGCGGAGTACCCTCTGGCACACGGAGCTCTGCTGAAGCAGCGCAGGGAGGTCAGACTCGGCCAGTAGACGTCTCTGCAGACACGCCTGTGGTCTGGGTGGTGGATTGCTGCTGTTGTCATGACGCTTATAACTGGAAACCGTTTCTTTCTTAGGGGAACCCAGAAGAACACACAATCCTAGAATTTGCTCAGTTAATTAAAAACCTTGTTGGTAAGTAGGATAAGTCATTTCCTGAGTAAAATCGACTGTGCCTGCCCTATCTGTTAATAACACCTTGACTAGAAAGTGGGTAATTAATACAAGCTAATTGAATTGGATCAAAGCAGAACTTTTTATCAGGAATACTTAAGTGTTTTCTAATTTTTAAGGAATAGAAAGATAAAGGAGGGCAGGATTGGTTTCTCCTCAGTTTTCGTTGCAGGTTTGCATGAAGTGGGAGGGAGGAGGAGATTTGCTCCCAGTGTTTGAGGCACGATTGTATTAGATCATCCTACATGGGTGACAACTATTGGATTTCCGAACTGGTCATGTCAAGCATAGAATTTCAGACAGCAAGAGACAGCAACCACCAGCTGCGTGCTTCAGGCAGGTTTGAAATTCTGTTTGCAATTCTGGTTATCCTGGCTGCCACCCACTGGGGGCAGTGTAGCATTGGGAGCACCCCATCAAGGTGGACTCTTAGGCCATGAGAAGGTCAGGTCTTCCAGACCAGCCCTGGATTGCAGACATAGAGTGGATGAGCCCTTGGCCTCATCTTCAGACTTCCTGGAGCTCTGAGGAGTCAGACTCTTGGAGGGTGTCTGTTGTCTGGGGTTGATCCTGAAATTTGAGTGAAGTCACAACCAGACTAGACTGGCAGGTAGGCCAAGGAGGAGTATGCCACAGTGTGTCCTGAGGTGACCATTCAGACCCCGCTTGGCTGGGTTAATTCCTCCAGTGTGCCCTTCCTGGCATCAGGCTGCCATTCATCGGCATTGGTCTAATCGACCCGGATGGCTGGAATCCTCCCGTTGCTCGTGGCAGTAGAAGCAGCGGTCTTCCTCAGACATAGCCTGCATCATCTGTGGCTCCCACAGCTGCTCCGATGCACTTCCCAGCTTTTCCATCCTGAATCTGTGTGTTCCTCCTGCGTGAGGAAGGGGCAGGCTCAGATCACAGCTCTGTGCCATCCACTCCTTCACACCCTCACTGCACAGAGTGAGGCCCGTGGGCCAACGCAGCAGCAGCATCATCAGATGTGTGTTAGAAATTCAGACTCTCATGCCCTAGCCCAGGCCCCCAGATCAGGATCTGCCTGTTGACAGGCTCTTCAGGTGATCCGTGCGTGCTGACGCTTGAGAAACACTATTTGAAACCTAAGGCTGGGGGGAGGGGCGTGCAGCTTCCCTGCTGTGCTTCTGTATATAGCTTTGTGACAGACCATCCTGAACCACCTGTGGTGGTGATTCGCTGCAGAGTCTGCAATGTGGCCTCCATGACACGGAGGCAGGGAAAGCCTCCACAGGCTTTCTTCTGCAGGTCTGGCCCACAGTCACTGGTGGGGCTGTGTACTGCTGGCCAGTGGGGCCTGGGCCCAGCAAGGATGTGGAACAGGCCAGCCTTTGCCGTCCTCCGAGAGGTCCCTCCAGCTGGGTGGCTGCACATCTTGGGTCTCAGGGCTGTCTAGGCTCCGAGCACCCAGGTATGGCCCACTTGGGGCATCCACCTCAGGGATGGCCCCACACCACGTTTGTGGTCTCACACCGGGGTCATGCTCGGTGGGCACGTCTGCACTTGTTACCTGGTGTGGGTGGTCTGCCTTGGAGCAACCCTCTTGTAGTGGGCGGTAACTCAGGCCTGTTGAGACAGAATAACCTGCCCCCCACCGAGCTCTTGCTGGGCGCCTGCACACAGTCAGCTTGGCCACAGCAGTTGCAGGAGCACTCCCTGGACTTCCACGCAGAACAGTCCCTCGGGAGCTCCGGGGCTTCTCAGAGAACTGCATTTCCACCGCCTGCACCCTATTCACACCACATATGGGGTTTGCCTTTGATGTGGATGGTAAGGCTGTGCTTACCCATGCTTTGTGATTCTCTCCTACCTTTTTTTTCTTTAAACATCTCAGGTAGCGGAAGTGAAATTCAGTTTCTCTCCGAAGCCCAGGATGACCCACAGAAAAGAAAACCAGACATCAAAAAAGCAAAGCTGATGCTGGGGTGGGAGCCCGTGGTAAGTGCAGGGAGTTAATGCTGCCTTGTGGGGAGGGGCCTCCCGTGTCCTGTGTCTGCTGTCCTGTAGGCACTGACCCTTGTCAGACAGCCCCCGGAGGAGCAAGGTGGGCTCGGCATCCAGGCAGATAGAGGGTTTTCTCCAAGTGGTAAACAGCCTCTCCTGTATCAGGAGTCTCAGAGAATGTTACCTGGGAAGCGGCTGGAAGCCCCTGCTCTGGGCTCTGTTTTCGTAAAATCTCTCATGCACACACACATTCTTACATTCTCTCATACACATACACTGCCATACAAACACTTGTACACACATATACTCACACTGTCTCCCACACACTCACACTGTCATATATACACTGTCATACAAACACACTTAATACAAGTATACTCACACACACTCATTTTCACACATACATATACATTCACACTATCATACACATTCTCACATTCACTCACATGCGCACACTCACTGATCCACACTCACATTCACACATACACTCCCTCTCCCACATACATACACACACACACACACACACACCCCTGACTGTGAACGCTGTGCCAAGGGCGCTGGCAGCACACGCTCAGAGCCCTGCGTAGCCCCAGTTGCCTGCCTATTGAGTGTGCGGGGCCAGGTCAGGGGCAAGTGGTCCCCATCAGCCCCGCAGTGGAGCCCCTGGTTGGAAGCGTGCGAGACTGAAGGGTGTGGAGGAAGGGGAACTGCATGCCTTCCTGTTGTCTTCAGTGTGTCTACTGAAGGGGGCAGGGTGGGGCGGCTGCTGCCTCCCTGGGGCTGAGCCTGAACCCCGCCTGCTTCTGCTCTGCCGCCTGCTGTGCCCTTCCTGCCTTGGGTGACTGCAGGCTCCTCCCCGCCAGAGAACGCTCGTCCTCAGGGCTGCCTGTGTCCTTCAGAGACCACCTGTGTAGGGAGGTTGGCTGGGTTGGCCCCATCTATAGAAGCAAGCCCACCTCATTTACTGTCACCTCTGCCTGGCTGTTCCCTCTTTGCCCACCCTCATGTGCCCCACTGAAATTCGGGCTCCCCTCGGGCAGAGGCGTGTAGTGTAGCCCTGTGTCCAGCAGGAGCCCGGCACCTGTCAGACCTGACACACACTGGGTGCTCAACAAATGTAGGAGCATCTTGGCATGGCCCTTGGGTTGTGGCGCAGTCAGAGAGTCAGGGACGCAGTTGAGAGCTCAGTTTACCTTTTTAAAATGTGCATAGTCAGAGCTGAGTGAGTAGAATCCTAGAATATTGAACTTCAAAGGGACATGAGAGTTCCAGCCTGATCCTTATTTCATTCTGTCATGTACAAGTCTACGTAATCTGCTAAAAACTGCAGAAATTTGTTGAGTGAAATAAAAATACAATTACACCCAGACTTCACAAAATCGAATAATCCCAAGCTGTGCAAAACAGGTTATAGCAGCCTAGGTTTCTTGTTTTTTTGAAGCTTTGTAAGGGGCCATTGGTCCCTTTGTAAGGAGAGCCTATATTTTTAAACAAAATATTTTTTGAAGATTTAAATATACATTCACTATGTATTAACTATTGCTTTTTATGTGAGGTGTGTGTATGCTCAGTATCTTTATCTTTCTGGAATTTAGACCTATAATATTCTAACATTCTTGGAATGTGAGCCATCTACCACTGGTTTCTCTTCTAGTAGTAGTTTTAATTTATAATAAATTTTTGAGGGATATGATCCAAAGAAACTTACAGGCATTATCCATCTTAATTGTCCCAAGTGTGTGTGTTTAACAGCTTGTTGAGATATAATTGGCAAACTGCACACTGCCCATATTTAGAAGATACAATTTGATAAGTTTTCATCTATTTTGACACCTGTGAAACCATCGCTGCAGTCAAGCTGACAGACCTTCTCCCCCAGTGGTGCCCCAGCACCCCTTAGCAGTGCCTCCCTTCACCTTTTCTCTTTCTGCTGTTAATCAGCAGTTGATCTGGCTGGTTTCCTGTTGGCTGCAAAGCAGCTTCAGATGAAGGTTGCTTTCTGTGGTGTGGGCTGCCGTGGGTCCCCTCTCAGACTCAGCCTCTTAGTATGGTGGGGGTGCAAGTGGGCCATGATCCGCTAGGCAGTGCAAAGGGTTGATGTCACGTGGGAGAATCAGGCGTGTTGATCAGATGCAGATCACCTTCCCAAAGCATCTTCCCGCCACTCCAAGGTGGATTTCTTCTGAAAGAATGGGGCACATGGGCATTATCTGAAAAACAATCTTGCCAGCCGATTCAAACTGGAGTAGACATTATACCAGCAAGAGGTAGTCGGGGTCTTTTGTGAGGTGGAGCTCACTTTACGTCAGTAAGAGTGACACTTGTCAGCTCCACAGTACATTCTGAAAGCGGCCCTGAAGGACTTCTGGCTTCTCTCGGTGGGCCGTGATGCTGGATGCTGTCACAACCAAAGCATGGTTCTGTGAGTGTTCCTCTGAAGGAGGCCTGACTGGCTGCAAGGTGGCACTTCCTTCCTGCAAGGTGGCACTTCCTTCCTGCGATGCCCTTCTGTCAATGTGACCTTGTCTCCCTTTCTTGCTTTCCCTTTAAACAGGTCCCGCTGGAGGAAGGTTTAAACAAAGCAATTCACTACTTCCGTAAAGAACTCGAGTACCAGGCAAATAATCAGTACATCCCCAAACCAAAGCCTGCCAGAATAAAGAAAGGACGGACTCGCCACAGCTGAACTCCTCACTTTTAGGACACAAGACTACCATTGTACACTTGATGGGATGTATTTTTGGCTTTTTTTTGTTGTCGTTTAAAGAAAGACTTTAACAGGTGTCATGAAGAACAAACTGGAATTTCATTCTGAAGCTTGCTTTAATGAAATGGATGTGCCTAAAAGCTCCCCTCAAAAAACTGCAGATTTTGCCTTGCACTTTTTGAATCTCTCTTTTTATGTAAAATAGCGTAGATGCATCTCTGCGTATTTTCAAGTTTTTTTATCTTGCTGTGAGAGCATATGTTGTGACTGTCGTTGACAGTTTTATTTACTGGTTTCTTTGTGAAGCTGAAAAGGAACATTAAGCGGGACAAAAAATGCCGATTTTATTTATGAAAGTGGGTACTTAATAAATGAGTCGTTATACTATGCATAAAGAAAAATCCTAGCAGTATTGTCAGGTGGTGGTGCGCCGGCATTGATTTTAGGGCAGATAAAAGAATTCTGTGTGAGAGCTTTATGTTTCTCTTTTAATTCAGAGTTTTTCCAAGGTCTACTTTTGAGTTGCAAACTTGACTTTGAAATATTCCTGTTGGTCATGATCAAGGATATTTGAAATCACTACTGTGTTTTGCTGCGTATCTGGGGCGGGGGCAGGTTGGGGGGCACAAAGTTAACATATTCTTGGTTAACCATGGTTAAATATGCTATTTTAATAAATTATTGAAACTCACCAGTCATGGACTTCCAGTTTTAAAGGTTGTCTTTCTGCTTCGGCATGGCACTTGTTGGAGTGCTAAGGAAAATATTGGAGAATTTATTTTAAAAGAAAATTCTGAAAACATTCAGGTTTGTGCACTATATAATTTGATATGTAGCTATTGAAAGCATTTATATGCTACTTGGGCTGAGTGTATGCATATAATTTTCACTGCCATGTAAAGTTTTCAGATCTTAGCCAGGGTTAGAATCAGTTTTGTGCCCTTCCTTGGCAACACAGACCAGATGGAGAAAAAAAAGGTGCAAATTGTCCCCTCTGGAGAGATCTGTGAACTAGGCTTATTGAGTGAAAACTCTGAGAGCTTTTGTTTTCAATAAGAACCCTTTCAAGGTTTAGTGTTAGCATTTTGTTTTTCCTCTTAATAAATGGAAGAACAATGCGGTAAGTTAAAGCTCCACATTTTCCAAGTAGATTGGCTCCGCGTGACAACACAAACCTGAGCAGGCGCTGAAGATTGGCTCCGCGTGACAACAACACAAACCTGAGCAGGCGCTGAGAGGATAAAGATTTCTATGTATCAGAAGCATTTAAAAATGAGAGATCCTAAGATACCTAACCAGTGTAAGCTAGACTTGCCTGTGCTTGTACAACCACCTTGGGATTCTTCTTAATTGGACATATTTTTGGAATCCCAGTCTTGGGCAGGGCAGAGGACGATGTGGTTTTGTTTCTTTGTCATGCTAAATTCTCCAGAACATTCTGGAACTAGGGTCAATGCTAGATTGGTTGTGGTGTGAGAGAGAAAGAGGAATCAAAGATGGTTTCTTATTTATAATTTTAATTATTTTGACCAGAAGTAAGTGATATACCATGTACCGAGATGGGATTAACAGAGCTGCAAGCTCATTTGGGAACTACTAATGGTAACCAAGACATTGAAAAAGGAGTGTAGACAGGGAAAGCTGAGAATTTGCGGGGACTAAGTTCTGCAGTGCAATTTGGGAGAACATAAAGGCCCCAGGGTCCAGAATTCTCTTTCCTAGTTACTTGCTAGTTAGTATCTGGAATTCTTCCATGGGATTCATTCTTTGGTTTTCTTGTCTGTGATATTCATAAAATATTTTCAGGGGAGAGAGGAGGAAGGGAAAGAGGAGTTCTATCTAATTCATCCTAAAGAAAGAAGTAATGCATCAAGGATGTAGTGTAAGGTTAATTTCCATGAATGTCCTGGGAAGAGAGGGAAGTGGAGTTGAGGGGCTTGGAAAGGGATGAATGGGTAGACAGAGCATGGTTACTGTGGTCTGAATGTTTGTGTCCCCCTATAATGCATGAGTTAAAACCTAATCCCCAGTGCAATAGCATTAAGAGTTGGGGTGCTTAAGAGGATTAGGCCATGAGGGCAGAGCCCTTTAGTGCCTACAAAAGGGGCCCAAGGGAGCTTTTTTGCATCTTTGCCATGTTTTAAGGACACAGCAAGAAGGTGCCATCTATGAAGAACAGCCCCTCACCAGACACTAAATCTGCCGGCACCTAGATCCTGGACTTCCCAGCTTCCAAAACTACCGGCAGTAAATTTCTATTTATAAATTACCCAATCTGAAGTATTTTGTTCTAGTACCCTGAACCAACTAACACAGTGGTGCTCCTGCATCTCAGGATTGGCTCCCGATTGAGGCATCACTGCTATTGCTTACAGGGACAACACTGGTACAGCTGCTCTTATTAACTTCAGTGACAGTCATAGTGGGCTTAAGCAAGGTGCAGATTAGAGAGTGAACACACTGGATTTCCACTACACCCTCTTAGATACTGAGCGCAGCCCACTGGCCCAGGTGGACTCTTGTGACTCTTGTGGCATTGCCTCTGCTCCATCCCTGACGGCATCTCTGATCACAACTCTGGTGCTGCATGGGCCACCATTCTGGTTCATGGTTCTTAGTTATGTATGAGCTTGACCTTGTTCTCAGTCTGAAAGGTGTGTTGAGTGAAATGCTGGTCTGGTGATAACTGAGCTACAGTTTGGTCTCTTAAGACTGGGAAATCTAGAAAATCCTCAGCAGTTTGCTAGGGCAGAAGAGTTGTGAGTTTTAATGTTTCAGTTCATCTGTTTAAAGTGGTTTGTTGACTTTATCCAGATATTCTCAGTGGTTGGTTGTTACCTTTGATAGGGAGTTGAAAGGTTATATTACCCAGAGAACTGATACCATAGTATCTGGGGTGTGACGCACTGAGCTTCAGAGACAGCAGCAAGACTTGGTTCTAATCACCATGATTAACCCGCATGTTTTCTCTGTATTAAAAAGCCCTGATTGTGTCCTGCTTGTACCTTGGCCACTTTGGAGAACAAGAGTCACTTTTACCTAAAACTGTACTGTGGGAAGGAAAAAAGTAAAGATATTATTATCAAAAACATCAATGTTTTTAAAAAGTCCTGCTATTTTGGTGCTGCTGAATTTTAAGTTTCTGTATTTCATATACATTTTACTTGAAGTAAAACTAATGTGATGTGGTACAGAATTCCAGGATGTAAGAGTCAGTGTAGATGGCTCTACCATGTACTAATGAGGGGAGGTCAGTTTTTAAAGAAATGAAGATAAAGGAAAATGCAAGGAAGAGACTCTACCGTTTTTACAAAATGGAGTAGACATACTTTCCCTCATCTTCCTACTAAGTACAATTTAAAATTCTGGACATTATATGTAAAACAAGCATAATATGCTGAAAGTAGATAGAAAAAGGTAGACCAGCCAGGGACCTCAGGACCTGAGGAAGAATGCAGTGGTGATATGGGCTAAACCGTGTTGCCTTAAAATTTATGTTGAAGTCTTAACCCATAGGACCTCAGAAGGTAACTATAGAGATTAGGCCTCTGAAGGTGATTATGGTAGAATAAGGTCTTTAGGGTGAGCCCTAATCCAGTCTGAATGGTGTCCTTGTAAGAAGAGAAAATTTAGACAACAGAGATATGCATACACAGAGAGAAGGCCACGTGAGAACACAGCAAGAAAGCAGCCATCTCAGCCCACGAGAGAGGCCTTTGGAGAAACCAAACCTGTCTACACCTATTGATCTTGGACTTCTAGCATCCAGAACTGTGAGAAAAATGAATTTCTGTTGTTTAAGCCACCCAGTCTCTGGTATTTTGTCACGGCTCTCCTAGCAAACTAATACAAGTAGTGAGTTCCCTGGGTTTTCTTTTTGCCTTCTATATGCCAGCCTTGGAGCTGGATAAGTTACTAACCAAAGAGTGCCAACAGACACAGTCAAAAACCCCAACAGAAACCTATTCACTGCTGCCAGCATACCAGGGAAAGGGCAACCTAGTAAAAAGGAAAACTTTTAAACAGAAATGGCTCTACTGTAGCCAAACACCACATGAAAAACACTACAGCCCCTCCCCATCCCTTCCAGCAAAGACCAAGTGGGACCTGGAGCTCCACCCTCACCTAACGTTAAGAAGATGCCTCAACCTGCCCCTACCCCCACTCTTTGCTCTGGTGCTGTCAGCAAAGGCCTGTAGGGGCTTGGGACTAGAAGGCCTGAGCTGAGATTTGCATCTCCACTGGGTAGTAATGACCCCAACCCCATGGCATCAACTGCCTAGTGGAGAGTCAGGGCTTTCAGCACTTTCAATAATCAGCAATAATAAGGCAACCTCAGTGAAGGCCACATGGGGAGCAGTAACAAGCTCCCCACCCCTGACAGCCTGAGTGTTACCAGTGGAGGCCTGGAGGGAAACCTGGGTTTCCACCTGCTACCTGGCAGTAAAAAGGCAGGTTCCCCACTTCACTCCCTGGAGCAGTCAGAGTAGGCCTGCTAAAATTCAAGATTTAAATCAGACCCAGAGTCTTACAGCACTCAGAACTGATGAGGTTTAAATCAAAAATTATTCACCACACCAGAAACCAAGAAGATCTCAAGGTAAATTAGAAAAGATAATGAACAGATACCAGCACCAAGATCACACAGACATTAGAATTATCAGACAAATTGTTTTAAAACAGCCATTGTAAAAATGCTTCAATTAGCAATTACAAACATGGTTGAAACATGAATAGAAAACTGCAGCAAAGAGAAGATACGAAGAACTAAATGGAAATTTTAGAACTGAAAAAGTAACAGATAAAAAGCTCTGTGGATAAGTTCAACAGCAGAGTGGAGAGAACAGAAGATAGAACAATCAAAATTACCCGGTCTAAATAACAAATAGAAAACAGACTGACAAAAATGAACAGAGCCTTGGAGATATGTGGAACAAAGCATCTGTCATGTCATTGGGGTCATAGAAAGAAGAAAGAGGATGGAGTTGAAGAAAATTTAAGGAAGAAGGGCTGACAATTTCCCAAATTTGACCAAAAAAAAAAAAATCAAAATGCTGAGTAACCACCAAAGAAGATAAGCCCAAAGAAATACATGCCAAGATTTATCATGGTTAAACTGAAAATTAAAGGCAAAGACATGGTCCCTGAGGCTGCCAGAGCAGAATGACACCTTACCCCTAGGGCCAAAGCAATTAGAGTGGTAGCAGGTTTCTCAGTGGAAACCACCGAGGCCAGAAATAAGTGACACAAATGCTGAAAGAAAACTGTTAATTCAGAATTCTATATCCAGCAAAAATGTCCTTCAAGAATGAAGTGGAAATCAAGACATTCTCAGATGAAGGAAAATTATGAGAAATGTAAATGAGCAGACCTCTAACGACAGTTAACAGGAAACAAAGGAATCTTGTGGCATCAAGCAGGAAGAAAGAACATAGAATGAAAATATCAATAAATGCAATAGGCTTTCCTTTTCCTTGTAAGTTTTCTAAATTATGTTTGAAGTTTGAAGCAAAAATTGTAACATTCTCATGTGACTGTCTATGTAGAGGAAATAGTCAACTATATTATACATATCAGAAGGTAAAGGGAGGTAACATTTCTATCCTTCACCCAAATGGGCAAAAGTTGACACTAGTAGATTTTTGGTAAGTTTAATGTAATACCTAGAGCAACCAGCAAAAAAAGCTATACAAAGAAATGTACTCAAATGCACAAATAAAATAGAATGCCAAAAAAGTACAACCTGCAGGAAGGCAGGGAAGAGAAAATGAAAATATAAAACAAAGTAAAACGGCAGATTTAAACTTTAACATAACAATAATTGCATTAAATGTAAATGGTCTCAGCACCAATTAAGAGATTGGCAGAGTATATTTTTAAATGGCCCAACTATATGCTATGAGAAACTTCAGTGAAAACAATATATGTGGGTTGAAAGTAAAAGGATAAAAAAATATATACTATGCAAAAATCAGAGGAAAGCAGGAGTGACTACATTAATATTAAATAAGATAAATTTCTGAGCAAAAAGAAAAAAAATTGCCAAGGTCAGAGAGGAACATGACATTATAATAAAAGGATCAGTCCAACCAAAAGACCCCAGCAATCATAAAGGTGCATGCAACAAGTAACACAGCTGCAAAAAATGTGAGGCAAAAACTGGTAGACCTTAGAAGAGAAATAGGTAACCCAAAATTATAGTTGGAGAGTTAAGCACCATTCTCAATAATTTATAGGGTAACTAGACAGGAAATCAGCAAGGATATTGAACTCAGTAACCACCAACAGGATCTAATTTGCATTTATACGACACTTCACAGAACGGTAGCAGAATACACCTTCTTTTCAAGTGCCTACTGAACATATACCAAGGTAGACTATATCCTGGTCATAAAACAAACTTCAACACATTTAAAAGAACTGGAATAAAACTGAGAGACCACAATGGGGTCAAACTAGAAGTCAGCGACAGAAAAATAACAGGAAAATCTCCTAACACTTGGAAACAGTGCAACGCACTTCTGAATAAGCCATGAGCCAAAGAGGGAGTCTCAATAATTGTTGAAAATATATTGAACTGAATAAAAATGTCAAAATTTGTGAGATGCAGCTAAAGTTGTGCTGAGAAAAAACTTTGTGGCACTAAAATTCTAATATCAGTAGAGGAGAAAGAAATCTCAATAATTTGAGCTTGTACTTCAAGAAATTTAAATGAAGAGCCAAGTAAGCCCAAAGCAAGCAGAAGGAAGGAAATAAGAAGCGCAGAAATCAGTATTGAAAACAAAAAGCAATAGAGAATATCAGTGAAACAAATTACTGGCTCCTTAAATAATAAAAGCCACAAACCTCTAATAAGACTGACAAAACAGAAAACACCATTAATGGGAATGAAACAAGGGATGTCACTTAATAGACATTGAAAGGATAACTAGGGAATACTAGCTACAACTCTACATACATAAATTTGAAAACTCAGATGAAATGGGCAAATTCCTAGGAAACGTATCCTAGGAAATTCTCAGTATGACATTTGTAATTTGAATAGCTTATTTAATGATTTAATTCATAGTTTAAAATCTGAAGAAAAAAAAAAAAACTCCAGGCTCTGAGATTGACTGGAGAATTCTGCCAGACATTTAAAGAATTCACACCAATCCTATACAATCTCTCCCAGAAACTAGAAGAGAAAGGAACATTACCCAGCTCTTTGTATAAAGCCAATATTACCCTGATACTAAAACCAAAGAGCACAAGAGAATACAGACCAGTATTCCAAATTCGTACAGATGCAAAAATTTTTAATAAAATGTTAGCAAATTGAATACAGGAGTATATAAAAGGAATTATTACCAAGTGGGGGTTATTCCAGGGATGCAAGGACTAGCTCAATATTTGAAAATCTTTATATAATCCATCATTTTAATAGGCTAAAGAAAAAAATCTCATGACCATAGCAAATAATGCTGAAAAATCACCTGTATTATGGTCTCTGCTTTATGCCTGTTGTCTATCTGACAAAGCTTGAATCTTAAAGATTAGGTTTAAATAAAGGGAGGAAAACTTAAAAGGCATTGAAAAGGACTAAGGAATTGGTAATAATCACTAAAAATGGAATTTTGTTCATTAAGTGTTAAAAGCTTGTCATTGAAAATGAAAATACATATGGGTAAAGGTGATAACACCTATTTTCCCCCTTTGAAAGGTGATAGGTTGCAGTGATGTAATATGCAAATGTGAGGCAGAAATGGTGATATGGTGTTTCTTCATTACCTCCCAGAACAACTGTGTCTGAGCATGCTGGGCAGCTGGAGAGGTCACCCTGGACAGTTAACCACGCTCTTTATTTCCAAATCCATGATCAAATGGCAGGAGGCAAAATCCATCCGTTGTCAGTGCAGGAAGGACCCACTCAATGGGGTTCCTCTCTGCATTTGGGCGTCTTCGGTAATAGATGCTTCCCATGTCCCAGTTTATTTTCACAAAATTTGTTTCTCAGCGAGGAGAGAAAGGGAACTCGAAATCAAAAAAGAGTAAGGTGAGAGAACCCAATTTAAAAACAACAGAAGCAGCAGCAAAGTGCCAAATCACATCAAAGGTACGACACATCATTTTAAGTGGATTCTGACTCACACTTTCTTCATAGATGCTACATCTGCTGCTTGCGTGGGCTTCTTGGTTCCATTTTAACCCTGAGGGAGGTGCAATGACATAGTATTGTGCTTTTCTCTCTCCAGGTCATCTTATGTTAGGTGTGTTAGGCACAGGCAGAAAAAAAATGTACCTCACTGGAAAGACACAACTCTTTATAAATCCCAATTCCCAACTGTGCTTACCTGTTTCCCTGTTTGCTGCAGTAACCTGACAGGAGAAGCAGGGTAGATCAGGAAACTACTAGAAAAGCATCGGCCTGGTTTATAGGCAAGTCAGCTGCCTTCCCAGAGCCTTCGTTTACTTGTCTGTAGCCTGAAGGGGGCGGTGGATCGTACTGTATCTAGCCTTGCCACCACTCCTTACGTTTGTACACTAGTTTTATTTTAGTGAAAGTTTCAGAAGAATCGAGGACTAGATCTCTTCCTAAAGCCTCAGCAGGGATGGAGCAGTGAGTTGCTGTTGTACTTGAAAATCACCATTGGGTATCCCATGGCTCAGACTTTAAGAAACTTTCATCTTCAAACACAGGAATTTCTATAAACAGTTTTTACAACTGTTCACTCGCCCTGCTGGAAGCACTTAGCTTTGTGAAGCTCCCATTCCATTATCAGAATTCTGAGCAAAAATTGGCTTCACTGAGCAGCCACTCATGGGGCCTGGTTGTGCCCTTGGGGCTCTCCAAGAACAAGACAAAGACTTTCCTCTTGACAGCCCTTCAGATGTTTGAAGACGAGCAGTCAGTCCAGTCCTTGGACTCTGCTCTTCTAGGCTTGACGTCCCCAGCATGGGTTCCCCGGGACTCAGTCTTCTCTTTAAAAAGATGGCGGTAGGGATAGCAATGCCTGTTCACACGCCGTCTTTCTGTCTTTAATCTGTGGCTCTTGGTCAGTATATTACAGTAGGGGTTTTTGTCCTCTGTTGAAGAATCAGCTTTATATAAAATGTCTGGTTTACAAAATGCTGGTCAGTAATTCTGATCCACAGAAGAATACAGTGCTGCTTGTTAAAAATGGGCCCTTAGGGGAGCAGGTGATATGATTTGAAAAGCTCATGGCCAAGGGTCTCTGGCCAAGCTTCAATGAAC
The DNA here is from genome assembly GCF_000001405.40 of Homo sapiens. Lineage (NCBI taxonomy): Eukaryota > Metazoa > Chordata > Mammalia > Primates > Hominidae > Homo > Homo sapiens. The sequence continues at coordinate 106,084,769 of NC_000002.12, read as the reverse complement.
TACTGCCGGGCACTATGGCTCACACCTGTGATCCCAGTACTTTGGAGGTTGAGGCAGGAGGATCGCTTGAGACCAGGAGTTCAAGACCAGCCTGGTCGACATAGCGAGATCCTGTCTCTACAAACAAATAAATTATCTGGGCATGGTGGCACACACCTGTAGTCTCAGCTGCTCAGGAGGCTGAGGTGGGAGGATGGCTTGAGCCCAGGAGTTGGAGCCAGCAGTGAACGATGATCGCACCACTGCACTTCAGCCTGTGTGACAGAATGAGACCCTGTCTCCGAAAACAAACAAGCTTCACACCTCACAGGATTGAAATTGCACCTGTAGTCACAATGCACTCCTGTTCACAGGCAGCTAGCTGCAAGGGCAGTGGTTGAGTGGGAGAAAATGTTAGTTTGCTGTTGCCAAACCAAGTATAGGCTCAAGAAACTCCGGGCCCAAGAGGCATACTTTGGAGGGAGAAGGTGAGACCCTGCTGTGGTGGGGCATAAATAAGCTAACGGGTGGTGGGGACAAGGGAGAGGAATAATGTGGTGTGGGAAAGATGTCCACATCTGAGTCGTAATCCCTGCTCTGTTCCTAACTCACCTTGTATCCCAGGAGCTGACTGGCATTCAACCTCTCTGGCCATCATCTTCTTCATATGTAAAAATGAGACTAGATCCATATGTAAACATGAGACTAGATCCTTCCTTTGTGTAGTCAGGATCCATTCGACACGTATTAAAGCTCACTTACTCTGACAGACTCTATAATATGCTCTGAAAGTTTTATAGTGAGCAGAAACAGGTGTGAGCTTTTCCTGGGGTTCACAGTCTAGCAGAGTTTGCTGAAGTGCAGAGCAAGGGAGATTGAAAACAGGAATATTAAGAGGTAGGGAGGGGGCCAGGTCTCATAAACACATCAAGGGTTTTCATCTTTATCCTAAGAATAACTGGAAACTTTCACTCTGGATATATTACAAGAACTGGAATGGAAATCCCTTTAAATAAGGGGTCTCATGAACTTGAATGGGAAAAAAAATGAACCTTTTTGTTTCTACTAACCCCTAACTCAAATTTAGCCTTTTCTTCAATGATAAATGTAGACAACAAACTGTGATGGAAATAGCTCTTAGCCGGGATTCTGCCACATATAGAAATCAGATATATTATCACATTATAGTTGTTACAATTGTCTCAAAATGTCATTTACTTTCACTACTTTGAAATTACAATAGCTGTAGACCTACCAGTAAGTCTTGTTACTTACAGCGTGAAGAAACACATTTATTACTATCTCGTAAATTTGTCTTTTAAAAGGTTGTAAACTTTTTCAATATAATTGATTTCCTTTGTAATCCTGTGTACTTGGTTTTATGCATTTACAAATGTTATTCTTAAAGATTTTCAGAGACAAAAAAGGTAAAGAATGTTTGGTTTGAAATAAATGACCAAATAGGAGTTCTGTCTCCAGCAGTATGACAAATTAATGTGAATAAACCCCTCAATGGGAACAAATGAAATGCTGGATGTGATTTTATATACACTTTCCTTAGATGATAAATAAAGAATCTGCAGAGTCCCAAAAAGAAGGGAAAACCAGCTATTGTATGAAAATGTCTGCAGAATCATGTAGAGCTTGAGAATCTTTGAAAGCTGCAAAGGGCTCAGGACAGGAGATAAAGTTTAGGTCAGATTACCCTGCATCAGACTGAGCTCCCAAAAGGCTCTACCTTGGTGTACGGGCCAATGAGAAATAAATCCATCACACAAAAGGGGGCAGTGAGGATGCTTTCTTCCAAATTTCAGTTTGGTGGGAGTGGACTGAGAACAGTAAGTACAAGGTGTCTCTATTTGGTCTGTAAATCCACAAGCACAGAATTTAAGGTGGTCCCAGTTTGGTAGACTCCATTGCACCCCAAGCCACTAGCAAAAGAAAATGCAAGTGCTGTCTGGAGGACTTCAACTTAACTCAGCTTTCAAGTGTGTCTTAAAAACAACATTCCGAAAAGAATAAGCAGCTCATGGTTAGAAATTACATAAAATCAAGGAGACAGTCACTATGAGTGAGAAACCGTAGATGGTAGGCAGAAAGAGATTCACAAAGACCCCAGATACTGGAAATGACAAAAATATAAAAGTGTTTTATACATTTAAAGAAAGAAAAGAGAAACTTGAAAATCTAAACAGGGAACAAGAGATATAACCAAGCATATTTGAATAAGAAAGGAAAAATATAATTAAAATTTACATACTTGAATAAAACATTCCAGAAAGAACTACTAGAATGAGGGAGAGACACCATTCAAAGAAAAAAAATGGAGAATTTTCCAAATTGTTCGAAAGACACCAATCCTCAGATTAAGCCCAACAAACTTCAAACATATTAATATTTATAGGCATAGATGTGGATATAGACAACAAAGAAGAAAAGTAGGTATCAAAACAATTTAAGACGACAGTATCACCTACAGAGGAATGGCTATTAGATGAATAATGAAATTCTTAACATCGGCAATGGAAACCAGAGACGGTAAAATAAATTCAAAGTATTGATTAAATAACCAAGAATTTTATGCCAAGTAAAACACGGGAAAGTGCCAAATTTGAGAGTTTACCACCCAATGCACTCACTAAATAGATTCTGAAGGATATGATTCAAACTGAAGGAAAATGATCTCAGATGCATGGGCTGAGTTTTAAGGAGAAACAGTAGAGCTAAGATAATTATGAAACAATCTAAACAAACCACTGATTTTGAAACAAAGATAATTTGCAGGGAAAATAAAGCAGACTAGATTTAAAATGTCAAGTTGCAGTCACATGTAAGTTGGAAGGGGGAATGCAAGGCCCATGTATTGTCCAGGAGAACACTATGGCTATTGAGTCCCTTTAACTTATTAATATGTATGAAATAAGGCAAACACCAATAGAATAGATCAGTGTATACCTTCAGTAGAAGTAGAGAAAAAAAGAGTCCAAATGAAGGAAGAGAGGGGAAAGGAGCAAGTAAAATGGAGCAGATCAAATGTTCAAAATGTGATGTTAAAAATAAAACCAAATCACTAATCACAATAAGCATAAGTGGACTAAATTCTCCAGTTAACATTTTGTTATATTTTAGAAACAAAACAAAATTCAGCTATGTGCTTATTACAACAGAAACACCTAAAGCACAGAAAGATTAAAAGTCAAACCGTGGAAAAGATAGACCAGGAAAATATTAACCCAAAGCAGGCAAGTATACTCATATTAATATCAAAGGAGAATTCAGGCAAAAAGTATTACTCAAAATAAGGAAATTTCTTACATAATAATTCCACTTACTGGGAAAAGGTACTGATTCTAAATTTATGTATGTATGTATATGAATAGTGTATAGCCTCATGATATACAAGGCCAGACTCACAAAATTAAAAGGAAAAAATTTTAAATCCATCATCATAGTAAAAGATTTTAACACACGTAGATCAAACAGACAAAAACAATCAGTAAGAAAGTAGAAAATGTGAACGTAAAACTATGGAGCTTGAATTAATGGGCTTTTACTGCATCTGACATTTGGAAAAGACACACTTCATTCAAGCACACATGGAACAGATGCTGGGATTGACACACCCCAAACATAAGGCACGACCAATACACTTCAAAGGATTGAGATCCGCCTGACCACATTTCTTACTGCAATGCAATTAAGTTGGAAAACAAAGCATGTAAGATAATTAGAAAAGTCCGCTCACTTGGAAATTTAGTAACACATCAATGTATGGGTCAAAGGAGAAATCGTAATTGAAATTAAAAGATTTCACCATGTAGTTTTTTACATCAGACACATGGGATACAATACTTGGAAGGAAACGTAGAGCATTAAGTGCTTGCCTTAAAAAAAAAAAAGAGAAGGCTCAAAATAGAGCTAAGATCTAATTGAATCAAAGACCCACAGAAGAAGAAAGAAAGAAATTAAAAGGACAGAAACAAATGAAACAGAGAAACACACAAGAGATCAACAAAACACAAAAACTATGTATTTGAAAAGGCATGATTCATTTTTTTAAAAACACACAAATGGAATGAAAAAAAGAACATAAATGCAGATGCTACAGAGAAATGCAAGAGGGAATAAGAACTGCTCTCAACACACTTCAGATCTTTAATATAGTGGATGACTTCCTAGAAAGACAGAACTTAGCAAAACCAACTCAAGGAGAAACACAAAATCAGAATCATCCTTTACCTGTAAGAGAAATACAACCAACAGTCAAAATTTTTTCCATAGAGAAACCAAGTCGAAATGGCTCAATCTGAATGCTACTAAACATTCAGGAAACAACAATTTCATTCTCACCATTCTTACACAGACAATAGAAAACAAAACACTCTCAATTCATTTTATGAGGCCAATATAACCTTGATACCAAAACTGCAAGAACACAACCAGACAGACAACTACAGGCCAATTCAATCTCACTTTATGAACATGGATGCAAAAATTCTGAACAAATATTACCAAACCAGATCCAGCAATGAAAAATAAAAGATGATACATCATGATCAAGTTGGGTTTATTCCAGCAATTTGACTATTAGAATTGTTATTAATAAAATTCACCTTAGTAACAGATTTAAAAGGAAAACTTAGTAAAGAAAAAAATAGAATTAAACATCCATATAACATATGACATTTAAAAAGTCTTAGCATATTTTTAGAAGGAAATTTTTTTAATTTGAAAAAGGACATCTAGAAAAAAAAAATCTAGCAAGTATAGTTAAGGAGGAACATAGAAAGCAGTCCCTTTAAGATAAGGAATGAAGCAAAGATGTCCTCCATCACCCACTTCACTCCTCTTTAAGATTGCATTGGGATTTGAGCCAGCTCAGTATAGTCAAGAAAAATAAACAAAAGTGTTAAGGGTGGGAATGTAAAATGGTATGCTGCTGTAGAAAACAGCATGGAGGATTCCTCAAAATTTTTTTTTTTTTTTTTTTTTTTTGAGATGGAGTCTTGTTCTGTTGCCCAGGCTGGAGTGCAGTGGCGCAATGTTGGCTCACTACAACCTCTGCCTCCTGGGTTCAAGCGATTCTCCTGCTTCAGCCTCCCTGGTAGCTGGGATTAGAGGCGCCCACCACCATGCCCAGCTAATTTTTGTATTTCAGTCCACTTCGGCCTCCCAAAGTGCTGGGATTACAGGCATGAGCCACTGTGCCTGGCCTGGTTCCTCAAAAAATTAAACATGGAATGAATATATGATCCAGCAATTCCAAAGAGAATTGAAAGCAGGGACACAAAAAGATACTTGCACACCCGTGTTCATAGCAGCATTATTCACAAGAGCCAAGAGATAGAAGCAGCCCGAGTATCCATGAATGGGTGAATGGATAAGCAAAAGTGGCCTATCCATACAATGGAATATTATTCTGCCTTAAAAAGGAATGAAATTCTGACACATGCTGCAACATGGATGAACCTTGAGGTCATTAAGCTAAGTGAAATAAGCCAGACACAAAAAGACAAATACTGTATTACACTACTTATATGAAGTCCCTAGAGTGGACATTCGTAGAGACTGAAAGTAGAATGGGGGTTGCCAGGGGTTGGGGATAGAAATGGGGAGTTAGTGTTTAAAGGATACAGTATCAGTTTGGGAAGATGAAAAAGTTCCAGAGATGGACGGATGGTAGTGACGGTTGCACAACAATGTGAATATACTTAGCCACCGAATTGTACACCCGAAAATGCTTAAAAGGGTAACTTTCATGTATATTTCACTACAATTTTAATTTATATGAATCCCCAAGAAGAAAAGAATGACCTTTGTTTATGATTGTCCGTAACACCGCTGCTCTGAATCCAGTGCTTCCTACTGGGCCTAGGGTTATTGATTACATAGGGTTTGTGAATGGGGGTGTGTTTCAGAGGCTATCTGCAAAATTGCATGTAATTTTTCTGAGGAAAAGAGCAAAAAGCTTTCAGACTGTCGGAGGAGTCTGTGACATACAAAAGTCTGAGACCCATTCTGAGTTGCCCCCCTCATGCTGTTAATCTCCTCCCCCACCTCACCCCCTGCAGTTCTGCGTAGTCTGGGACCAGACCCCCTCCTATCAGCAAAGGCTCAGATTCTTCACTCACCTCCCCCGTCTTCTTATCCTCCCTCTCCCTCACCCAAATACCACCTTTTCTTTCATTCACTCAGGTTGTTTACAATGCAAAGAATATTCTTAAATATGTCTTAAATTCATGGAACAAGGTTTTATTTTTTAGATAACTGTGGCTCTGAAATCAACCAAATTTCAGGTTTTTTTCTGTTGCCCTTCATTTCCTGGATGGTAACATTAAACAGGTCCAGCTGTAGCTCAGAACCAGAAGGGTTTTCTGTCAAATGATTGGAATCCTCCACGTTCTGTAACCACAGATTATTTTCAACTAGCTTTTCTTGCTGATCGTGTGCCTTGCATTTCATGTAGACTGTGTTCTAACAAACTGAAGACCTCTCACTCAGTCCTGTGGTCTGCCTGGGTGGTGGTGAGGAATCTCACGGTGATAACAGAGAGGTGCCTCTCAGACGCAACTTCAAAACATCAAGGGAACGAGAAATGTCACCAGCTTAATTTGCACCCAAATGAATTCTAAGACTTTTCTTTTTAACAAAATGCTTTATTTCTATTTTTAAATGAGAGGCATTCCCATGAAATATCAAAAGGCATTTACATGTGTTGTTTTAACTCTTCTTTTTTGATCACACAAAGTAGGTAGAAAAGATCTGCTGAAATAGAGCAAATCAGAAACCAAGTAGTGTAAGGCATTAGGAGATACATGAAGAGAATCGCTATTTGCTTCTTGTACAGCGTGTGGCAAGTCATGGTTAGTAGTCATCGTAGTTGACGCTGGCTCCATGCCTAAAGCCGTAGGGGCTCCGGGGACCAATTGCAGAGTCTTCATCATAGTGACGTTGGTAGTAATCGCCATAGTATTCATGTCCATTTCGATCTCTGTTAAGCCAATAGGTGATGTCATCTTCAAATTTCTGGAGGAAAAGAGAGAGAATGATAGAGAATGGATTTAAGGTCATGCAGTCCCCTAAGACCTAATCTTACCTATGGCTTTTCTTCATGGTGGTTTTTCTTCAACGATTAACAACCCTTAGTAACTCCCTGTTACCGTATTCTTGTGCTCAGAGGCCAAAACAGTCAGCAGTATTCACTCTGATAAAAGCTATCTTTTCCCAAAGGAGTGCAGGCCCATACCTTTGCAAACTTTTGTAAAATATTTGCTAAGTGTATTCCAGACTTAAATGTTTTTCTCTCTCTTGGTAAATCAAATGGACAGGTGCCCAAATACCATAACAACTTGGCCTGACCCTCAGACCACATCTCACTGTGGCAAACACTGTCTTATCTTCCTACCCCATTCCTGTGCCTGGCCCTTTATACTGCATGTAGTAGATGCTTAATAAATGTTGCCTGAGTTAGATCAACCACTGCATTGGCCTATTATAGTGCCAGGGCAGAGAACTGGGGGTACATTTGATGGTGACTCTTATACCTGTGTTGTTGGTTAGAGTGTACACAGATGCATTTATTTATTCTGCAAATGCTTTGAGATGGGCACTGTGTGTCATGCCCTGTGCTGGGCACTGGAGGGCTGCCAAAAACAGTCGTCTGTGCCTTCAAGAAGCCTACTGTTCCTGAGTGACAGATATGAGAAGAGACAGTTGCAGATAATAAAAGGGATAGAGAAGCTAAAGCTGAGTAAGTAGTGTAGAATGATGGTCAGGTTTTGGTTTGGGCAACTGATCTTGGCTATTAATACATTTTTTTTAAAGGAGAGACTAATTTTTCTTTGGTGGTGGTGAAGGTGCAAGATTAATTTAGACTAGGACTCGTGTGCTGATGCTCAGGACATCGCAAGAGATTTAGTGTGAGAGCAAAAAGGCAGGGAGATGACAGATGGGCTGGGTGAACGGGTCATGCCATTGGGGTGCAGGGCCAGTTTTTCTCCAAGCGTGGCCCATGCACCCCAACATCCAAATCACAAATGCAGGTTCTCAGGCACCAGCCACTCCATGCCTCCTGCATGGAACTTTCTGATGTTTGGGACTCAGCAACCTGTTGTTATTTTAACAAGACTGCCAATGAACATTAATTAATATTGAGAACTTTGTGAGGCTGGAATCCCCAGCCTAGCCCGTGTCTGTGGTCTCTGGGGCTCAGTGGTCATCCACTCTTGGTGGGTACTGGGCCAGCTAGTGCTGGGCTAAAGAGCATGATTCCAATTTCTCACTGCCATTCTCTATACCTGGGGTCTGAATCATCTGAGCCCACCTCAGCCTCTGCCTTGGGAAGGAGGACACCGACTTCTTTGGCTCCATCTCTAGTTTTGCTTTCCCATAATACAACATTTTTGGCCATGGTGAAACAATCTTGCCTCTTGGGTTTTCTCATTTTATTTTATTCATTTATTTATTTTTTAAGAGGGAGTTTCACTCTTTCACCCAGGCTGGAGTGAAGTGGCATGATCTCAGCTCACTGCAAGCTCCACCCCCCACCAGGTTCAAGCGGTTCTCCTGCCTCAGCCTCCCGAGTAGCTGGGATTATAGCCATCTGCCACCACGCCTGGCTAATTTTTTTGTATTTTTAGTAGAGACAGGGTTTTGCCATGTTGGTCAGGCTGGTCTCCAACTCCTGACCTCAGGTGATCCACCCATCTCGGCCTCCCAAAGTGCTAGGATTACAGGCGTGAGCCACTGTGCCCAGCCTCTCATTTTACAAGTTTGCTTGCAGTTTTAGCTTAAATATGTATTTTCAAAAATTTTTTAAAATCTTTGATGAATACAGAAATAATATAGATTAAGATTTTAAAATCTGTATGTGAGAGAAGAGCATAGAAAAAGAAGATCATATTCCTTTGCCAGAGACCACTAGTGACACTTGGATGTAGTCATTGTACTCTTTTTAATGCATATTAAGTTACTGTAATCTTATTTGATCCTCATCTTTATTCTGGTTTTGTCACCTGACATTATTTGAGTAGTTTCTGCATGTTAAACTCTCTTTTTTTTTTCTTTTTTGAGACGGAGTCTCATTCTGTTGCCCAGGCTGGAGTGCAGTGGTGCGATCTCAGCTCACAGCAAACTCCGCCTCCCGGGTTCGAAGGATTCTCCTGTCTCAGTCCCCTGAGTAGCTGAGACTACAGGCGTGAGCCACACACCTGGCTAATTTTTTGTATTTTTAGTAGAGACGGGGTTTTGCCCTGTTGGCCAGGCTGGTCTTGAACTCCTGACCTCAGGTGATCCACCTGCCTTGGCCTCCCAAAGTGCTGGGATTACAGGCATGAGCCACCATGCCCGTCCCTGCATGTTAAACTCCTAATGCCCATTTTAATGATGGTCATCAAAGAAATGCAAATTACTGAAGGAGGATATAGCATTTTCATCTATCAAGTAAGCAAACATATACTTTTAATTTTCAATGAGAACACCAGATGCTGCTGAAGACGCCAGAAAACTGTTGCTCTTACATGTGACTCACAGGAATGTGCAGTTTGACAATACTCAGAGATACTTAAATGTGATTCCACCCTTGCCCCAGGAACCTCACTGGGAAGAATGTGGTCTAAGTAAAAGGCAAACTGTACAGAGATGCAAATAACAGCACCTGCCTTTTGGGTTGTTGTGAATGTGAAGTAAGTTCGTACCTCTAAGTACTTAGAATCATGCTTGGCTCAGAGTTTGGCTATACATGTTTACCTATTTGCACAGAAAAAGAAAAAAAAAAGCAAAAAGACACTTAGGGAACAAGTAATATGTCCAATGGTTGGAAATGTGAAGGAAATTTTGGTATAGCCACATGATTTCACTTTATGTAGCCATTACAAATGATATGTCTAAGGGGTTTAGTTTTTTTCTTCACCTACTGCAGTATTGTGTATACACCGTCTAAATGAATCATGTGCCCATTTTGAAAAACACATCCAACTGCCCATTTGGAGGTCCTGCCTATGAAAAGCCCATCTGCTCCCTGGTGGGGCAGCACAGGCCACAGGTCCTCCCTTTACGTCTCACACAGGGAGCTCAGCCTCCTCAGTCACCATGGATGGATGCCCATGCGGCAGCATCTATGACTTCCATGGGCTGCCGTCTCACCTCCACGTGCACCCCAGCTGGGAGCCTACGATCATAAACTCTTTGTCTTTCATTCAATGAATACGTCCACCAATGCCATCTAGGCGCATGAACTGTAAACCATCTTTTCCTATAAGTGCATTGACAAATTTTCCCCAAAACCTCTACAAAGACCCATCCTCTCTTTACAGGTCCCTTTTCATCTCTTTTCATTATCATCATAGATCCCGGCATCCCTGTTGTTTCTGACAGTCTTCAAGTTAAAAGTTAATAGGTTTTGGGGGATTGTGAGTTATTTTAAGAATACCCTGGCAAAACTGTTCAGCCAAGTTAAAAGGGTTCCCGAGAAAGTCAGATTCTCGATGAATCTAGGTCCCCGCTGTTTTGGTTCATGACTGCCGTGGGTTCTGCCTCCTGAATGTACCCTGGTGGAAACTTCCAGCCATCGCCCTTACACCATAGGTAACATGATCCAGTGCCTGATAGCACTTGGCATATGATGGGGCTCTTACTCTAGGAATGAACAGCAAAGCTGAATTTTCTGCTTCCTATTTCCCCGAGCCAGGCCTCCTCCCTGCCACCCTTCCCTGTGGAAGCCAGGCCTGCAGCCGGAGGCAACACCTACCGCTTCGTCAAAGCCCATGTAGAGAAACTGCTGGTACCACTGCTGCACCTCGGGCCGAGTCCGGTCCCACAGCTGCCGCTTCTGGCGCTTCAGGCTGCCAAGGAATTCTTTGGCTTTATTCTCATCAACGGCCACTTTAGTCTTAGTTGGAACAGGTGCTGAAATCATCAATTCCCCATCCCCAAAGCACAAAGAATGACTTCCTTCCTCACTTGCGGTGAATCCCTGTTATACATCCCATCCCCCACCACCATGTGTAGGAGGGTTTTGACTCTCAACTTCATTCTTACTTGCATGTGACAATGTGACACAGCCTCGTAGATTCTGTCACCATGCTTCCTGTTAGTAAGTGTTATTTGGTACAACCCTATAAAGGGGCATGGACTAAACTTCAACCTCTAGGTCCTCAGGGTAGAAATGAAATTCAGCTCATCTCCTGCAGCCCACTCGCACCCAGGGCCCAGGCCTTTCCCGGGGCAAATGGCCCACCCCTCAGGCTCCGCATTCAGGAAACAGACTGGATATCTAGTGCCACACAGGTATACGGGCATGTCCATTGCATATGCCAACACAAGAGGGTTGTGCTTGGCTCAGGAGATTATGTAAGAAAAAGGAACTGGAATGATGAGCCCCGGGTGAGCAGGGACCAGACCCTGCCCAACAGTACAGCTGATTCTCACACCAGGCTGCTGGGACACAGAATCCCCTTAAGCCAGTGCCTCTCTGCGCCTCACAGTCTGACCATTGATGCAGGATACTGACCCGCACCCTCACACTGCTGCTGCTAACGTCTTTCCATCACAGTCTCAATTGTTGAAATGGAACCACTTCCGCAGGATGTGCTCGAGGAAGCCACTGTGCCATTAGGCGTTTTTCTCCTGCTGTCACGTTTTCAGCCTCTGTCCCCGTATCTATAAAAGTGGGTGGACAGTCCCTCTCGATGACGTTAGGAAAAATGCACAGGATCATGGAAATGCAGGCCTGGTGCATTCGTTGGTCGTATGGACAAATACCAGCAGGGGTTTTTGTTTGTTTGTTTACAATCCCTTGAGGGATTGTAACACTGTTTTGTACACAGTAGTTGCTCAATATGTGTTTCTTGATTTGAACTGAGTCAAGGCTGCGGGATGCACACCAAGGAGTTGTGACTGCCTCAGCAGCTTGCTCACCTATGACAAACTGGCTCTGTGAGGGCGTTGTTGATCCCTGGGCATCCGTGAGGTAAGGCTCTGGCCACCACACAGCACAGGGAGGGGGCCCTCTGAGCCGCCTCAGAGATTGGGGGTGGGCCAGGGCTTCTTGGGTGGCTGGAACCCCAGGAAAAGATGCTGGGACCGCCCCAAGCCTGTTCTCCAGCCACCTGTGGGAGGGCCCCTGAGCAGCAACTGGGGAGTGTGGGAAGAATGACTGAGGACCCCACTTCAGGGAGGAAGTTCAGCCTGCTAGAATCCCCCACAAACTAGGAGGGAAAGAATAACTGACTAAATGGTCACATCAGAAGTGTGGTCACACTTTTTCATTTCTAAGGGATTCTTAATTTTACAGATAGAGATGAAAGTTGGGAGAGGGAAAATGACATTCACGAGACCCCACAATTGATCCACCTGATCTGATTACAGCAGGTCCAGAACCTGTGTGTTGTGACCCCCAGACTGTTCAATTTCTATGACATTTTGTTGCTGTCACATTTATCTTAGATGCATTATTCAAAACAGAGGCTAATAACAAGAAAGGCTTTCCTGTTTGAAACCCTTCCCCAAGAGCTCTTTGGATACACGGACTACCGCAACACTGCTGTTCCACGCCTGCCCCACCAACTGAGGATTATGTGTTCCAAAGATAGTCTCTAAAGTGCTCCATGGTCCTAAAATAAATAGCATGCAATTAACACTGTACTACTGTTTCTTTTATTTTTGAGTCCACACTGACAGGTTTCAGAAAAATAACCTTCAGACATTTACTGGCAATAATATTTATCTAATAAGATACCACACCACATACCAACAGAATAAGCCCTTCATATCTGCTAACCTTTTAAGGAGTAAACACTTTTGATTTTCCAAATACAAGACTCCAGTGAGCACAATCCATATTGCCATTTCATTTCCATCCAGTTAAGAATGCATCCCTTATCCATTTGGGGTATATTTACCTTCTCGTTTTTGAAGCATCAGCTTGAGTTTATTTCCACTTATGCCACCTAAAGGAATGAAAATTGAAATCCATATCAGAGTTATACTGCTCCCTTCAATTTATCAAAGGCAAAAATCAGAGTGGGAGAAAAGAACTGCGGGCCCCTGCCTTGATTTGGCAACTTGGTAACATCACAGTATTTAACACTTGCTGTATTCCCTGTCCTGCAGGACAAACAATTCAGGCTGCCCATGGCTAATACTGGTGATAATGACCACAGCCGACCAAGGGTATTACTATTTGAGCTAGTCAGAGTGATGCTGTTCTTTTAGCCCTGTGTCTTACTACGAGGCGCAGCCATCTGTCAAGCGCATCTTCCTGCAAATTTTCACTTCATGGTGTAATACGTTGAATAGTGAATAGTGTCCTCCTGAAACCCCTATCCACCAGAAACCCCTGAATGTGAGCTTATTTGGAAATGGGGTCTTTTCAGATATAATCCATTAAGGATCTCAAGATTTTTATTTTTTTTTTATTTTCTTTTCTTTTCTTTCTTTCTTTTTTTTTTTTTTTTTTTTTTTTTTTTTTACAGCCTTACCCATCACTGAGAGGGTCTCAAGATGTTATCATACGGGATTTAGATGGACAGAAATCCAGTGACTGGTGTTTTTATAAGAAGAAGAGAGGATCCACGGAGGTCACCCATGTGAAGACAGAGGCAGGCAGAAATGGGAGTCAGGCTCCCACACACTGGGGAACTTGCCTTTGCTCTCTAAAAGTGCAGCCCAGTTTTGTAGCTTGCCCAGATCACCCTAAAATCAAGTATGATTTGTACCACTTGCTGTTATTTGTATTCACTTTTAAAAGTGTTTCTGATCAGCTCAATCATTTTTAATAGAAAATACCTTGTCTGGCCTGATAGAACACACGCCTCCACCCAGCGAACTGGCTTGCAGACCTATAGGAGCCTCTGACCCTTAACTGTTGCATGACATCGTAAGTAGTGAGTAGAGCAACTTCGGGTGTAAGGAACTGGAGTCAGGCCCCAGGATGGAGGTAATGGTGACCACTTTCTCAGCAGGGTTCTTAGCCTCTCCTTCCATGGACAGGCTCCAGGGGGTCTAGAAAGGCATGTAAAATTGCGTTTGCATCTGCCAAGGCACAGTTTTCTGGGAATAGGAACCATAGCTTTTGCCAGACTCTTAAAAGTGTCTGTGACCCAAATAAAATTAAGAATGCCTGCTTTGTTTGTGAATTATACATCAATAAAGCTGGGGGAAAAAATAAATGTTTTAAAAGAGAACCTCTGCACAAAGAATTTACTGTGGAGTTGGGGCGAAGAATATATCCATAAACAAGAGTCACAAGCTGGCTGCCTCACCTGAGGCTGCATTTTATTAGCATACCCAGTGTCTACAAATTTTGAATTTGAATGCCTCTCAGCCCAAGTCACTTGGCACACTCATGGTCCGTAAGCAGCCACCTAACCTACTAGCCTCCTGTAGCATTTGGATTAAAGTGCTACCTGGCTGCCTTCAGAGTCATTGGGCCATCCAGGGAGCCTGCTGGCCTGCCCTCTGGGATGGGACGGGGAACCTGCTAGAACTTATTAAGTCTATTTCCTGCTAAGTGCCTCCCTTCTAATTCACGGGTAGGGTGGCCACACTTTCTGGTTGTCCAGGAACAGCCCTGGTATATACCTCTTGTCCTTGTAAATTAATGATAGTGCCTCCTTTTGCTCTCAAAAGTGTTTCAGCTTGGATGATAAATTACATGGCCTCCCAATTTTTTGAGGTTTAATGGCATGGAAATGGCTTCATAAGATCTCTAGGGACCACACTGAAGGGCCAGGGAGGAGAGGTGGTGGTTTCCCTCACACCTTCCCTATGAGAGCTGGGAGTCTGCTGGGTGGCCAGCTAAGATATCGGCGTAGTGCATAGCAGCCTGTGGGAGAGCTGCAGTGGTTTTTGTTGTCTGTGCTCAAGTCGGTCTATAGTGATGTAGTTGTTTAAAAAGCAATTGCAATCTTAGGCTGTTTAATAAAGGATACTTAAAAAAAGAAAGTAACTGTCCTGTCGCTGTTCCATCACAGCTCTGAACAGACCTCCCCTCTACTATTTAGTTCAGTTCACATCATCTCACTTGAAGAAGGTCATAGAAAAACCGGAGTTGTGGTCAAAGGAGAGTGTCCAGAGAGGACTAGCGCCCAAACATGTGTTATATGAGAAGAAATTAAAGGAATTTAGGTGTTTAACCTAGAGAAATAAAACTTGTGGAGCTGGGTGTGGTGGCTCACACCTGTAACCCCAGCACTTTGGGAGGCCAAGGCAGGCGCATAGCCTGAGATCAGGAGTTTGAGACCAGCCTGGTCAACTTGGTGAAACCCCGTCCCTACTAAAAATACAAAAAATTAGCCTAGTGTGGTGGTGCATGCCTGTAGTCCCAGCTACTCAGGAGGCTGAGGCAGGAGAATCGCTTGAACCTGGGAGACAGAAGTTGCAGTGAACCAAGGTAGCGTCACTGCACTCCATTCTGCGTGACAGAGTGAGACTCTATCTCAGAAAAAAAAAAAAGAAAGAAAGAGAGAGAGAAAGAAAGAAGGAAGGAAGGAAGGAAAGAAAGAAAGAGAAAAAGAAAGAAAGAAAAAGGAAAGAGAAAGAAGAAAGAAAGAAAAGAAAGAAGGAAAGAAGAAAGAAAAGAAAATAAAAAAGAAAGAAGAAAGAGAAAGAAAGAAAGAAAAAAGAAAGAAAGAAAGAAAGAAAAGAAAGAAAGAAAGAAAGAGAAAGGAAGAAAGAAAAAGAAGGAAGGAAGGAAGGAAGGGAGGAAGGAAACTTGTGGGAGGAGAGCCAATGCTTTGAGGGGCCACTGGGCCATAGGTTAGGGCATGAAGTAAGGTTTCTAACGCCCAGATAGACAGCCACCCAAGATGGGACAAATGGCCTTGGGGGGTTTGAGATTAAGAGTTGCTGGAGGCGTCTGAGCATAAATAAACATAGATGAGCACTTGACCAGGCTACTGTAGAGGGGATTTTCTAATTAGATGGGGGTGGGACTACTGTTTAACGCTCTACTTCCCTTCCAAACTTAAATTCAATGAAGAAATCTATGAAAATATTTGCCAAGGGAGACAGATATGTTCCTTGGCACTAATAATAGCATTCATTAATGTCTTAACATCTGTCAGTCTCTAACAGCTCACAGGGTAGTACATACAGAATTAAGTATGGCCCCTCCATCTGTTTGCCTTCTGTGAAAGTGCTTAACAATTAATGAATGAAATGTGGTCTGATGTTGAAATAGACACTGCGTGTAGGCATTTGCGATGAGGCTGCAATTTCTTGCAGCAAATGTATGTCACTATTACTCCAGAAATGAGAGCCTCGCCAAACCTTAGCTATAGATGGAAAAGCACAAATAAGTCCCAAATTATGAATTATGAATGTTGCTGCTGTGCCAGGTACTATACACTGAACTCCATATCAGTACATATAACTGGACACTACACTAAATTTGTTTGAGGAAAAGGATAAGGAACAATAGAATAGCTGTGATTTTTTTCTGTATTAAGGACTTTTCACCCAATATCATCAGTTGTTCATTCAAGGCTGCAATAATAAGCACTCCTTAATTTATCCAATCCAGTTGCCTAGCATTAGCTCTCCCAGCAAATTCAGAGCTGCAAAATGCTCCTTTGAAGGTGCTTAATATTAATAAATTGATCAAGAAGGGGTCACGGTCATTTTCTTTATTAAATGTTTGTGAGTGAGGAAGGGCGTGGTGGTTCAAGCCTATAATCCTAGCACTTTGGGAAGCCGAGGCAGAAGCATCACTTGAGCCCAGGAGTTCGAGACCAGCCTGGGCTACATAGTGAGACTCATCTCTACTAAAAATTAAAAGAAAAAAAAAAAATTGCCAGGCGTGGAGTCAACACACCTGTAGTCCCAGCTACTCGGGAGGCTGAGGTGGGAGGATTGCTTGAGTCCGGGAGATCAAGGCTGCAGTGAGCTATGATCACACCACTGCACTCCTGCCTAGGCAACAAAGTGAGACCCTGTCTCAAAAAAAAAAAAAAAGTTTGGAGGTGGCATAAAGAGTCACCTTTGGGATTACATAAAGATTTTCACTGTAGGCTGGGCATGGTGGTTCATGTTTGTAATCCCAGCACTTTGGGAGGCCAAGATTGGTGGATCACCTGAGGTCGGCAGTTTGAGACCAGCCTGACCAACATGGAGAAACCCCATCTCTACTAAAAATACAAAACAAAAACAAAAACCTTAGCTGGGCGTGGTGACACATGCCTGTAATTCCAGCTACTCGGGAGGCTGAGGTAGGAGAATCGCTTGAACCTGGGAGGCGGAGGTTGCAGTGAGCCAAGGTCACGCCATTACACTCCAGCCTGGGCAACAAGAGCAAAACTCCATCTCAAAAAAAAAAAAAATATTTTCACTGTATAAGAACTTTCACATCCCAGCTCGGTGATGATATTTTAACTGAGTTATTGGTATAAACTAAATAAAATACAAGTCCTGAAAATAAATGGCTTGTAGCCAGTGCTCACTTGACTTATTCAGATGTGCTTTTTTCTTCTTCTTCTTTTATTTATTTCTTTTTTTATTTTGCGACGGAGTTTCACTCTTGTTACCCAGGCTGGAGTGCAATGGCACGATCTCAGCTCGCCGCAATCTCCTCCTCCCAGATTCAAGCAATTCTCCTGCCTCAGCCTCCCGAGTAGCTGGGATTACAGGAACGTGCCATCACGTCTGGCATTTTTAGTAGAGACGGGGTTTCTCCATGTTGGTCAGGCTGGTCTCGAACCCCCGACCTCAGGTGATCTGCCCCCCCCCCCCCCCCGGCCTCCCAAAGTGCTGGGATTACAGGTATGAACCACCAAGGCCGGCCCAGATGTGCTTCTTAAAGTGGCAAGAACAAAGAGTGGGAGGCAGGTAAACCATACAACGGGAAATGACTGATTAGCTTCGCCTGTGATTCTAAGGTGGAACAATAATCCTCCCCACCTGAACAGACCTCACCACGCCTCCTGCTGTTTTAGCAACCCCGGGGCTCCATCCCAGGGCTCCTACTGAATGTCCCCTGCCTCTTCTCACCTCGAGTTCAGTTTCCATACCTGTTTCGAATGAGCAAAATACAGAAACTGAGCAACCGAGTGAGCCTCCCTTTTACATTAGGCAGTGCCCAGCTGCTTTGCAGTGGGACAGCGCCAGTCTCAGGCTCTTGGGCAAGTCACTTCATACACCAGTAACTCTGAGGTAACAATCCCTGCCTCCCCTAGTTGTAAGCTTCAAAGGCAGTCATGTGTCCTTGAGGCCACTTGTGAACCATAAATGTTCCTCCTACCCAGTGAAGGTGGTAACTCAGGACAAACCACGGCTTCAGATTATGGTTCCTAAAGTGGGGCCTGTGGAGCCCAGCGATCAGATATCGGAGCACCCATCATTCTGGGTGTGCGTGTGAATGCACGTTTTACAGAGAGCGAGCAGAGAATTTCAGAGTTTTCAACCGATTCGCTGGGAGCTCCACGAAGCAGGAAAGATTAAGCATTACTCCTTTAAGAGCCTTTCCCCTCTCTGGGGTGTGAGGCCTGTGCCCAGCTTTGCAAATTGCAACTTGACCCAGCTGGGAAGCGCAAGTCAACTTGGTTGCTAAGCGACTGCCTGGAAGGGAATGGCGGTGATGGTGCCATTTGCCTCCTCTGGGTTACCAGCTGCGTAAAGCCCCCACAACCCTTTTGCCCCTTACGTTAAGCCACGAAACACTACTTGCCCACCCTTCGGACGCCTGGCCCTCCTTGCCCAAGGTTGCCCGGGAGATCTGAGACCCTCCCCTTGACCCCGGTACTCTCTCCACCCTCACAAGGGCACCACTTCGCACTTGTGCGAGTGCAAAACCCCAGACCCGGTCCTCTACCACCCCTTGGCCCTGCCTAGGCTAAGGATGGGTCCCTACGCCGCCACCCCATCACCGATCGCTCTCCCCGGGCACCATGGAAGCGCCACATGGGGCCAACCCCTGGTGCCGCTATCAATCAGCCTGGCATCGCCCCGCTCACCTGGGCCCCAGCACAGGAGCAGGAGCAGCGCCAGCCCGGTCAGGGCCAGGACAGCAGGCCGCGCGGGGGAGGCAGCCATGGCGGCGGGGCGCGAGCAGGAGGGCGAGGGGCGCACTTCGAGGTGCTGCGAGGGAGAACCGGGCGCGGGAGAGGGGTGCGAGCGGGCAGGCGCGGCCGCGGGTTATCCCTGCGTCGCTGCCGGGGCGGGACCCAGCGGGTGGGCGCCGCGCCAGAGGGCTGAGGGCCAAGCGGCTGCGCCCAGCGCACGGGCGAGTACCACCGAGGTCCTCTCTCCCGCCCCGGCCCCAAGGGGAACGCAGCCCCTGGGCTCCAAGGCCAAGGATGCTTGGCCACGGAGAACCGCCGGCGGCGGGGGCCGCGTGGCCAGCGCTGCCCGCAGCGAAAGCGGTTAGGACAAGCTGGGTTCCGGAGACCCAAGGAAGGGCAGAAGGCATCGGGAGAAGGGACGAGGCCCCCTGGCCACTCAGAGGGAGGACTTGCCGGATCCCAGCGCTGGGGTGTCTCCTTGGCTCCCCCACTTCCTCCGCCCGCCCCAGCCGCGCCACTGTTCCCCTTACTCCTCACCCCTTTCTTCCCTATCTCCCTCCCTCCCTGCTTGGGGGCCTTGCTTCTGCCTGGTTTGTAAAGTGGGCTTTGGAATTTCCTTAGTTCAGAGCTGCTCTTAAGGATGCCTTAGGCGGGGCTGTTTTTGAGATAGTTTGAAAGATTCCACAGTCTGGGTTCAGAGCTGCAGTCCGGGAAATCGTCTCACCCAAACTTCTCCAATAGAAAAGCCTTTGAGAAACCAGGAACCTGGTGCCCTGCAGCTGTGAGCAAAACCACTGCTTCCCTTTGCCCGCTCTGTAATCTGGGCACACTTCAGCGAGCGATGTTAAGGTGAGACCCAAGGGAAACGCAGAACTGCATCCCAGTAACTGGCCTGTTCAACTGTAGAGGACACGTGAAAGGAGGCGTAGTGAACAAAAACTAGAACAACTTTATCCCAACGGACTCTGAGCGGGTCACCTAATTATTCTCTCCAGGCCTGGGCTACAAAAGGATGGAGATGTGAGATTACCTTTCCTGTCTTCCCATCTCAGATCTGCCCTGAACTGAGCTGATTACCTCTTTCCTTCACCAAGGTTCTCACTTATTTTCCCCTCCCTGAGACGGAGTTTCACTCTTGTTGCCCAGGCTGGAGTGCAGTGATGGGATCTCAGTCACTGCAACCTCCAACTCCGGGGTTCAAGCGATTCTCCTGCCTCAGCCTCCTGAGTAGCTGGGATTACAAGGCATGTGCCACGAGGCCCAGCTAATTTTGTATTTTTAGTAGAGAAGGGATTTTACCATGTTGGCCAGGCTGGTCTTGAACTCCTGAACTCAAATGATTCACCCGCATCGGCCTCCCAAAGTGTTAGGATTACAGGTGTGAGCCACCACACCGGCCAGTATTTTTATACCCTCCAGTGGTAAGCACTTACTGTCTCTCCATATAATTAGCTCTCCATGCAATGCAGTTGAATTTCTCCAGCAGGAAGGAGAAAGAAGTCTTCTAACATTGAGCTAGTAAAGACAGATGGTGGCCAACCAAAGAAAAAAGTGCAAAGTGGGTCTGAGTTAGATCATGATACTGCCCAGGGTGTCAGAGAGAATCAGAAGGATAATGTTACACATCTAGCTATCTTGGGGAAGTGCTTCTAAACCCTTGAGGAAACTGTAGAATAGGGGATAGGAGTTTTAAAAGTAACCAGGCATATATTTACTTTTGCCTGAGGACAAGAAATTTATCATTAGAAAGAAAAATCAAAGCACATAAAAAGCCAATATTCTGTTTGGATTGGTTTAGAACATACATTAAACATAATGGCTGTAATCTTATTTATCCTGTGGAGATCATCCCCCTTACCCCAAATTGCTACCAATATCTACTTCTAATATGACATTCAAATTCTCTTCACTTAAGGGGGATCATGGTGGCTCACGCCTGTAATCCCAGCACTTTGGGAGGCTGAGGAGGGCAGATCACTTGAGGTCAGGAGTTTGAGACCAGCCTGACCAACATGGTGAAACTCCCTCTCTACAAAAATGCAAAAATTAGCCAGGCGTGGTGGTGCGTGCCTGTAGTTCCAGCTACTTGGGAGGCTGAGGCAGGAGAATCACTTGAATCCAGGAGGCGGAGGTTGCAGTGAGCCGAGATTGCGCCACTGCACTCCAGCCTGGGTGACAAAGCGAGACACTATCTAAAAAAAAATAAATTATCTTCACTTAATCGGGATATGACCAGAGAGTGTTCTGTAGCAGGGAGCGTCTCACTCTGCCTTCAGAGGGGCCGCTAAACTCATGTGTTCAGCCTGGAGACACTATGTCAGTTCTTATGCTGATATCTAAGTTCCTTTTCATCTGTCTATTTGTTCAACGGTATTTACTTACTGTCTTAGTCCATTTGGGCTGCTAAACAAAATCCCATAAGCTGGGTAGCTTATAAGCAACAGAAATGGATTTTGCACAGTTATGGAGGCTGGAAATTCAAGACTAAGGCCCCAGCAGATTTGGTGTCTGGTCAGGCCCTGCTTCCTGCTTCCTAGATGGCACCTTCTTGCTGTGTCCTCATACGGTAGAAGGGGTGAGGGAGCTCTCTGGGGCTCTTTTATGAGGTCACAAATCCCACTCATGAGGGATCCATCCTCAGTACCTGATCATCTCCCAAAGGCCCCACCTCCTAACACCTCACTTCAGGAATTAGGATTTAATGTATGAATTTAGGGGAGACACAAAAATTCAGTCTGTAGCACTTATAAAATGCTAGCTACATGTGAGACACTATTAAAGGTCCTTTTCTTACTAGTCGCTTAAATTTTTCACCCCTTTAATGTACAAGACCCTCCTTTCTCCCGCTGCTAAGTCTGGTCTGATTTTTCATTCCAGTGTTTCTCAAACTTAGTCTGAAAATCCCAAGGAGCTTGTTAGTGCAGATTTCTGAGTCAAATCCCCTGGAATGACGTAGGTCTTGGGTGGGGCCCAGCTGTCTCCATTTTGTTTTTATTGGCTCCTAGAGGATGCTGTAGTCCTCAGACTGCACTTTGAGTAACTCAGCTCATTCAGCTCTCCACCAAAACGCACCTGCTTCCTAAAGTCTCTACCTGGCCTCACTCAGTTTAATAATGCAGTTTCTCTCCCTTGATATACCATACCAAATGAACCCCAGGACCTTCGTTTCTGCCATGTGACAGTAGCTAAGGACGTGGGCTTTGGGTTCCAGTTCCTTCTGCATTATGCACAAACTGTGTAATTAGATCACCTGTCCTCTCTAGGCCAGAGGTAATATGGGGGCAATATTATCTATCACACTGGGGTAAGAGATCACATGCACAGAGCCTGGTGTACAGTAAGCACTCAACAAATGTTAGAAATTATTTTCAGACCAAACTCCCTCTGGCCTCTGAGCTCCCCACCCAGTGCTCTTACACCTCTCTGATCCTCCCTTCCTTTGGCCAGGAGCTCTCATTGTAGACGATTCCAATCCACTCCACATACCATTGTCACACATTGTCAGACTGACCTTCTCAAACACAGTCCAGACATGGTGTTCCCTTCCTCCACGTGACTCAGGGGCCTCAGTGGTCCTCCCTCTGTGGCTTCCAATTCACAGATACCTGGCAATAGCAGATAGAGGACTGTAGGAAGTGCCATCACTCTGCGAGCGTGCCGTGAGCTGAATGCACACAGGGGAAAGGGGGCAGGGTCTAAGACGGAGCTGCCTTTGATTATGAGAGGCCTCAGAGAGAACAACCACAGCAAGGCCAGGTCCATCTTGACTCTGCCTCCAAGGAGCCAGCAGTAAGAGAGATTCGACAGCCGAGAGGGCTTCATTTTAATTAACATTGCTAAATATTTTAGGTGTGAAAATGGTATTGTATTTGCAATTTTAAAGCCCTGTCTATTAGAACTATATACTGAATTTTTATGGGTAAAGTGATTCAATGTATGGGATTTCACTTAAAATAGTTCAGGAAAAAGATTGGCAAACAGAGATCATTTTTTTGCCAGGAAACCACTTACGCTGTCCTTGACTCCCAGTTATTATATGTTTGGGAGCTATGGTCTGAATGTTTCTGTCCTCCCAAATTTCATCTGTTTAAATCCTAACCCCCAAAGTAATGGTATTAGAGGTGGGGTCTTTAGGAGGTGATAGGGTCATGAGGGCAGAGCCTGCATGAATGGGATTAGTATCCTTTAAAAAGCGTCCTCTAGTGAACTCCCTCTTTCCTTCCGACATGTGAGAGCACAGTGAGAAGGTGCCATCTGTGAATCTATGAGCCAGGAAGTGAGCCCCCACCAGACACCAAATCTGCTGGTGCCTCCATCTTGGACTTCCAGTCTCCATAATTGTGGGAAATCCATTTCTGTTGTTTATAAGTCACCTGGTCATGGTATTTTGTTATAGCAGCCCAAACAGACTGAGACAACAGGGGATTATTATGCTATTCTCTGTACATGTTTATACATTTTCATAATAAAAATTTAAAATATAGACTCTTAGTGGCACTTCATTAGCTATACATATGTAAGAATACATAACATACACAGAGACCTTCAGACTCTCTATTTAGCCCTTAAACATGTACAACAGTGATTTTTTTCTTATGCTTCCTATGGTTTTCCTCATCTCCCCAAAACTCAAAATTCACGCATCAATTCTCTGCATCTTCACAGGTTCATGGCTTTACCTACAACATTCCTAGTCTCTGGGATGCCTTTGGGCCCTTATCTCTGCTACTCAAAACCCTACCGTTCCAGTTACCAATCACTGCTTCAAAACTGATCCCAGATTTAAAGGCTTAGAGAACAACCACCATTTTATTATGATCACAATCCTGGAGATCAGGAATTTAAGAAGGGCTCAAGTGAGCGGTTCTTCTGCTCCATGTGGTATTGACAGAGATCATCAATGATACTCAGCTGGCAGATGGGCTGGACTTGAGAGTCCCAGACAGCTCCACTCACCTGTGTGGCACCTTGGGACGGATAGCTGGAAGGCTTGACTCAGCTGAGATTGTCAACTGAAGTGCCTACATGTGGCCTCTCCAGCATGATGGCTTAGGATCCCAGAGAGAGTATTCCAAGATCAGATACTCCAAAAGACAAGAAGAGGAAGCTGCCAGTATTTTTAGGTCTTGGCCTGGTAACTGACACAAATCAATGCCATTGTATTATATTGATCAAAGCAGTTCACAAAACCTACAGGCATTCAGGAGGAGGGGTATAGATTCTATTTCTCAAGAGGAAGATGTCAAAGGATTTGTGCACATCTTTCATCTGCCACATTTACCCACCTTTCAAGACCAAGCTCTGATGCTACCTCCTCCAGGGGCTTTCCCTGCTTCTCCATTTGGGCCAGGACCACATTTTCTTTCTTTCTTTTTTTCAAAAGAAAGTGTGGTCCTGGCCCAAAAATCTTCTGCTCCCCTGAGTGTTTTCCTATCTTACATGTATTTGGTGCCTTATTTCTCTTTTCTCCCTTGGATTTTAATGTTTTTGCTCCTTAATTTCTTTGTTCTCTTTTTGAATTACCTCATAGAACCAAACGCCCTGTATTTAGTTGATGAGGGAATAAATGTCATCTAAAAGTGGATCTATGATTACACAAATCATGTATAAATGAGATCATTTCATATGACCCTGATTTTGTGTTCTTAAGTTTGATATTAGAAAAGTATGTGGTACATACAACAACAGCTCACAGCAGCAGCCAGGAACAGTGACAAAGAAGGCCCACTACAGAGGGAGAACCCTGCCCAAGGCCAGCCCGAAAACTGCCTAAACAACGGGCCGGCAACCACAGGGTTAACATTCATGCTCAGTGGTGGGCCCTCAAAACTCCTTTCCTGTTTATTAAGCAAATTTCCATGTTGGAATTTTAATAACTTGTGCCATTTGCCATTTGAAATAACTAACTGAAGCCAAAGTCAGGGAAAGGGGGAACATTTCCTTTCAGTCTAAAAAAAATATTGAGAAGCACAAAGTTCTTATTATGTAAGGCTCTAGTTCACAGAAGGGTTCTGTGAGTGGGATTGGCAAAGAGGTGCCCAGGACCCCACGGGTAGATGTGGCCCCTGAGTCACAGGGCCCAGGACCTCATGGGGAGGGGTGGCCCATGAGTGAGTATGAACATAAATTGCCAGCCAGGGGACCTGGACACAGCCAAAGAAGTTGTGAGATAAATGGCCATCGCAGCTGTAAGGGTTCTCTGGTCAAATGAGATGACATTATTCAAACAGATTAACACATGGAATGAGGCCAGTTTCTAGTCTCTTTCAAACTTTAATTTTCAGCATTTTAACTAAAAAGGTACTGAAAATCTGAGGAGAATAGGAAGACTTTATCCAGCCTGCCATGGTTGAAGCACGGATTCCCTCATTAAGACACTCCCCACATACATTTCCTGATTTCCTTTTCCTCATGGGGTAGAGGCCCACGGTGGACTCCTTCGTCTAAAACTCAGAGCAGCACTCAACCAACTGGACACAAATCATATAGGTTCACAGCAGGAGCTTGTAGCTCCATGGATGGTGAGCATCAGCCTTCGGGCACCCAAGGCCAATAGCCAGATGGCTGCTGTCAAAGGTGGGTCCCATGATTCACCAGCCTGCAGTCTAGTTAGTCAGGAACTGGGCAAGATCAGCCTGCAACCTGGCACCAGGGGAGCAGGCAGAGAAAAAAAGACCCCATAGGGGTCACCTAAGTGATTTCTTGCCTATTGAATGACCAAACCAGTCCCTTCAGCTTTGACAGGTATCTTCAATCCCCCAAGTAGTGGGAAAGGGTTCTTGTAGACACACTGCTCCTGACAGTCTTGGAGAATCATTGCTGGGGCCCTTCTCAGCTCTGTGCAGGGCCAAGTCATTAGAGCCAGTTCTCCAACTAAGTGCAGACTACACCCACCACAAGCCACAGAGCCACCCTCAGATAGTTTTCGTTTTTCATTCTTTTAAAAAATGTTCTCTTTTTGTGTGTTGTTTTGTTACATATTTAGTTTTGTTTATGTTGTTTATTTACAAATTTATGTCTATTGTGCACAGGATTTTAAGGCTGCCAATGTAAATGCAACTTTATATGCAAGTGTGACCATGTAGTGATCCTGTGGTTTTGGTGAACATGCAGTTGAAACCAGCTCCCCTCAAGCGCACGTCAGCATTAGAGATCCAGTCCTTCTGTTAAGGCATTATATCACCAAGACACTTTGTTTAAATGAAAGTTTGATAAGATAGTAACAGTAAAACAGCCACCAGTCATTGCAGAAAGGAGAAAGCAGCAAAGGTAACCGTATCTATATTAAGCATTTTATCCAAAACTTGTCTAGGCACCCATGAGGTACGATGGCTGCCCCCGCTCATGTAAAGCCTCTGGTATAAATGGTACTTTATGATTTCCAGATTGACCTCCCTGGGTCCTGCAGAGTGGGCAGGAATAGAGCCTCCATTTACAGATAAGGAACCCGAGGGCTGGGGGATGCTATTGCCAGTCAGCAGTTTGCACCAGCATCTAGGTTTTCTTACTTTCAGTCCCGGGCTCTTACCCTCTGCTCCAGCCACCCAGTCTGCATCTTTAGGGCTTCCAGAGGACAAGCTGTGCTGGGTGCTGTGCTTGGGAGAGTGTGAGGACGAATCCCAGCCCTCAGGAGGCTGTCTGTCTAGTTGGGCAACAGCACACAAACTCTAATGTGACAAGCAGCGGTGACTGTAGTTCGATTTGCAAGCTGTTTGAAAGCTGTCTCAGAACTGGTATTTATTATTATTATTATTATACTTTAAGCTCTGGGATACATGTGCAGAACATGCAGGTTTGTTACATAGCTATACACGTGCCACGGTGGTTTGCTGCACCCATCAACCCATCATCTACATTAGGTATCTCTCCTAATGCTATCCCTCCCCTAGCCCCCAACCCGCCGACAGGCCCCAGTGTGTGATGTTCCCTTCCCTGTGTCCGTGTGTTCTCAATGCAGAACTGGTATTTTAAGGACCAAAATCAATCAAGGTTCGTATTATTGGAAACAAGATGACAAAGATTCATAAAAGTGATTGACAGGTTACAAAATACCTTACATGGAGAGTTCATTATCTCAAACTCATGGTTCTGGGGTGAGGTCATTCCTCTACCAAAATGTGCCTCTTTGGCTTGAGATTCTGCTCCAGGATTTCTTTCCCCTTTGGTGCTCATAAAGCCATTTGTATCATATTAGCATATTAGTTTGAAATAATTGAGGTATTTCCTTTGTGAGATTTAGTCTTTGCTCTGTTTTCCCCTGAGTGTGTTGCAGGGCAGGTATTTTTAAGTCATTTTTCATACTGCATTAGTTAGAGCCTCTGGCTTTGGGTATACAGTCCTGAGTCATTGTTTACCACCTGACTGGTGTGCTTCATCCTCTGAGAGTTGCCTGGTGGTGCAGGAAGGGGTGGAGTAGCCTTGGTTGCTGGAGAGGCGCCACATGCACTGGTTGAGGGGTTTGTCACAGAGGTGTCTCTCACAGAGCCCTTCCATTAGTCTTGTCTCACTTTAAGGATCCGAGGAATGGGGAAGCTCCTGCCTCGAGGCAGGAATGACAGGTGCCAAGGCACAGCCACAGGTCGTCCCCCCTGCAGCCATTGTGGGTGGGTGCTGTCATCCTTCTTCCTTCCATCTGATGGACCCTGGGCACCAGTCGCCAGAAACACAGTCCAGGGACCCCAGCCCTAAAGAAAGAATTGATCGGGGCCCCACTTCCCATTATGCAGTCCCATCTGCAGTCATACTTAAGTATGACTTTTCCCAACTTTCTCAAGCTTGAAAACTGAGTCTAATCACATCCACATTTTCTAGTGACTTTATTGAGGTATAATTAAGTACAATAAATCACTCATATTTAAATTCTTTCATTCAACAAGTTTTGACAAATGTCTGCAGTTGCATAACTACCACATAAGCATGGCTCTCCCATCACCCCAAAATGTTCCTCCCTTCCCTTTGTAGTGATTCCCTTCTCCACCCCCTCAGGCTCTGGCAACCGCTGTCTTACTTTCTCTACCAACTATAGTTTTGCCTTTTCCAGAATTTCATATGGATGGAATCGTAAGAATGAAGTCTTTCATATCTGGCTTCTTTCACTTAGAACAGTGTTTTCAAATTCGCGTTGCTGTATCAGGAGGGTTTCCTTTATTGAGGAGTTTTATTGATGATTCCATTGTATTGATACAGAAGGGCTGGGCTCCTGGCTAAACTCCACCCTTAAGCCTGGAACCGCGGCCCTAAGTGAAAACAGTACCCAAATGTTGCCTTTTTGGCTTGCCCCACCCCTAACCTTTGCCCATGAAAGACTTCAGCTGGCAGAGCAACACAAGCGGCTGAGTGTCGAGGATCGAGCGGCTGAGCCGCAAGCTAGGGAAGCAACTTAACAGTCGACACTAAGGATAGACGCGGCTAACTTCAGACGATGCGGCTTCCAAGAGGAGCCCGATTAGGCATCAGAGAAAGACCTTCCCATCCCCTTTCCAGCCTCCCTTTCCGCTGACAGCCACCCATGGGTCAATAAAGTCTTCCGCATTTATCATCTTTCAAAGAGATCGTGCGACTCAATTCTTCCTGGATGCCAGACAAGAACCTGGATGCCAAGAGGGCAGGGGCTGCCACACTGACCGTCCACTGAGCTGGTTGGCACTTGGTTGTCCCCGGACGGCAGAGCTGAAAGAGCATTGGTTGTCACACGCCTGGATGCTGTTGCGGAGCCTGCACAGAGCCTGCTCCCCCTGGAGAGGAGAGACCGGCCCGGCCCGTTGCAGAGTTCATTTGCTCCGGTTCCTGCACTCAGCGGGCCGAGTGAAATGAGACATTCCAATTTCCTCCGTGAAGGGAGTCAAGGGAACTATCCCGTCCCGTCATAGGCCATTTATTGATGTATCTACTCACCAATTTGTGAATATGTGTGCTGTGTCCATTTTAGGGGGCCATTACAAATAAAGCTGCAATAAACATTTGTATCTGTGTCTTTGTGTGGGCACATTTTCTTGTCTCTTTGGTAGGTCCATGGGAGGACGATGGCTGAGCAATGTGGTAGTTTGTGTTTATCTACATTATTTAACCTCCATCGAGATAATGAGGATGTGCAAGGCCACCAATTCATTGCCCAAGTGCGCATTGAGCGACTTGTGCCAGGCAAGGCATGAGGAACTCAAAGCCAATTCAAGGGGCTGACAGTTGGCGGGGAGGCCATTTCACAGAAAAGAGTGCCAGCTCCTGAGGAGACAGAGAGTGAATGGAATGGGTTCTTAGAACCCATGTCATTCAGGCTTCTCGGAGCAACAGCCAACCCTCCCCTGCGTGTGCGATCCTGACGTCAGGGACTCACCACGCCACAGGAAGCCATCCCCACTGTGGCACTGCTCTGTGACTGTAAGGAAGCTCTTCCCTGGGGGGGCCGATGTCACTCTCAGCTGACAGTGCTGTCTGGAGTAAGCCTAACCCTTTCCACCCAGCCTGTGACCCTCAGAGCCCCTTCTTAGTTTTGACTGAGTCCAGGAGAGACCAGCTGCACAGTCCTCCAGCTGAGCTGCCCATCTCACAGAAATTGTGAGAAATAATGAGTTGCTGTTGTCAAGCCACTGGTTTGGGTGGTTCGTTATGCAGCTGTAAGTAGCCCAACAGCAGTCTTTTCTAATCTGAGTGCCACCACAAGGCTAGGCAGTGCCTGGGCTCGGGGCCCCCTCAGGGGATCTGTGAGGCAGAGTCCTGAGAAACAGACATACAGACGACCAGCAGGGAGGAGAGGCAGGGGTGAGTCTGAGAAGACCCTGGTGAGAAAGGAGGGTACTAAGCAGCAGGGAAAGAAAACAGCAGGAGGGAAAAGTGTTTGCTGAATGAATTAAGGCCTCGGGCTTGTGTGGGCCATATGGACGGGAATGCACCAAGAACAGGGTGGCCACACTGAGGGAAGCCTCAGTTGTGACTTGCAGCTGAGTGCAGAAATCTATGCTTTGGTACTGATGGCAGTATTTTAAAAATACGTGAAACTGGACAACACAGGTTAACAGGCACCTTTAGCTTCCCGGATAGGGAAAATTTTGCCATAAGTTTATCATCTTACCTTTACAGTAATCTTAGCGTATTTTAAAACTTTTTTGTGATAATGTGTAGTTTAATGTAATGTCATGAGGACTTCAAACCAAAGGAACTCAATAAAACTCCAGGAGCCGCACAGCAAGTCAAACCTCAAACACATTCCAGCCTCCTACAGGATGCCCGGTCCTCTGGGCATGCCGGTGGCTGCAGACTCCTGGCAAAGTCACAATGCTCAGCCGCTAAAAGAGATGTCATCAGGCCCCTGCCTGCCTGAGGTACGCTGGTCCCTCTGCATGGTGAACTCCATGCTGTGACGTTATGGTGGTGCTTTGTTAAGTCCGGCTTTATTCCAGCATTGAACTGCTTCTTTCTATTTCTACTAAGAACACTGCATCTGTAGCCGTTGCTTTTGATTTCCTGCCTCAATATTGCTGGAGTATTTTCCCCCCAAATTTAATTTAGTATGCATTTATAGTGTGTTTATGTGTTCGAAGCACTGTTAGGGAATCCAAGATGAACAAGACATGCCCCCTGCTCTCAACAAATGCATAGTCTATTTTAATTATGCATTTTGCTATGTCTTTGCTTCAGACTGTGACTCACAACCACATAAACAAACCCACCAAATTCTGTCTCTCTTTCCATGGTTGTATAATGGAAAGTTATAGGTAGGTTAGGACACTGCTTGCTGTTTTTTGGTTTTAAACCATTAAATGACAACCATGTCAGAATTATATTGGTTAAAAGACCATAGAAATCCTGTGGCCAACCACGATTGGATTAATGGCCCAGAGTGAGTTAAGTGCCTATCTTGCCCCGTGCATTGCAGGGCTGTTTTTTCTGCCTTGCCCATGCCCGCTGGTGCTCCTCTTCCTATCTGCTTCCACCAGGGACTCCCTTCTCTTCCAACCTGTGCTTCCCCCTCCTGGGTGACCTTCTCTTCAGCCTCCGTGGAGCCACCCAGGAATGCACAGCTGATCCAAGTCCCTTCCCGGAGACACTCAGACCCATGCCAGTGACAGCATTGCTCAATGTAGCTGAAGCTGTGCAAGGAAAGTCCAGGGCCTGTTGGTGGAATCTTGTGGAGAACGCAGTCTGCAGGAAGGGAAAGGATGAAGTCACAGAGGAAGCAGAGAGATGAGAATGGGCATCCTAGGGACCTGGTTGGGCTCTGCTTGTGACTTTCTTGATCCTGTGTGAGATATCCCATAATCTTCCCAATGAATGAAATTAGTTGCTTGCTTAAATCAGTTGCTCAAGTTCAATCTTAGTCCTTAAATTAGCACTTTGTCACTTAAGACACAAAGTGGCCTGATGCTCCAAAATTTCCACAGAGCCGGGCTACTCATCATTCAACACCTAGCTCGAAACAGTATAAAAATAATAGGGGCCATCCCACAGAGCTTTCTCTGTTACAGTTCACATTTTTGTACTTGGGCCAAACCCACTTTGCATTTCCTGTCTTACACCCACAGAGACTGGCATCTGGGAGGGTTCAGATACTTCAAATAGCATATGGACAGCAATGCTGGAACCTGACTGGGGGAAGGAAGAGCATTCATTTCCATTAATAAGAAGCAACAAGCCTCCTTATTAAATGGCCAGGGCCTCTGGATAATCTTAACATTAAGGCATTTTGTCCACATCAAGCAGCTCTCCTTCTACCAACTGTCCTCCCACCCCTTCCACGCCTAGACCTGCATTGTCAAACTCAAGATCAGACTTGGATGCAAAGAGAAGTCCTGTCTCCTTTAAGAGTTTACATCAAAGCAGCTCCTGTTGATTATACCAAGCCTTTGGTTCCTTATATTTGTTGCTTTTTATATGGAGCAAGTCATATTTTACACAGCATGAAAAACAGCCATAAGCATTTAGATACTCCGTGAGAATAGAATAAATTTCCACAGGATAAATGCTTCTTTACAAGCCCAAGTACCTCAATTAGTCACTCCTCCCTCTGTATTGAGAAACTTAAAATAAATATCTTTGGGAGAATTTTAGAGAGGAAGACATTGGCTAGAATTTGCTCAGTTTAAAACAATCAGCTTCAGTTTCATGAAAGTCTAACATCTAAATCAATTGAATGTTTAGTTGGCCCAAGACTAATTGTCAAACATCTCGATGAAAAGGACTGATTAAATACCACTGACTATGAATTTGAGTGAAATCAATCATTTATATAAAGCTTTGGCACAAATTGTTTTTCCAGATCAGCTTTTTTCATCAAAATTCCTGATGATGGCAAAAATGCAGAGCCCAGAGTAGACTTTAGTCATTCATACCATGTTGCTGCATATCCAATGATTATCACTGCCAACAAAACAAGGCCTTTCAATTTCCCCACAGACATCAGACATGCAAATAGTTGGGAGATTATTTAAACATCAATTATTAAAGTTATCCAGGCTATGCTGTGCAGACAAGGACCTCACTCCAGCTCCGTGTCTCTAGAAAAGGGTGAATTTAAAGCTAGTTCATTGATATAATCAACTTCCATATCAAACAAGAATGGCAAAATCTATAGAGTTTCCAGGACTATGATATTGAGCCTTTAGATGTACTATTAGAGTTGCCACTTTCATTCATAGAGGGTGTTTTTTGGTAAACTCAGTGGGTTCAGAGGTTATCTGAATTGGGTACTATGCTGAAAGGGGCAGAGATGGAGATGGGAACAGAGAAGCTCCCATGAAGGGCAGTCCCCAGAATGACTCCTTTAGCTTCTTCATTCCTGTGCCTGAAATGCCAACAGGAAGCCCTTTCATTGGGTTTCTCCTCCACTGAGGAGCTAGGTGTGCTGGGGGCCACTATCAGTCATTATCCTTAAGATCAGTCCAGTTTTCTGAGGGTGAGGCTGCAGCTGGGAATAACTGGCATAGAGAATGGCTCAGCTTTGCTGAGGAGGAGATGAGAAAGGTTGGAAAGAAAGGACATTGCCAGGCTCAGTTACAAGCTGTGTTGGGAGGTCTGACCTTCTGTGTGCAACTGGGGAGCTGGATTCTGATAACAGGGGAATGGAGAAAAAAGAAGATTGTCAGAGGAAGAAAGCTGAGATGAGTGTGGGGGAGGGTGCCACCTGCTTTCTCTTCTCTCTGGGACCAGCCCTGGTGAGATGTAGCTGAAGCACAAGAAGACACGGATGAAGATCAATGAATAAATAAACACCAGGACAGGTGCAGTGCGTCACACCTACAATCCCAGCACCTTAGGAGGCCGAGGCAGGAGGATCACTTGAGGCCAGGACATGGCGACCAGCCTAAGCAACATAGCAAGACTCAGTCTCTACAAATTTTTTTTAATTAGCTGGGCATGGTGGTGCGTTCCTGTAGCCCCATCTACTCAAGAGGCTGAGGCTGCAGTGAGCTATGATTACACCACTGCCCTCCAGTCTGAACGACAGAGTGAGACCCTCCCTCTAAAATAAATAAATTAATTAATTTTGAAAAACAAGTAAGTAAATACAGCCAACCCCAACGCTCATCAGCTTTAAACTAGAGAAATTGGAATGGAACAAAGTTGTATTGGGAGCCAAAAGGCAAAACCAAAAAATCCAACCAGCCAAACAAGGAAAAAAACCCAAAACAAAAACCCAAAGCAGAAACCCAATGGAAGGAAAATGTGGGACAGAAATTTAAACAGTAAATAAGCACGAGGTGGCAAGAGACAGGTCATCCAAGCCTCAGTTATGAAATGAACCAGAATTGGATGGCAAACATGCTGACATCCCCTCCATGGGCACGGGTCCCAGCGTGGTGAGGGCGGGGTGGCCAGCTTTAGCCAGAATCTTGTTATTGTGCGGATTTCTTTTCTTTCTTTCCTTCCTTCCTTCCTTCCTTCCTTCCTTCCTTCCTTCCTTCCTTCCTTCCTTCCTTCCTTCCTTCCTTCCCTCCCTTCCCTTCCCTTTCTTTCTTTTTTTGACAGAGTCTTGCTCTGTCACCCAGGCTGGAGTGCAATGGTGTGCTGCAACCTCCACTTCCTGGGTTCAAGCAATTTTCCTGCCTCAGCCTCCCAAGTAGCTGAGACTACAGGCGTGTGCCACCATGCCTGGCTAATTATTGTATTTTTAGTAGAGACAGGGTTGAGCCATGTTGGCCAGGCTGGTCTCAAACTCTTGACCTCAAATGATCTGCCTGCCTCTGCCTCCCAAAGTGCTGGTATTACAGGCGTGAGCCACCGCACCCAACCCATTATTGTGCAGATTTTGTGTAGAAAATGTACTGCACTGGTACACAATCAAAATTCCATTATAAGCACACACACACACACACACACACACACAAACACACAGAACAACAGCAACAAAACCTTAATGAGAAAACCTTATGTGATGGTAATTAAAACTATAGTGTTGGGAAGTAGCTCTAACTATAATGTAGAGATGCTCAACCCATAGTATGTTAAAGATTTTAACAAAATTCTAATAGTCAAAGAAATTACTTTGCACATTTATGTGTTTATACATCACAACTAATTCACAATATTTAATGCCCCATGGAGCCTGGCATTGTGCTTTGCATGGGGTAGGATGTCAACCATTTGTCTGTCCTTAGGGATCAGACCATGGAGCTGCAGACACTGCTCAAGCTATGGCACCTATGTGATATATATATATATATATATATTTTATATATATATATATTTTATATATATATATATTATATATATATAAATATATATATATAATATATATATATATATATGGCACTTATGTGAGATTGAGATATATATATATATATATATTTTTTTTGAGATGGAATCCTGCTTTGTCGCCCAGGCTGGACTGCAGTGGCACAGTCTCAGCTCACCGAAACCTCCGCCTCCCGGATTCAAGCGATTCTCCTGCCTCGGCCTCCTGAGTAGCTGAGATTACAGGTATGCACCACCACGCCTGGCTAATTTTTGTATTTTTTGTTTTTAGTAGAGATGGGGTTTCACCATGTTGGTCAGGCTGGTCTTGAACTCCTGACATCATGATCCACCCCCCCCTCCTTCAGCCTCCCAAAGTGCTGGGATTACAGGCTTATTTGAGATATTACAGGTACCTCTGCTTCCAGGCATGATAAGTAACTGCTACCAGACAAGCTCTTCTGTCATAAAGAACTAGAAAACTGGACTTAACATGGGAGATAATTGTTCCTGGACACTGGACAACAACCTGCATGGGACTGCTCCCTGACAGAAAGGAAATAAATGAGGGAGCCCCACAACCTTCTCATTTCCTGCTTGGAGCCATTTGTGAGACTGTGGGCCAGGGAGGGGAACCCAAAAAGAGGGCAGCAATCTCACTGACACGAGGAGACAGAGCTTAGAGTTCGGTGAGGATGAAGTAGTTAGGATTTCCAGAACAAAGGACTGGAGAAGAGGGAGCTACAGAATGAAAGAGCTCAAGAATGTTGCATAGGGGTCCACTTGAGTCTGTTGCTGAATACTAAGAACGTACATGGAAGGTGAGCCTCCTTGGGGCTGTGGGAAGAGCTACCAGGGAGCTATAAGCTGAAAAACACCCCAACTTTGCACAAGGCTTAGAGACATCTGCTCTGATCAGCCAAAATAGAGAGAGATCACTGAGTATTTGGAGCAGGCAACAGTGACCCAGATTGATCAGGGCAGTTGGTAGAACTAAACTAAACTGGCATAAAGGCCACTCTGGACCCACAGTAACAATCCTTAAAAAACAAGACTTTGTTTTGAGGATTCTTTTATCGAACTGATCTGCAAGTAAATTAGCTGATTGCCAAAGCAGAACTCAATGCTCCTCAAAGGAAGATGACAAAACCCAGACACTCACAACACACACAAACAAAAAGGGAGATAATTCTTTCCCAGCAGGTAAGAATACTATAAGAAATATTAAAAGAAGTTCTTCCGGCTTCTTAGAAAATTGATTGTAGAGGGAAACTCAGATCATGAAAAAGGAATGGAAAGCATCAGATATGGTAGATATGTGGGTAAAGACTTTATTTTCTCTCTTTAAAGAACTTTCTCACAAGAAAATGTTCAGTTTAACATGAAAATAACAATATCATGGGGCTTATATGTAGAAATAAAATGTTTGACAACCATAGTGCAAACAGTGGGAGGGGAAATGAAAGTGTATTGTGGAAAGATTCTCACACTCCTTGTGAAGTGGTGAATAGAGTCAACACCATCCCAATCAAAACGCTATAAGGCTTTTATATACAGATTGACAGCATAATTCTAAACCTGATAACATAATGCAACTAATCCAGAATAACCAAAAAAAATTTAAAAAGAAGGTGGGCCGGGTGTGGTGGCTCATGCCTGTAATTCCAGCACTTTGCGAGGCTGAGTGGGGTGGACCACCTGAAGTCAGGAGTTCGACACCCACCTGGCCAACATGGTGAAACCCCGTCTCTACTAAAAATACAAAAATTAGCTGGGTGTGGTGGTACGTGCCTGTGGTCCCAGCTACTCAGGAGGGTGAGGCCCGAGAATCACTTGAACCTGGTATGCAGAGAGGTGAGATAGCATCACTGCACTCTAGCCTGGGCAACAGAGTGAGACTCTGTCTCAAAAAAAAAAAAAAAAATGAAGAAGGAAGTTGGAACTCTTAGCTGAGTTCAGGATGCATTACAAAGCTATGTAAGCAAGACAGCGTGGTACTGCTGTAAGAATACACATGTAGATCAGTGGAACAGAATGAGTGTCCAGAAATAAACCAACATAGAGATGTAGATTTTCAACAAAGGTGCCAAGATAATTTAGTGGGGGAATGAATCATTTTTTCAACAAACGGCTTTACAAAAACTGGTTATTCAGATGGGAAAACAATCAGCACAAAAGTTATCTTGAATTGGATAAGAGTCTTAAATTAAAAAGAAAAAAATTAAATTTTTTAGAAAAAAAAGTAGGAGAAAATCTTCAGGACTTTTGGGCAGGGAAAATACTGCTTAGGCAACAAAAAGCATTAACCATAAGAGAAAAAATAATGACATACTGAATTCCATTAAAATAAAAATGTCTCTTCCTCAGAAGATATTAAGATATCGAAAAGGCTCCAAGATTAGGAGCAAAGGATATTGGATTAATGGCAGCACTGGCTGCCACAGAAAAGTACAAACACAGAAGGTGGAAGCCACACCAATGGTCTAGATGGGTAGAAGCCAGGAGGAGGCCCTGGGAAAGTCTCTGGGGTTCCACAGCCAGAACTGCCAAGGTGGGTCCACTCCAGCATCACACACCCTGACATGAGCTAGGCTTCGGCAAAGAGTGTTTGTTACCACATCCAGCAGTGCCTGGGTCAGAGAGACGGGGCCGCACCTGGTGTCTGACATAGACTGCAAGGAATGGGTCACCCTAGCCCAGTGACCTGGCCTGGCTGTCTTCTGCTGTTCCTGAAGACAGCGTGTGCCATAAACCCCAGCAGATTCCTCTGCCTTCCCTCCATGCTGGGCACAGAGGGGGTGACCAACCTAGCAGGGACTTCCAAGGGTAAAGTTGAGCCTACAGCCAAGAATCATA
Source organism: Homo sapiens (assembly GCF_000001405.40). Lineage (NCBI taxonomy): Eukaryota > Metazoa > Chordata > Mammalia > Primates > Hominidae > Homo > Homo sapiens. The sequence continues at coordinate 106,047,273 of NC_000002.12, read as the reverse complement.
AACAATTTGAAAGTGACCGTCACCATGAGAGACAACAAACTTAACAGAAAATCTTACACCTAGGGAAACTGAGTTAATAGAACACATAGAACAGTGCTTTAAAATAAATACAATTTATATCCTCAGAGTAATAAAGGAAGGTTTCAAACAAGAACTAATTAGATATATTGGAAATAAACTGCTAAGTAGCAAATTCACGTGCTAGAGGGTCAGGCTAAGGAGGTATGGGGGGAGGGGAATCACTGTGGTTATTATCATTATTACTATTATTATTATTATTATTTGAGACAGGGTCTCGCTCTGTCCCTGAGGCTGGAGTGCAGTGGTGCAATCATGGCTCACTGCAGCCGTGACATCCTGGGCTGAAGCAATCCTCCCACTTCAGCCCCTAGTAGCTGGGACTACAGGTGTGCATAACTACACCTGGCTAATTTTTGTACTTTTTGTAGAGACTGGGTTTTACCATTTCGCTCAGGCTGGTCTCCAACTCCTGAGCTCAAGCGATCCCCCAGTGTCAGCCTGCCAAAATGCTGACATTATAGGAGTGAGCCACCATGCCCGGTTCCTATTATGTTTTGAATTGCCTGGACAGGAAGCAATGAGATTAACTGGGAGTCACTGTAATATTCCAGGTGAGAGATGACGAAAGTTTGACTAGGGCAGTGTTGGCAGGGATGGAGAGATGTGAACAGAGCTCAAAAGACACTTAGGAGGAAGAATGGACAAGACTTGGTGACTGGTTGTAGAAAATAAGACAGAGGGCAGAGTGAGATGGTCTCTAGGTTTCTGGTTTAGCATCTGGGTGGATGATGCCACATTCATACAGCAGAAGATGACGGGAGTGGAGCTACATGTGATAGCTCATTGAATTTGCAGGGCTAGTGACACCCAAGAGGAGCCGCCAATGGGCAGTTGGATATCTACTGGTAGGCCTGGAGCTCAGGAGAAAGAGTTGGCCAGAGGTGATCTTAGGAGATCTTCGACTCCAGATGTGGAGATGTTCACCCCGGGAGATGGTATGAGGATGTTCACCCTGGGAGACGGTGGCAAGTCTTGTGTCTAGAAGAGAACTTAGAAAAACACTGACATTTACAGAAACCTGGAAATAGGATGAAGATGAAGAGGGCTTGGTTCTAGTCCTGGTAAGGATGAGTCATTAACTTACTAACTCTTCAGTATGAAAGTGTTTATCCCTCTTTCTTTTCCTGAGAGGAAAAAGCATGAACACCTTAATTACTAAAATGGAGAGATCCATGAAGGAGTAGAGTGAGGAGGACCCCAGAGACAGATTCCAACCACACTATCGTCTGGCCAGAACCAGCAATTGTAATTCAACACTGTGCCAAGAAGACACCGCATTGTCAAAAGGGCTGACTCCCTGGTAAGCCACACTCCTCACTTATTGGCACTTTTGGCATTCACACCCACTAAATCACATTGACAAGATGAGCTGGCAAGATTAGGGATGGCTTCATTATGCATATCTGAGTTCCTAAGAGGGGGTGTGGCATGCGATGGCACTAAGCTTTAGCTTGTTTGGTGTAGGCAAAATACCCAATCGTAGATCATGTGTTTGAAGGCATAACCTAAAGCACATGGCAGGATATAAACATTAGTTATTGCTATTATGATACTTTATGTAAAGCAGAGATACCAACCATTTGTTTGATTAAATGAAGGGTCAGCTTAATCTGGCTGCATAATTGATTGGATCATCAGTGAGACAGAGGGAGGGAGAAGGCATGAGAGACGGGGAACGAAAAGAACGGAGGGTCTTCTAAGTGCCCACCCTGTCCCAGGCATGCAAAACCGTATTCTCTAGTTTACTGTCTACAGTCATTATGTGAAGCAGGCTCCATTATTTCTGTTTGACCCAAGAAGGGCCTGAGACCCAGAGCCCCACAGTAGGGGACATATAAAAATGGCCGCCAGGCCTTCCAACACCAAGCCTGCATTTTTCCACTGTTGCATAAGGAATTTTGCTTTCAGATAGTTCCGTTTGAACTTTAAAATACTTTTGAACCTACTCTGAATTACGTTAAACCTTTTTAATACCTTCCTGAAGCCTGGAAGGAAATTGTACCAGGGAAGTACAGTGGAGATGGCGGGAGACTAATAAGTTATTATGAGGCGAGCATCACTGTCCCCAACAATAATCAATCTATTGCAATCTCTGTGAAGTCCCAGGAGACTTCCCTCCCTCAGGCAAATGCAGCCTCCCAAAAGGTCACATTACAATCACTGGTGAGGAAAATGTCAGGCTGCTGCTAACACTGCGCTAAATCATTTTTGCAGTTTTTGCACGGAGAATGCCCAAGACTGCCAGAGAGCCAATGTGTGCCTCTCAAATAGTCACACAACTATCTTTAGTACATTGTACAGAACATTGGCCAGAGCGGCATTTGTTCTTGAAGACTCATTTGACAGCAAGTGATATGTGAGTCTACCAAGGGTTTCTAGGAAATCAGTTAAAATCAAGATAGAGCACAAATTGCAAAAAGTCATTAAATGGGTGCCTCTGTAATCTCCTCAGATGATAAATGGGAATAAGAGATTTCATGGTATAGGCTAGATTCTCTTTATATTCTACCTTCCTATTTATTTGTGATTATTGTTGCCACAATCGACTTTCATCTTCTCGTTTCCACCTCACTTGATTTTTATACAGTAGGGTTTGTCCTGACTGCCATCTCTTCTCAGTCTTCCTTTTCACTCTCACATGACAACCTGTGATTTTACATATTCATGCTTTTTAAAGTGCCCGATATTCACAAATCTGCCCTCTATCTCTGTATCCAAGGGCCAGGCTGTTTTCAGGTCAGTATCTTGGATCAAGCTTTGATGGCTTGGCCTCAGCATAGGAAATTCAGTGGCTGCTACAATCTCAGGAATCATAAAAGTTAAAAAAACAACAAAAAAAAGAATGCATAAAGTCACCCTTGCAGCACATCAGGGATGGAAGTTTTCGAAGGTCAAAAGGCAGTCTCTCAGTGTAAAGAAGGCAGGACTGAATGTCAAATAATAGAGCACTTCTATTTCAGCTGCCTCCAGATGGCTGTCTCTGTGTGGACATGTGTCACAGGTCTTGTTCTCAACGGGCAGGGAGAGCCCTTGTCCTCTGCCTCCCCAGCTCTGTCTCCCCCACTCCTAGGACAGTTTATGTTTCTCCTCTTACCAAATGTATCTTCTTTTTAAAGTGCTCTCATTTCCATACGAGAACTAACTCCCTAAACATCCGTCCCAAGGAGTCTATCAATGGTCAAGGCTGACACCAGAGCCTGTGTCTTTGTGAGTTTATGATCATTTAAAGTTTGCTAATTCAAAGATTAGATTAGTTTGGTTTTTTGTTTGTTTGTTTGTTTGTTTGAGACAAAGTCTCACACTGTTGCCCAGGCCGGAGTGCAGTGGCCCGATCTCCGCTCGCTGCAACCTCTACCTCCTGGGTTCAAGCGATTCTCCTGCCTCAGCCTCCCAAGTAACTGGGACTATGGCATGCACCACCGCACCCTGCTAATTTTGGTATTTTTAGTAGAGATGGGGTTTTACTATGTTGGCCAGGCTGGTCTCGAACTCCTGACCTCGTGATCCGCCCGCCTCAGCCTCCCAAAATGCCGGGATTACAGGCATGAGCCACCATGCCCAGCCAGATTAGATTAGCTTTTTAAGCCTATAATTTAAGGAAAAAAAATCAGAATTTCAGAGAAACCAATAAGTAACATCCCTTTCCTTGTCTGTGTATGAGACGACACGGGAGACAGACACAGGAGACAGACATATGATCAAAATATCATCCTCATTACAAATAAATGCAAAGTTGGAGAAGAGGGGTTGGGGGCAACCAGTGGGCTGCTAATCCTGAAACCCTGGGTGGGGTTCACCTATCTGTCATGGGCTTCATTGGCAAGTACAGGCCTGCCTCATGTGGGTCTGGAGAAGTCTTCCCTTTCCCAGGAGAGGCGAGGGTAAAGACAAGAGATCAGGGAGGGCAAAGGAGGAGGTCACAAGTGTATCATTGCAGGAAACGGAGAGGGTGCTCACAAATGCACATGGAAATATACCAAGAAGTAACAAAACACAGAACTGCATAGCTGAATCTGCTATGCATAACATTACTGCAGGGGCTCTCAACTCTTCTCAGGCCAGGTTTGTAAAAACATCAGCTATCTGAAAAATACACTTAACCTTGGAAGAAATAAAAAAGAAAGGCGCTTGGCACAGTGAAACCTGAAATGAGTACAAACATGGGCAAGTGGATGATGAAGGGTTCACTAACCAAGTTAGAGGAGAGAGGCCGAAGGAGCTGGGCAGCTTTCTCTAAGAACGGGAAGGCCAGATGGCTGCCTTCCAATAGGTGAAGATGCCTGGAAGACATCACTGTGCCCAATTTCTGTGGCTAGAAGTGGGACTACTAGGGGATGGTTACAAGGACACAGACTTCAAGTCAATGTATAGAATGGGATCACTGGAAAAAGAATAAACTTCCTATTCCAGAAAAAGATTGCACTGAGACTAAGTGACCACTGTTAGGAATGCTGCAGAAGGTTCTACTGAGTCATGAGAGTGGTTGGACTAGAGTAGTCATTCTTAAACTTTTTGGTTTTGGGACCTCTTTACACTCTTAATTATCGAGAAGCCCAAAGAGCCTTTTATCTATCTATACTTATAATATTCAAAATTAAAACTGATTTTTTTTTTTTTGAGACAGAGACTTACTCTGTCACCCAGGCTGGAGTGCAGGGGCGTGATCTCGGCTCATTGCAACCTCTGCCTCCTGGGTTCAAGCGATTCTCATGCCTCAGTCTCCTGAGTAGCTGGGATTGCACCACCATGCCCGGCTAATTTTTGTATTTTTAGTAGAGACAGAGTTTCACCATGTTGGCCAGGCTGGTCTTAAACTCCTGGCCTTATGTGATCCGCCCGCCTTGGCCTCCCAAAGTGCTGGGATTACAGGTGTGAGCCACTGCGCCTGGCCCAAAACTGAGATACTATTAAAGTATTTGTGAATTCATTTAAAGCAATAAAATATCTTGAATATCTGGTTCAACAGAAGCCAAGTGGATTCTCATCTCTCCTTCTGCATTCCATCTGTTGTTTTTGCTGAAGTGCATGAAAAAATCCATCCGTACTAGCTATGTAGTTGGTATAGGGAAGAGTATTTTAGATGCTCCTTTCCAGATAATTGTGGATATTCTTTGATACTACACCAAAGCTTAAAAGTGGTAATTTCTTAAATGTTGGTTGGAATGAGAAATTTCAAATTGTATCAATAACTTTTCATATGTCACATTAAATCCATAAATCCACCTCACACTTTGAATAGATCTTTTACCATTTATGATTTGGTAACATCATGAATGGTAACATCTTATTATTATAAGAATAATATAACATCTTATTATTATAAGTAACATCTTATTATTATAAGAATAGCTCAGTTTTGCAGATCCCCAAGTGTCTGTGCATCTCTGTGGGGGGCTGTAGATCTTTATTTGAGGGCCACTGTCAAAGAGCCCTCATGGGGCTCCAGGAGTTTACTCTGCAGGAGAGGCAGAGCTAATGTTAGGTTTATTGCAAGAAAGAGAGACGCACTCAAACTCAAACTAGCTCAAGTGAAATGGAAGTTAGCTGAAGTTTACTCCAGGCAAGCTCTTAGAATTCACCTATTTTTCATGGAACTGAACTCTGAAGATTGAAGCTACTCCCTCACCTTGAATGACCTCTCTTCTCTGCCCACATCTGCTTCATTCTTCTGCATCTCTCCTGGCAAAGTGGTGGCTTCTCTGTTCCACCGTAGCTCTGGTGTAAAGGTGGCTTTGATTTATCCAATTCTAGGAGACCTCAGGTCAAGCAACCATCTTCTCTCAGTATCTCATATTCTTGATTCCAAACTCCTGAGAGAGAGAATCTGATTAGCTCAACCTGATTTATGATGAGTCATGGGTCAACCCCTAGTCCCAGTACACTGGGTTACCAGGTACAAACATGGCCCCCAACAGACAAGTCAAGATGTGTCCCTTCTATGAGGCCTTTGAATTGTGCGTAAAATAAAGTAAAATCTTAAAATGTAGGAAGACAGAGAAAGCAATAAAAAGTGACATGTTATAGCAGAAATAGAAGAGAGGAAAAACCCAGTAGTGTTCAGCACGGCAATCTTGTGTTAATTAATATTTAGTGGTAGCAATAATAATAGATGGTGTTTATTGAGAGCCTATTTTGTGGCAGGCATTAAACTTGGAACACATTTTCCTCATTAAAAGTGAAAAATAACCCAAATCGTAGGCTCTATTTTTATCCCTAATTTAGCATAGCAGTTAAGAGTCTGGGCTTTGGAGCCAAACCATTGGAGTCTGTGTAGTTGGATGGCTTTGGGTGAGTTCTTCAACTTTTCATTGGCTCATTTCTTTCACTCTTTTTCTCAGAGTCAAATAGCCTCTGATGAAAAGAAAGTGGAGTGTGAGTGGTGGGGCTGAGGGCAGACAGTCTAGATTTCTTACCTAACTCTCAAATGCAGACAGTAATGATCAGAGGAGAGCGAGAGGGAAGCCTGTGCTTGTTATGGACATGGTACGTTAGAGTGGATCAGAGCTCTGGCCAAGGCTCTTGGGTTCAAATCCCAGCCCTGCCATTTTCTAGCAGCTGACCTTGGGCAAGTTTCTTAAAAACTGTTGGCCGGGTACTGTGGCTCACGCCTGTGATCCCAACACTTTGGGAGGCCGAGGCGGGCGGATTGCCCGAGCTTAGGAGGTCATGACCAGCCTGGGCAACATGGTGAAACCCCGTCTCTACGAAAAAAATACAAAAAATTAGCCGGGCATGGCAGCGTGCACCTGTAGTCCTAGCTACTTGGGAGGCTGAGGCAGGAGAATTGCTTGAACCAGGAGGTGGAGGTTGCAGTGAGCCGAGATCACGCCACTGCACTCCAGCCTGGGCGACAGAGTGAGACTCTATCTCAAAAAAACACAAAAAACAAAAAACCAAAAAAACAACTGTTTCCTCATCCACAAAATGAGGGAAATTGGCCTTCCTCATGGAGTTGCTGGGAGATCACATGAAGTGACAGATGTGACATCAATTTCACAACTATGTCTGCTGCTAGTGAGGGTGACCTGTGATCAGAGCTTTCTATGATCAAAGCAAGGCTGGTGCACACACCACAGCTGTGCTCATCCAGTCTCAAAGTGCACTGGAATATGACACACATCCTTCTCTGTCACACTTTTCTTCCCCAGGTACAAGAGCCTTGATGTTCTAAGACCTGTTTCAAATGTCAATTGAAGAGCATAGAGCCTATAAAATACCACATGCTATTAAACAGAAATGCTGCCTAAATATGAACTTTAACTGCAAGAACTTTTCTGTTTTGCTTTTAATAGACAATTTCGAATGCTGTTCCCCTTGGTACTCCTCAGAAAGAAACCAGAGCTGGGCACAGGGCCATCCACAAGCAAACATTCTCCAAGATGTGCCATGAAGCAATCTTGCCCTTGCTCCCACCTCAAGAAGCTGTTTTTGCCTTTCTTGCTCTCTTTTTTTTTTTTTTGAGATGGAGTGTTGTTCTGTTGCCCAGGCTGGAGTGCAGTGGCGTGATCTCGGTTCACTGCAACCTCTGCCTCCCGGGTTCAAGCAATTCTCCTGCCTCAGCCTCCCGAGCAGCTGGAACTACAGGTGTGTGCCACCACACACAGCTAATTTTTGTATTTTTAGTGGAAACAGGGTTTTACCATATTGGCCAGGCTGGTCTCACACTCCCGACCTTGTGATCCACCCGCCTCAGCCTCCCAAAGTGCTGGGATTACAGGCGTGAGCCACTGCGCCTGGCCCTTTCTTGCTCTTAAGATAGCTCTCTGATCACCTAGATCTTGTTACACTCTTAACTGGCCAAGTTCCCACAATCAGGTAAAAAGCCCCCGATCTGGAAGGTGGGTGAGTCCAGGTGACTCAACCAACACCTCTAACAGTCTGTTGTGGCAAATGGATTTTGTCCTCTGCTTTGCAGAATGTGGCCAACTCTGTCAGTGTTTGAGACACACGTCCCCCTAGGAAGCCCATATGTTACCACTTTACCTTTGAGATCAGTTTGCTTGCTGGCTTCTGTCCCAGTGCCTGGACTGCAAAAAAGACCACGTCTGACCAACGACAAGCTGCTCTCTATCCAGCTCCTTGGATGGATTCAAGTCTCTTTGAATCAGGACAAGCAATGACTGGCGGGTGGGGAGACGTGTTTGAAACCCTTAGGCTCAGCAGTCTTGAATGGCGAAGTCTTCTGAATGGCAGTTTTCATCCAGCATTATGCTTCTGTGCCAACTCCTTTTCTAAATGTCTCCAAAAGCATTCAAGGGCCCTGGCTAAGGAGAGTGGTGGCTGCAATGTCAGAGAGCCTGGTTCCCTGGGGACAGTGATGGTAAGCAGATGTCCTGGCAATTTCTGAGCAGCAGTGATTTAATTCCTGCCAACTGAGGGAGTGATGAACAACAGGTTAGCGAGGGAGGCACTGGAGTAATTCCTTGCAGGTGTCCAGCAGAGAGTGAGTCGTTATTCTCAGCAAAGGAAATGGACTCTGGGGATGTGCTGAAACAGCAGAGGGGCGGAGCTTGACAAAACAGGACACAGGGCCTCAGATTCTCCGTTTGAGTCCCAAATCGCCTATCTGCTAGCAATGGACAGTGGCCAAAACTGCTTCCTCACCTGTAAAATGGGTACACTATTGCTACTACTACTTCCTCGCTTATTTAACAGGATTGTGGAGAGAAAGTGAGTTATAGGAAAACATGTTGGACAAACTCATATATGATTTCCGATTTCTCCCATGGCCTCTTGCTCCTTTTGCTGTGTGTGTGAGAGAATATGTGTGTGTGTGTATGCGTATGTGTGTGTGTGAGAGAGAGAGAGACAGAGAGAGAGGAGAGAGAGTTTCCTGTGGCTGCTAACAAATTACCACAGACTTGGTAGCATAAAACATCTCTTTACACAGTTCTGGAGGTCAGGAGTCCGAAGTCAGTTTCCTGAGCACAAATCAAAGTGTGGGCACAGCTGTGCTCCCCCAGGAGGCTGTCTGGGAGAGCCTGCTCCGTGGCCTCTTGGTCCATGGCTCAGCATCCCTCCGCTAACCCAGCAGTGGAGCATCCTGCATCAGTGGTGACATCATCGCCTTCTGTGTCAGACCTCCCTCTGCCTCCCTGTTATAAGGACCCTTGTGATTGCATTTAGGGACCGTCAAACAATCCAAGCTCCTCTCCCCATCTCAAGATCCTGAATCACGTCTGCAGTCTCTTTTGCCATATAATGGCACATTCACAGGATCCAGGGATTAGAACATGCACCTCTGGGAACCATTATTTAGCTGACCCCGCTATGCAGGAGGTGAGGGGAGGAGCCGACGTGGAGATTGGAAGGGGACAGGCTCCCGTGTTCATGAGGAAGTGCATGGAGGCCCTTCCAGCTTTTTCATATTTCCAAGCAAATCCAACTGCTGCTCATTCAAAGTCCCTCTATGTATACATGGGGGCAGGCCGGATGGCAGTGGGGCTGACAGGCAGACATCTGAGTGTTCACTCAGATCTGAACCTTACATCAATGCTTCTCAAAGTGGAGTCACTGGACCCACAGCCTCTGCATCACCTGGGAACTTGTTAGAAATGCCAAATTTTGGATTCTACCCCAGACCTCCTGGATCAGAGACCTGAGGTAGTTTTAAAAGGCCTCCAGGGGATTCTGATGCTGGCCCTTCATAGCTCAAGTTTGAGCAAGGGACCTTGGAGGAAAAGATAAGGCCTGGGATTGGATCCTGGAGCAGGGGTTCTCAGCGCTGGCTGCAGATTCTAACCACTGGGGGGCCTTTGAAAAGTAGTGCATAAATCAGAGCCTCTGGGGATGGGGCCCAAGCAAGGAAAGCTTTTTTTTTTTAAGTTCCCAGGTGATTCTTACCTGCAATTAGCTTTCAGAGCTGCTCACAGTGCACAACAGCCACCCCACTCTTTGGCCTTGTGGGGAAGAATTGGGACTCACAAAATCAGTGTTTCTGAAACTTAGGACAGCATCAGAATCACCTGGAGAGTCTAAGACACAGATTCCGAGGCCCGCCCTCAAGTCACTCATGTAGTCTGGGGTAGGGCCTGAGACTTGGCATTTCTAACACATTTCAGGGTGACGTTGATGCTTTCGGTCCAGGAGCCACGCTTGGAGGAATGTTGCATTCATGCATGAGTTTTTAAATTATTATTATACTTTAAGTTCTGGGATACATTATGCAGAACGTGCAGGTTTGTTACATAGGTATACACACGTGCCATGGTGGTTTGCTGCATCCATCAACCCATTATCTACATTAGGTATTTCTCCTAATGTTATCTCTCCCTTAGCCCCCACCCCCCAACAGGCCCTGGTGTGTGATGTTCCCCTCCCTGTGTCTATGTGTTCTCACTGTTCAGCTCCCACTTATGAGTGAGAAAATCATGTATGATTTTAATACCAACAGCGTACTCAGAATACCTTTCCCAGAGCAAGTTAAAACCACAGAGCCTAAAAGCCTTAGAAATTACTTGATTTGCTTCTTTCCCCTGAGTTTGTTTTTTAGGGCAAATGCCATTGGAACTTAGCTGTTGGTATTATGGTGTTCATGACTTACAGATGCAAGAAACCTTGTAGAGATGGAGTTTGAAAGGATAGTGAAGGGAGAAGGTCATTGAAAATAGGTGGGCTGGGGAAAGAAAACCAGAAATGACCCTAGACTGCTTCACAACTTTGCCAGTGTCTGACCATGGTTTCAGAGGGTAGGGGAAGAGGGAGAGAAGCAGTAGCAGTGATTCAGCATGATGCTCTTGATTTAGTAACTAACCCTCCAATGTTCTGAGATAGCACTCAACTTTTTGTTATTAAGATAATTTTCAGTTTGAGTCAACAATTTAAATCAGCATCTCTCCAGACGTCACCTGGTGTTCCTCTCTGCGCCTTGACAGGTAGGTCCCATTGCCTTGAAATCCTCCATCCCAGGACCAGGGTTGAGTTGCCCTACTGAGTATTTCTGTTAATTCCCAAAAAACTTCAATCCTTGTAGGTCTTTATTAAATAAAATGGCTTAAAAGTTTTGACTTCTTAAATTCCTCTTTCTTTACCCCAATGCAAAACTCAGCCTCTTCATCAGTTTTCTATTAAAATTTTAAAAATTCACACCCACCAAGAGTTTGATTGATTAAGGAGGCTTTGCTGAAGAAGGAAGGTTTCTCACATCTCATCACAATTTTCCTACCACTCTCCGCTTGACTTCCTGGGCCTTCCCTCTCCCAATTCTTATTTGCATTCCTTTCATGAGCAAAACTTATCCTGTACAAAACATATCCTTCTTTTTATCTCATATCTAGGGGATGAGGTTTCGCCTTTTGCAGTAGGGAGCATGGAGGCTCAGCCTGGATTCCAGAAGCACTCATCAAACACATCTTCCAAATTCATTGTTAGATTTTTGACACAATTCAGAGAATTTCTGGTGAAAAAAATTTTTCTTTACCTTGGCATAAATGTTAGCTATATTTATCCATTCCACTTTAAATCAACTTTATATTTTAAAATTGTTTTAGATGTACAGGAAGTTGCAAAGCAAACACAGAGAGTTTTTACAGCCCCACACCCAGTTTCTCCTATTGTTAATATCTTACATTCCTATAGCACATTTGTCACAATTAATGAACTAACACTGACGCGTAGTTATTATTAATTAAGTCCAGGCTTTACTCAGATTCCCTTCGTTTTTGTTTTGTTTTGTTTTTTAGACGGAGTCTCGCTCTGTTGCCCAGCCTAGAGTGCAATGGTGTGATCTTGGCTCACTACAACCTTCGCCTCCTGGGTTCAAGCAGTTTTCCTGCCTCGGCCTCCTGAGTAGCTGGGATTACAGGTGCCTGCCACCATGCCCAGCTAATTTTTGTATTTTTAGTAGAGATGGGGTTTCACCATGTTGGCCAGGCTAGTCTCGAACTCCTGACCTCAAGTGATCTGCCCGCCTCAGCCTCCCAAAGTGCTGGGATTATAGGCATGAGCCACTTGCCCAGCCCCCCCTTCGTTTTTATATAATGTCTGTCTTCTGTCCCAGGATCCCATCCAGGATATATTATATTAAGTTGTCGTGTCTCCTTTGGCTCCTCTTGGCTCTGACAGTTTCTTAGACTTTGCTTGTCTTTGGTGACCTCTCCAGTTTTAAGGAGTGCTGGTCAGGTATTTTGCAGAAGGTCCTTCAATTTACTTTTGTCTGACATGTTTCTTATGATTAGACTGGGGTTAGGATTTTGGGAGGAAGATCTCAGAAGTAAAATGCCATTCTCACTGCATCACATCAAGAGTCCATACATCAGCATGACTTGTCGCTGTTGATGCTAGTCTTCATGACCTGGCTGAGGCAGTCTCCGTCTCAACCCTGACATTTTCCACACCGTACTCATTGGAAGGAAGTCACTAGGCTCAGCGTACAGTTACTTGTGGGAAGTTATGTCCCACCTCTTTGAGAAGCAAGTATCTACATAAATTATTTGAAATTCTGAATAGGAGTTTTGTCTATTCTACCCTGTGTATTTAGCTATTCAATCCCTTATTTATCTAACTACAAACACACTGTTGTTGTTATTTTATACTTTGGGTTATAATCCAAATTACATTATTTACTTTGTTGCTCAAATTGTTCTGGGTTTGGCCATTGGGAGCCCTTTCTGTTGGCTCCTGTGTTCTTTTGATGTAATCCCAGGCTTTTGTGGGTTTTTCTATTTGTTTTGTTTGTTTGTTTTGAGATGGAGTCTTGCTCTGTCACCCACTCCAGGCTGGAGTGCAATGGCGCAATCTCAGCTCACTGCAACCTCAGCTCACTGCAACCTCTGCCTCCCGGGTTCAGGTGATTCTCCCACCTCAGCCTCCCAAGTAGTTGTGATTACAGGCATCCCCCACCATACCCGGCTAATGTTTTTGTATTTTTAGTAGAGACAGAGTTTCACCATGTTGGTCAGGCTGGTCTTGAACTCCTGACCTCAAGAGATCCACCTGCCATGGCCTCCCAAGTGCTGCGATTACAGGCCTGAGCCACCACGCCCGGCCACATGCTTTTGTTTTCTGAGGTCCTTCTTATCTTCTGTGATTATAAGAGGTTCCAAGTTCATCTCCAGGTGCATTTCCCACCACAGTCTTAAACTCAGCCATTTCTCCAAGGAGCTCTGGTTCCTTTAATGGCATTAGAAACCAAAATCAGGGTGATGAGTTAGCTTGTCATTACCAGGGTTCATTGATTCTAGGCCCTTTCAGCAGACAGAGTTTGGAAATATATGAGGGTGGGTCTACCTGTGTGTGCACACATATCCAGAATTATTTCCATAATTATTGATCTGTATCTACGTTAAGCTAAACATGAGTCTAGACTAATGTCTCACACAGAGAACCACATGGTTCATTCTAGGCATTCCCTTGGCTTTCTGTAACCATTTACTCCAATAGAGAGAAACCTGCCTCCCACCATCCATCATCTTTTACTAATAGTCTTAATCCAAGTATACATGTAGAGAAGTATCAAAATTGTTAACCCAAAGCACATAAGAAACAACTTTATCAGCTGGAGTATAGTACTTCTGTATTGTTTCTTTTGTCTTTAGTCCTGCAGGCTCCACTCATTTCCAAGTTACTCAGATCATCACCTTTTCTCCTGCCTCCTTCAGTGAGGTTATGCCACATTGTAATACAGTTAGATTGTTTTGCCACAGGCTGGATTCCATCCTGGGATTACCAATCTCCCAACTGATAAATTCATAGTGTCATGTCTCCACAACTACAGTGCCTTATGAAATAATTTCACGGCTGTAAAACAATTCTGGGTGCTTTCCCTATTCCTCCCCTCTTCTTCCCCAATCCCCTGATGAACATAAATCTGTTTTCTATCTCTGTAACTCTTCCCTTACTAGAATATCATAAAATGAAATCATACAGTATGCAGTCTATTCATGCTGCCTCCTTTCACTTAGCAATATGCATTCAAGATTCATCCACATTGTTGTTTGGACTGAGGGTCCATTCCTTTTTAATTGTTAAATAGTATTCCATTGTATGGATATACCATAGATTGCTTATTCATTCACCTGTTAAAGGACATCTCAGTTACTTCCATGTTTTGGCAATCATCGATAAAGCTGCTATAAACATTTGAGTGCAAGTTGTTGTGCAGATATAAGTTTTCACATCAGTCGGGTAAATACTTTGGAGTGCAATTGCTGCATTATATAGTGAGAGTATGCTTAGCTTTGTAGAAACTGTCAGACTGTCTTCCAAAGTGGCTGTACCATTTCTCTTTCCCACCAGCAGTGAATGAGACTTCCTGTTGCTCCATATCCTCACCAGAAATTGCCATTGTCAGCTTCTGGGATTTTCGCCATTCTAATAGATGTATACTTGTGTCCCATTGTTGTTCATTCCACTTTTAAAAATCCACATTGGAGCATGGCCAATTTGGAAACAATTTTTCACTGGCCCTGGATTTGATGTTGCTTTTTTTTTTTCTTTGAGATGGAGTTTCACTCTTGACGCCCAGGCTGGAGTGTAGTGGCCCATGTTCTCAGCTTACTGTAACCTCCACCTCCGGGGCTCAAGCAATTCTCCTGCCTCAGCCTCCTTAGTAGCTGGGATTATAGGCGCCCGCCACAATGCCTGGCTAATTTTTTTGTATTTTTAGTAGAGATGGGGTTTCAGCATGTTGGCCAGGCTGGTCTCGAACTCCTGACCTCAGGTGATCCACCCCCCCTCTGCCTCCCAAAGTGCTGGGATTACAGGCATGAGCCACCGTGCCCAGCTGACATTTTTTTTTAAAGATAAGATTTTACGTGTCCTTTGCAGCGACATGGATGCAGCTGGAAGCCATTATCCTCAGTGAATTAACACAGGAACAGAAAACCAAACACCACATGTTCTCACTCATAAGTGGGAGCTAAACTTTGGGTACTCATGGACAAAACAATGGCAACAATAGAAACTGGGGAAGAAACTGAGGCAGCAAGTGTTGAAAAACTATTGGGTACTATGCTCAGTACCTGGATGGTGGGATCAATTGTACCCCAAGTCTAAGCATCACACATGTATACTCATATAACAAACCTGCATATATGCCCCCTGAATCTAAAATAAAAGTCTAAATTACGGCCGAGTGTGGTGACTCACGCCTGTAATCCCAGCACTTTGGGAGGCTGAGATGGGCAGATCACTTGAGGTCAGGAATTTGAGACCAGCCTGGACAACATGGTGAAACCCCGTCTCTACTAAAATACACACAAAAAATTAGGTGGGCGTGGTGGCTGATGCCTGAAATCCCAGCTACTCTGGAGGCTGGGGCAGGAGAATCGCTTGAACCTAGAGGCAGAGGTTGTGGTGAGCCAGCCGAGATTGGGCCACTGCACTCCAGCCAGGGTGACAGAGCGAGACTCTGTCTCAAAAAAAAAAAAAAAAGTCTAAATTATTTTTTTAAAAGATATTTTTTCAAGGCCAAAAGTCTTAATGGAAACAGCAGCAACTGATTCCTCAGTGTACCTGAATCCATGGACTTTGTTAGTATGTAAACAGAAGTGTCCAGTTGCTTAAGGCCTGTAAGGAAATAATAAAGTGAACAGAGAATGGGGGAGAATACAAGATCAGCTTTCGTCAGAGCAAAAAATAATTTTTTAATACTTCATTAAAATAATTAGGCCAAGCATGGTGACTCACGCCTGTAATCCCAGCACTTTGGGAGACTGAGGCGGGTGGATTGCTTGAGCCCAGGAGTTTCAGACCACCCTGGACAACATGGTGAAACCCTGTCTCTACAAAAAAAAATACAAAAATTAGTGGGGCGTGCTGGCACATACCTGTCATCCTAGCTACTTAGGAGGCTCAGGCAGGAGTATTGCTTGAGCCCAGGAGGCAGAGGTTACAGTGAGCTGAGATCATGCCATTGCACTGTAGCCTGGGTGACAGAGTGAGACCCTATCTCAAAAAAATAATAATCACAGTTAAGAGAAACGCAGGTAAAGAGGCAAAAACCTGTTACTGATGGGATGCATTGGGAGATGGTGTGGAATTCCCACTGGGTACAGCACCATTTGTTTATGAACAAAGATTCAAAGGTAAAAGTCCACCTTCCATCTCTCATGAACTATTTCACAATTACAACGTTCCATGTAGTGTGATGCAAGTTTTCAACACCCTGATGCTGAGAGCAGCTGGCTGGGGGTGGAGTGGGAGGGGAAGACGAGTGGGGACTGGAAGGGACAGTCCCCGCCAGTCCCACACTCATCTCGCTGAGTAAAGATGAGCCCCTAAGCCACGGGGGCCTCTGCTTGGCTAGTTGCTCTGCCAGCCCATTAATACTCGACTACTTAGTACAGGGGCCCGGACAGGGACAGTGCCACCCCAGGCCTGGACAGCACAATGCCAGGTAGTGCTTCTACTGTGCTGTGCCTGATTCACAGGCCTGATGGCTTCTCCAGGAGTCCCATCCTGAAGGCACGAGCTAGTCTATTTCAGGCAAGTTCTTCCTGTTTTCCAGCAGTCTCTGACTTACTTGGCTCCCCTCCCTCCTTCCTTACATTCCAGGCACAGATCTGTTTACACAACTGTACTTGATCTGAGAGAACAGTAGATGCCAGAAAAGGAAGCGCAAGCTCCCGCAGCTCCCCAGCACCCCTGCCTTCTTCCTCACCCACCCTTCCCTTCCCGCTCTTTCCCCTCTCCCCTTCCTCCTTGCCTTACTCACTGTTCATAAAATCTTTGGATCAGCCACAGAATCACATTCTGCAGCTTGAATCAAGATCTCCGGTCTCAGAGGAGACAACGCTGCACCCTCTGCTGACCTAGAAAATCTCCCCATCCTTCCTGTACATGGCATGTCTATTTTTAAAAGCCAGGAATAATTTTCTATTCCAGAATTTTCAATTGCAGTTTTTAAAATCTACCTAAAATGACACGGATGGATCTCAAAGTATCATGTTATATATGAAAGAAACCAGACGTTCAAAAGTACACTGTATGATTCTATTTTATATGAAGTTCAAGAACAGGCAAAACGAAGCCATGGTGATAGAGGTCGGAACCGTGGTTAAACCTGGAGTGTGGGGTATTGGCTGGAAGAAACGCAAAGACACATTCTGGATGTGGGAAATGTTTCATATCTTGATCAGGGTTGTGGTTACATGAGGGGTGTGTGTGTGTGTGTGTGTGTGTGTGTGTGTGTGTGCGCCTAAAAAGTCATCAAGCTGTACACTACATTGTGCACTTTGTATAAATTATATCTCAAAAAAGTACAGGAAAAAAGTTTCCCTGAAGTGAATGGACTAAACTGTGAATGCTGAGTGCAAAATAATAGATAGAAATCCCCCAGAGCCCTTCATTGAACAGAAGCCCAGAGAGGCTAAATGGCTTGCCTGCAGACACACAGCCAGTTAGGGCCAGACTCTGATAAGAGGCAACAGAATATGCTGCCTAGTTCCCTATGGCTGGGATAATTTCTTCTATCTAGGTAGTTTTCTTATTTTCAAAGGGAAGTTTTAAGGCATTTTCTTACTGGAAGGGGGTTGATCAGATTACAGCACCTGGACCCATCTATTCCATGAGATGTAGGTCAGAGTATGCTTAACACCTCATTCTACAATCTGTGGATGTCCACACCCTGCCCAAGATTTTTGCTGGGAAAATTGGAGTGGTGGGGTGTGTCAGGATTTACTCCTTCTCCTGTTCATATACTGTCAGGTCCCAAATCTCTGTTCTTCTCAGACTAAAAAGAAAAAAAAATACAGCTTCTTCTTTGATTTCCACATAGAGTCACAGAGCAGATATTTATCATGCATTTTAATCCAGCCTTCCTAGATTTGAGACCTTGAACACCTGGGAGTCTCTGTGGAGCTGGTTTGCTGTGCTAGCCTCTCTTGCCTCCAGGGCTCAGGCAAGTCTCCCAGGGAAACAGAGAGATGAAATCACCAGAGACCCTGAATCAGGGGTAGTGACACTGGTGAAGGTGGTGGCAGCTACACACAGGTTTCAGAGAGAGCAGTGGCAGGACCTTAGGCAAGGTGGCCTATATCCTGCCATAAAGGTTATCTCATCAGCTGGCTCCGGATGTCTTGGAGAAGTAACTCGGCTGGTTAACCCTAAGGGGAGGTGAGGTACGGAGGGCATGGGTGTTGGTGGGAGACCAGGCAGCCACAGAGGTGGCCTTGGAGGCCTGCCTCCAAGGAGATGGTGGTGCATACTGCAGCATCTATGCTAGAAATGACCACAGTGTGGGCTCCACCGGGCCCATTCTGGGGTGAATTGGGCATGACCGTTTACCATAAAGTCTCCAGCCCAGTTCTCTGGTCCCCAGGAGTTCTTCGATCCAGCTAATACCCTTTACCAAATGCATTTGCTCCTCAACTAGCCAGAATAGGTTTCTGTTGCTTACAACTTGGAACCTGGCAGGATGGTGGTAATTTTGTATGTAATAAACCCTGCTGAAGATTTGGAGGAAACAGGATTGCTTATATCACACCAATGCAGACAAGCAAGTTTCCATAGAACCTGAGATGTACATGTCCTCAAACCCCTTTGGAAGCTCCACCAGGCAATTCTCCCCCATCATGCACCCTCACCCTGCCCTGAAAAGCCCCAGGTTCACCAGATCAGGCCAACTCCTTTCACTATTTCCTCCCTTTCAGAAGCAAGGCAAAACTTCTCTCATTTTCTCCAGCCAGAGCACTGGGGCCACCTCTGTGGCTGCCTGGTCTCCCACCAACACCCATGCCCTCTGTACCTCACCTTCCCTTAGCAGTTAACCAGGAGAGTTGGTTCTCCAAGAAGGCTGGAGCCAGCTAGTGAGATAGTAACTTTTATGGCAGGAAATAGGTCACAGAGGTGTGAGCAGAGGTGTGGCCATACTGTGCCACGCCTTCTATCCTCTTGTGTGGCAAGCCTAGAGGCCAAGTGATGATGGAGGCGCAAAAGATAGTGGAAACCAAGGTCCAAGTCACACCTTTAAGGAGAGCCATGCCTCCTCTTTCGACCAGGACAGACAAGGAAAAAACCTTTCACTGTGTTGTTGGAGAGATTCAGACGTTGAAGGTGGCCATGTTCAGCCTTCCTGGGTAGTACCCTAAATAAAGAAACGCTAGTCACATCCAGTGACCCATGGGGCATACACCTTGGTTGCTGAAACACTGAAAACATATTTTCTTTTTAAAAAAATGTTTATTTATTTACTTTTATTTTAATAAGATTCAGGAGTACAAGTGCAGTTTTGTTACACGAATATATTGCGTGATGCTGAGGTTTGAACTTCTAGTGTACTCATCACCCAAAGAGCGAACACTGTACTCGGTAGGTAATTTTTTAACTCTCACAACCCTGACCCTTCCCACTTTTGGAGTCTCCAGTGCCTATTATTCCACTCTGTGTATCCACGTATACCATTGTTTAGTTCCCACTTAAAAGTGAGAACATGCAGTATTTGATTTTCTGCCTCTGAGTTATTTCACTTAGGGTAATGGCCTTCGGCTCCATCCATGTTGTTGCAAAAGACATGATTTCATTCTTTTTATGGTTACAAAGTTATTCCATGGTGTATATATACCACATTTTCTTTTTCTTTTTTTTTTTTTTTTTTTGTGAGATGGAATCTTGCTCTGTCGCCCAGGCTAGAGTGCAATGGTAAGGTCTCAGCTCACTGCAACCTCTGTCTCCTGGGTTCAAGCGATTCTCCTGTCTCAGCCCCCCGAGTAGCTGGGACCACAGGCATGTGCCACCACACCCAGCTAATTTTTGTATTTTTAGTAGAGACGGGGTTTCACTATGTTGGCCAGGCTGGTCTTGAACTCCTGACCTCAGTTGATCCGCCCACCTTGGCCTCCCAAAGTGCTGGGATTACAGGCGTGAGCCACCGCGCATGGCCTATACCACATTTTCTTTATGCGATCATCCATTGTCGGACACTTAGATTGGTTCCATGGTTTGCTGTTGTGGCTACCACTGTGATAATGTATGACTGCAGGTGTCTTTTTGATATGATGATTTCTTTTCCTTTGGGCAGATACCTAGTAGTGGGGTTGCTGGGTTGAAGGGTAGTTCTATTTTTAGTTCTTTGGGGAATCTCCATACTGTGAAAACCATATTTTCTCATGTAAAAACAGGGTCCCCATGACCAGGTACGAGAAGTATCCTGGTGGCATGGGAGATCAGATTGGGGCAGCTCTGAAGGATGCTCCTTCGGGGCCCAGCAGCCACATGCCTTTTCCATTTCCCATGGCCTCTGCTCTTTGGAAGGTCTCTGTGTCAGTCACCTCCAACTTAGTGTAACTTTTAAAAATGTGTTGTGAGTCCTTAGGTCTTGCATTCCATCCTTATCTCTCTTCAGGGAATTAAAGTACTTGCCTTGGGGATTATGGGTTTCAGAAAGGAATTGAGGGGAGGTCCTTTGAGGAATACAACATCTTTTCTGCCTCAACAACACTCAGATGACCCATGTATGGTAAGTTGACTGTGGCTGTGAACCCATCACAATGTACACAGTAATGAGACTGATTCCTAAACCAACGATTTTTGTGGAACTTGGGAGTTCATTCTGCCCAGCCTGTCTTCCTTCCAGGATGGGATTCCCCTCCCAGTTGCTGATAGTCATAATTCGAGGCCAAGTCAGGTCATCTTGCAATGCTGAGGACCTTTCCACACCCAGGGTGACCTCTCCCATGGCTGGACAATGAGAATTTGGAAATTTCTCCTAGTTTTATCCCCAAGCCCAACCCTCTTTAATTCGTTGACTTAGTTCTACTATCATAAAACATTAGAGCCCCACCTATAACCCACTTAACCACATCCTTCTGTGTCCTAATCGCCTTTCTATTTCATGTCTTTTTCCAACCTTTCTTTTCTCTTTACTTTGATTTTATTATCTAGATGCTGGGATTTCATTTTGTCTTGTTGGGTCATATGAATCTTTGTAAGTAAGTTGCTGTTGATCCTTTTTGAAATAAAACAGGTTAAAGGAAAAGAAAAAGAAAGGACATTCTTTCTTTTTCATGTATTCCCCCATGAGATACACAGAATAAGTCAAAGCTTTTTTTCACATCAACCCGTCAAATATTTGAAGGCAGCTGGCCAATATCCCACGGGCCTCCTCTCCTAAAGACACACATTATGAATGGCTTCAGTTCTTCCAAAGATTAGAAGGTTTCCAGATTCTTCTCCATCGCAGGTTGGCCTCCTCCAGGGCTTCCCTGGTTAGCTAACAAGCTCCATTAAAATTCCCAGTGGGACTGAGGCCTGCTGAGACCTTGTGTGAGGGGACGTGGGCAGTCCTGGTATTTCCTGCTTGCCTGACCCTGTGCGTCTGATACCAGGCTTCAGAGTGGGGCAGCTTCACCACCACCTGCTGCTGCAATGTACTTGAGCCCTTGCAGAAACTTGTGTCCATAGCTCTTTTTCTGACTACACAGGAATATTTCCTTTGTTATCTTAAAGCAGTTTCTCAAACATTTAAAAACGATAGTTCCCTTTTCACATACCTAAAATTCTTATGCCTCCTTTTAATGTTATTTTAAGTTTCCAAGAGGCATTTTTTTCAAATATAAAGGTATAATATTGCACATCTTCCTATGCATCCTCCCTCCACCTGCAGGGTGTAGCCTCTTCTGAGAAGCACTAGAGTCACATCTTCGTCTTTTTGACCAAATGTGCCATCGTCCTGCCAGATCACCCACCTTCACCAGGGCTCTAAAGAGCATTTGGTTGGTTCCAAAAATAAAAACACTCCCAAAGACAAATATTTGTTAGTACTGGGAATTGCCCCCAAAATATGAGGCAGAGTCTAAACTCAATGTCCCGAAAGGAGTGGACTGGAATAAATGCTTAGGCTCTCAGAGCACCTAACTGAAGGGTACTACGCTCACTTATCAGGAAAAAAAAAAAAGAAAAGTCGACCATATTATTACTTTCTAGTCACATTTTTATTCAGGCCCACACATGAGATCTGCTCCAGGGCAGAATTTTGCAAGGAAAAAGAGGTGACACCTCTGTGAACAAGAAAATGCTTTTCCCTGGTGCCTACGGGGACATATGCTCAATATTTCTAATTTCTGAAATTCAAAGCAGTGAATAGTGGTTTATCACAAAGTTAAAGGCAGGATTTAAAATCTGGTATAGATCTCATTTGTAGCCAGAGGAGGTTGAGAAAGAAAGAAAACAAGAAAGGAAGAGAGAGAGAAGCAGAGAGAAAGAAAGACAGAGAAAGAGGCAGAGAGGGATAGCAAATGGGGAAAGAGAGAGACAGAGAGGAGAAAGAGATGAAGACATAGAAGGGGAGAGAGAGAAGGAGAAAGACAGAGACAGAGGAGAGACAGAGAGAGACAGACAGAGACAGAGAGGGAGAGAGACAGAGAACATAATTGGAAAAGTAAGAAAGATCTCTCCCATCACACTGTCTGTACTAACATCCCAAACTCAGCCCCCATCCCAGAAAAAGACAGAGAATAAGGAAAGGGAAGGATACATCTAGAAAGGGAAGGACGCATCTAGAAAGGGAAGGATACATCTAGAAATAGAGTGTCAGGTCAGAAGAGCTTAGTGAAGGACCCTTATGAGCTAAATTAGGGTTCCATGAGCCAACCTTCACCATAGGTCCCTCTTGACTCCACACCCTCAGCCAAGCCACCTGTTAGATTCTCCTGGGGCCCCTGATTTCACAGGCCCCAAGGCCCTGCCTGAGGGACAGAACAGCCCAGGGTGGGGAATGAGGCAATCGAAACCAGGGAACTCCTTGAGCTGCTAGTGTAGGCGGAGGGCAGGAGGGAGAACACATCTCCTCACACACTTCTTACGTCTACCTTTTACCTTGTAGAAAAATGTCAAAAGTCTTATTTATTGTAGCCAGGAATGCAAGGCAGGTTTCAAATTTTGGAAAGGAAAGAGCAACCTCATGTTCATTTAAAATCATAATTTAAGTCATAATTCTCCCCCCTCCCCGCTTCTACTCCCCAACTTTGGGCTAGCTGAAGCTGGTTTTAGGGCATTCCGTTCCAAGTTTGCATTCACAGATTTGCAACTTGAGTGAGCTGAGCTGGGTAAAAGAATAGCCCAGCTTCGGATGAGGACACCTGTGGGTGCTGCGTTGTCCTCATTCCTCAAGGGGAAGAGAGTGCAACAAGGATGCTTGCAGCTGCTCAGATGCTGGCTCAGGCACAAAGCATCTTCCAGCCCTGACAATGGTGCCATTTTTCTTCCAAGACCAATTGCTAAGTCCTGCAGGATTTCAGGCTTCATCAGAGATATTAAGAGTGAGCAAAAACCTTCCTGACACCAGTTCCCAGGTGTAGGGAAAACACTCAAACTTCCTCTGGGAGGTTTCCTGGCTCCTCTGATGTGGTTGCAAGAAACAAACCAATAGTAGTTAGCCAATGTGATAGCAGAAATCCACGGCAGGCAGAATAATGGCCCCAAAGATGTCCACATCCTAATCTCTAGAACCTGTGAATATATTAGGTTACATGCCAAAGGGCTATCAAAGTTGCAGATGGAATTAAGACAGCTAATCAGCTGACTGTCTTGGGCAGGTGGGCCCAATGTGGTTGCAAGGGTCTTTATAAGTGGAAAAGGGAGGCAGAAGAGAGGGAGCCAGCGAAATGCAGCATGAAGAGGACTCAGCCTGACTTTGCTGGCTCTGAAGGTGGAGGAAGGGGCCACAGCCAAGGAATGCAGGTGGCCTCTAGAAGCTGGAAAAGGCGAGGAAACGGATCATCACCTGGAAGGAAGATAGCACTGCCAACACCGTGATTCTAGCCTAGCCGTGATGGCAGGAAGATTAAATCATAAACCAGTGAAATTTGGGGGGTGAGATAGGCTCAGAGTGTAAGAGGTAAAGGACAGGAATGACTATCACTTTTTATGTAGTTTTGACTTTGTTTTTTCTTTTGAGACAAGTTCTTGCTCTGTCTCCCAGGCTGGAGTGCAGTGGTACACTCACAGCTCACTGCAGCCTCAGTCTCCTGGGCTCAAGCAATCCATTCGTCACACCTCAGCCTCCTGAGTAGCTGGGACTACAGGTATGCACCACCATGCCAGGCTAATTTTTGTATTTTTTGTAGAGATGGGGTTGTGCCATGTTGCCAGGGCTGGTCTCAAACCCCTGAGCTCAAGCAATCTTCCTGCCATGGCCTCCTGAAATGCTGAGATTACAGGCGTGAGCCACTGTGCCTGGCCAGTTTTGACTTTTGAATTATGTGTTTTACATATTCAAAAATAAAATTAAATCAAAGAGTTTTTTAGAAGCACTCTAAACTTGGATAAACACAACACAATGATATACTATCTACCAAACTGGTTACATAAGT
The DNA here is from genome assembly GCF_000001405.40 of Homo sapiens. Lineage (NCBI taxonomy): Eukaryota > Metazoa > Chordata > Mammalia > Primates > Hominidae > Homo > Homo sapiens. The sequence continues at coordinate 106,022,944 of NC_000002.12, read as the reverse complement.
ACATAGAAAAAAAGAATTAAGTAACTTAAAAGCTGAGCTCCAAGCATACACATTTAGTTGGACTTATTCTAAGGGTAAAAAGACCTGCAAAGAAATCTTGATCTTAGGAGTTTTGTTGTCAGTACTGGTATCGATACTGTGATTCTGGAATATTTTGAGTTATGTCCTAGAATAAAGCAATGAGTAAGGAAGAAGAGAGATACAAATATGGTGTGGAGGATATTGAGGAAGAACTCGGCAATGTATTTGTGTTGAATTGTCTTTGAATTGAAGATATCAGTATAAATCCATGATTCCAAAGATACATTCCTTAGTTCTCTCCACTGAAAGGGAGACACACTGAGGCCCTCATAGCAATGAGCATATGTAGGCCCCAGATCTTGGTTTCTTTCACCCGGATCTAAGTATCACTCTCTATCAAAAGCAACCAGGATTCCTTGGTAAATAGCTAATTTGGGTGTTGAGCAGGAAAAATATAAGATGAGCCTGGAAGTACTCAAAGACCATAGTGACCGCTAAAATGTGGCCCAGCTAGGAACCAAACCTAGGTCTTCAAATGTCAAACCCAGCAATTATTTCTACTTCACTGCCCTGTATTTCCCACCATGAAATCTGCTCCCTACTTTACACAATCTATATTTTGGTATCACTTTTAAATATTAGAATTTTGTTACAGCCATCGAAGTGGTATCTTTCTCATTTTATTTTCTCTCCTTTAATAGAAATAAAGCTTTTGAAAAGCCAATCACCAGCCTACCCGAGCATCCAGGATTAGGGTCTGTACTTCTTTTATGTTCTTGAGCAGCGTTCCTCATCCTTTTTGGCACCAGAGACCAGTTTCATGGAAGATAATTTTTCCACGGACAGGGATTAGGGGGAGTATAGGGGTGGGGAAGGGTGGTTTTGGGATGAAACTGTTCCACTTCAGATCATCAGGTACAGATTCTCATAAGGAGCATGCAACCTAAATCCCTCATATGTACAGTTCACAATAGGGTTCATGCTCCTTCGAGAACTAATGCCAGGCTGATCTGACAGGAGGCATGGCTCAGGCAGTAATGCTCACTCACTCACCTGCCACTCACCTCTTGCTGTGCAGCCCGGTTCCTAACAGGCCACAGATTGGTACCAGTCTGTAGCCTGGGGGTTGGGGACCCCTGTTCTTGAGCTCCAAAGCATGCCTGCTAAAACTCTGCTCTGAACATCCAGACCCAGCCTAGGGTAAAGAGACAACTCAGAGAGATGGATCCTTCTGCAGCGTGGCCTCCTGGTTGAGGGTGGTTATTTTTTCTCTGCATTAGTTACCCTCGTTCTTTATCTGGAGAAGGAGCAAATGGAAAAAAGGGGAAAGAGAATGAGACTTTTCTTTTAATAAGTTGAATATTGACCCTGGCCAACAAAGATTTTGGCAGCACAGATTGAAATGCATTCCTGAAACAGACTGGAAGATCTCCTTAATATGCATCAACTGCACCAAATTCAAAAGCTATTACCTCTTACGTTTTCCTTCCATCCACAGGAGGCCCCGCCCTTTGTAAAACAAACAGTTGTCAGGGGGCCGATTCCCCAGTATGGTCACTGTGCAGTGCTTCAACATTTGTTATCACCGTACCATTAATTTCCACACACATCTGCTTGAGGATTTCTTCCTGCCCCGGATGGCATGTTCATCTCCATCTAATTCACATTTTATTGCCCTTGTCTTGCCCCTAGCAAGCGTTATCAAGTGCTGTAAGCATTCCAGAGCTGTGCCAGGTGGCTGGGAGGCCCTCAGCCCCATTCCCTGTGGTTTGAGGCTGCGCTTACAGCTTTAATTTCCAGTCAGCTGTAATTCAGGACCACAAATGGCCAAATTGAAAGGGCTCGCTCACTTCCAAAAAGCATCTCACCAGTAGCTCCTAATTACAGAGCCAAGTGCAAACGACACTGCCTTGCTTGGAAGAGAAGTGAGGGCTCTTTCTCTCTGCTTATTTTGGACACCCTGGGTCACTGAACAACTAAATCTACACTGGAGGATGGCTGCTCCCATTTCCCAGGGGGCCTGGCAGAGGTCCCAAAAGGCAATTTCCCAGGCATGCCTAGTGTGGAGGCCCTGAGAAACGTCGGCTGAAATCAAGCCCTGCCTGGGCTGCTGCAATATTTTCCAGCCAGTGCATCTCAAATGTGAGAAGTGCACAGATCATCTTAAAGGGAAAAAAACTACACAAATTAAGAATACAACTCAAAGGACCCTCTTTAAACAGTGCTGCAAAAAAACAAAAAACAAAAAAACAAAAAACCTAAAATCTCATTCCATGCAAATGCCCTTTAATTGCATTAGCACTGCAAGAGTTCTGTCTTTATAACTGGTATAATTTAGAATGTGCTTGCAGCCCTGGTGCAGTTTGGGAATGAACCTATGCCTTATTTTCAGAATTGTTCTGCAAGGAGTTATCAAAGGATTCACACTCATACCTTCTCATTGCACCAGGCAGACCCGCCTCCTCTCGATTCTAACAATATGTCACCTAAAACCTGCTGCCCAGCATTTCTTTTGACCCTCACAACCATCCCTGAGCCTGGCAGGACTCCTCTAGAGTTTTCAGGAGAGGCGACAGAAGTCACTGGCCCAGGGTCCCAGGAGTAATAGCCACAAGGTTGGAGTTTACGCATTGCTGTTTCGGCAGGGCAAAAAGAATCCAACAGCAGTAATATCTTATGGTTCTGCATAATGGAAGCTGGCTCAGAGCCTGGGATTTCTGACTCCCCACGGAATGTTTTGCTGTTAAGCTGAGATACTTCCAAAACACAGTTAGGTTTGTTAAGTAACACATGGGACATCTTTGTAATGAATTACTAGGTACCCATTAACATTGGGTTTTAAAAGGATGTGGGAAATAAGTTTCTTTATATTTTTAGAAAAAAACAAAACTAGGATTATAGAATTTTTACTTCTTTAATTTTTTTATTCACATACCTTCTATCACATGGAAGTAGAAGGTAGATTGAGAGAAATCTAGCTTCACCCTTGCTCTCTCCACCTTCTCCTTCCTTTTAAAGATAAGGATGCTATTCATTATATAATCAATCCTTCTGTTTTATTTATATATATATATATATTCATATCCCCTCTTTCTTAGACAAATGGCAGCGTATTATATTTACTTTTCTATATTTTCTTTTTTCTTTTTTTGAGATAGAGTCTCATTCATTCTTTTTTGCCCAGGATAGAGGGGTGTAGTGGTGCAATCTCAGCTCACTGTACCTTCTGCCCCCAGGCTTAAGCTATTTTCCTGCCTCAGCCTCTGGAGTAGCTGGAATTACAGGCATGTGTCACTACGCTTGTCTAATTTTTGTATTTTTAGTAGAGACAGGGTTTTGCCATGTTGGCCAGGCTGGTCTTGAATGCCTGACCTCAAGGGATCCACCTGCCTCGGCCTCCCAAAATGCTGGGATTACAGGCATGAGCCACTGCACCCGGCCTGTATTTACTTTTCTCTACTTGCTTCTTTCAATTGACAGTATATCCTGGAGAACCCAGCATAGTAGGATCTAGAGATCTTCCTACTTTGTTTTGAAAGCTGCACAGAACTCCACCAGTCTCCGATTGGTGGACATTTGGGGCCATCACAAATAATGTTGCTGTGAATACTCCTTGGCATATGTCTTTTGGGGTGTCTTGCCAATTTTTTTTTTTTTTTTTTTTTTGAGACAGAGTCTTGCTTTGTCACCCGGGCTGGAGTGCAGTGGCATGATCTCGGCTCACTGCAAGCTCCGCCTCCCGGATTCACGCCATTCTTCTGCCTCAGCCTCCTGAGTAGCTGGGACTACAGGCGCCCGCCACCATGCCCAGCTAATTTTTTGTATTTTTAGTAGAGACAGGGTTTCACCATGTTAGCCAGGATGGCCTCGATCTCCTGACCTCATGATCCGTCCACCTCAGTCTCCCAAAGTGCTGGGATTACAGGCGTGAGCCACTGTGTCCAGCGTCTTGTCAATATTTAAATAGGTTCCTGGAAAGAACATTGCAAAAACAAAAGGGGAATGCATAGAGAATTTTATTAGCCACTGTCAAAACCTCATTTCACTTTCACAAACTCCTGTTTCTCCAAGCCCACCCTCACTGTGTACTACTCAACTTTGTGATTTGATTAATCTGATAGTAAGACTTGGTAACTCAGGATAGTTTTTATTTGCATTTCTCCTCTCTGGCCCCCCACTTTTCTATAGGATTGTTGGTCTTCTCTATTTTCAGAAGTTTTTTCTTTATTAGAGCTATTGATCCTTTCAGGTGTGAGTTGCTGATATTTACTGCCAGTTTGCCATTTGTCTTTTTTCTTTGCTTGAGGTGTTTCTTGTCATACAGATTTTCTCTTTTAAAAATTGTATATTATCAAATATATAAATATTTTTCTATATTGCTTCTAGATTTTGAGTCATAGGTCAAAAGATCTCCCCTTTCCCAGGTTATGGAAGATAAGTTAACTTCAAAGGGAGTGAGACACAGACAGGAGGAGCGCCAGAGCCAGACGGTGGGAGGAAGGACGTGGTGACTCCAGGGACACAGGAAGTGGGCTCCACAGGTAGTGGCTAAATAACAAGATGCCCAGCCTGGAGAGAGGCTCGTGGGTGAGCCAGGGCAGGTGGTCAGGTGTCAAAGGAAGTCCTATGGGGACCCTGAAGGGGCTGAGATGACACTAAAGATGGCCCCCAAGGAAAACACACACTCACTCATAGGGAGCAGAGACAGCCCCAGGTTACACCAGAGCGACCTCATGGCTGCTTCCACCTCTCCCCAGAACAGAAAGTGGAAGAACAAAGCCCACTCCCCACTCCTTGCCCTGAGTTCTGGAGACATGGGTCAGACCTGTGATAGGGGAGGAGAGTTTTGAATCAGATATGAGATCGAGGTGCTACCTTGAAGTTAACTAAATTTTTGTAACAGGAAGTGACCCTCAAGTTATAGAATCTGCCCAAGGTGTTATGAATGGAGGCATGACCCAGCTGGAGAAAGAGGTTTGATGTCACATAACTCAGGGCAGTGATTGGAAAGCTCAAAGTCATTTTATGATTGTGTTCTGGTTACACACACTTCATCTTATTTAATCCATAAAATAAGGTAGATATTACTGTCAAAATTTTATAGGGGAGAAACTGAGACTCAAAGAGTTAAGTGGCTTTCCCAAGTTCCTCTCCTGGTGAAGGTGTAACTAGAATTACTAACCAGTTGTTTTTGATTCCAAAGCCCATGCTGATGTCACCTCACAGTGTCTTCCCAACATGTGGCCTCAGCTGGCATATTGAACCTGGTCTGCAGGACAAATTTTACTTCCAATGGTCCTCTGTTGAATAATTATGGTTAAATTCAAGAACATTAAAAATTAGCTGGGCGTGGTGACGTGCACCTGTAATCCCAGCAACTCAGGAGGCAGAAGAATCGCTTGAACCTGAGAGATGGAGGTTGTAGTGAGCCGAGATCGCACCACTGCACTCCATCCTGGGCAACAAGAGTGAAACTCTGTCTCCAAAAAAAAAAAAAACAACATTATCATCTCAAATGGATTATTGGAAAAGAGATATCTTATACTCAACAGTAACTCTCCCCAAATATAGAACAGGCTTATGCCGGAGATCTGAAAAATCATAGTGGGGTATTTCTTTTCTGCTTTTAAAGAATAAAGCAAATATAAAAGTAATTTCCCTGTAGCTCCAGAATACAAAACCTAAATTTGGAAAGGTCTGCCCTAGAGTTTATCTATTTGGAAAAATAGGTAGCTAATGCCTATGGCAAGTATTACATGGGCAGGTACATATCTTCACATCTGGAAACATAATTAGATTAGTCTCTTAGTGTCTGACCACCAGATATAGTTCCCAGAGCTAAAACGATTACACCCTAGAATGCATGCCTTAAATCCAAAGGTCCACATCTTCAACTGAGCCAAAAAGACACCACCTCAGAGGAGACGGAAAAACACAGAACATAAATATCTGAGTGTACAGATGTTCCTCACCTGATGATGATAGGTCTACATCCTTCCCAATAAGCCTATTGTAAGTGGAAAATATCATTAAGTTGAAAAAGCACTTCATACACCTATCCTACTGAACATCACAGCTCAGCCTAGCCTACCTTCAACATGCTCAGAACACATACGTTAGCCTACAGCTGGGCAAACTCAGCTAACACAAAGCCTGTTTTACAGTAAAGTGTTGAATATCTCATGTAAGAGTATTGTGCCACATATCACTAGCCCAGGACAAGATCAAAATTCAAAATCCAAATGAAGTGTGGTTTCTACTGAGTCCATATCACTCTTGCACCATTGGAATGTGGAACCATTGTTAAGTCAGGATCAGTTGTAATTCAACCAGTTTCTTCCAAGCACTCTATGTTGGTGCAGACATTCTGCAACTAGCCCAATATCTCAGTCAGCAAGTACCTTTTTTGTGCCTGTGGGTACTGAGCTTGGTGCTAAGTACTGACAGGGACCAAAAGAGACAATGATACAGTAAATTACATTAGGGACTTTAAAGCAAGTTATGATACAATGACAACACAGAAGTTAGGGATGAAACCCTTATGTGTGAAATAGAGACAAGCTAGTCAGAGTGAGGGAGCGTATGCTAGAAGTGGATTCCCTTAAAGTGAGGACACAACCTTTTCTCCTTCCTGCTGGTTCAGGTATGTATGGGATGGTAAGAGCTGAGTTAACTATCTTGGACCCAGAGAGAACTCTATTTTGAGCATGGCAGGGCCACGCAACCAGCCCTGGACTGCTTACCTCCTCACAAATATGTGAAAGAGAAATATACTTCTAACTTGTTTAACACACTGCATTTTGGGGAGTCCTTATTCCGGCCAGCTAAACTCTCCTAATTAATACAGGTGATCAATGGGGAAAGGAAGAGGGATTCATTAGTAACAAAAAAGGCCTTGTTTGGAAAAGATTAGTGTCTAGTGGAAGTAGTAGAATTGTGAGCAAATAAGAACATTTGAAATATGCTATAATGAAACCATGATTTGTGTGTGGTGACCCATTTTAGCCATTTGTCATTTGTTTCTCTACTCGAGAAGCCTAGATATAAACCAAGGTCCTGTCACACGCATCCATGTGAAAAGACCACCAAACAGGCTTTGTGTGAGCAACAAGGCTGTTTATTTCACCTGGGTGCATGTGGGCTGAGCCTGAAAAGAGAGTCAGCAAAGGGAGATAGGGGTGGGGCCATCTTATAAGATTTGGGTAGGTAGAGGAAAATTACAGTCAAAGGGGTTTGTTCCCTGGCGGGCAGGGTTGGGGGTTACAAGGTGCTCAGTGGGGGAGCTTTTGAGCCAGGATGAGCCAGGAGAAGGAATTTCACAAGGTAATATCATCAGTTAAGGCAGGGACCAGCCATTTTCACTTCTTTTGGGGTGGAATGTCATCAGTTAAGGCAGGAACAGGCCATTTTCACTTGTTTTGTGATTCTTCATTTGCTTCAGGCCATCTGGACGTATATGTGCATGTCCTAGGGGATACAATGGCTTAACTTGGGCTCAGAGACCTGACAGGTCCCACATGGCCCAGTCTCATCTGAGCATTAGATTTAAAGAAACACTTTGGGCCTGGCATATATTAAAAGTAACTTCAGCCTTCCCTTGCCTCCTCAAAAAAAAATATTTTAAATGACCCAACTTATTTTGCACAACAACAATTTTATAAATTTCCTTTCTTCTGCAGTTTTCCTGCCCCCTGAAGCTGCTCCAGGGTTTCTCACTCCCTAAGTCTTTCACTGTAATGTCCTATGACTGGCTCTCTCAGAAACCAGGCCTAGTGGGTCTTCTCTTTCCTCCTCCTTCTGTGTCTCATAGTCCTGTGGTTGGTACTGAGACTTCCTCTTCTCTAATTGAACTGTGTCAAGCAGCTTTGGATGGTAAAAAGCTCTGGAAGAGCCAACAGGATAATTTCTTATAGGCAAGATTCTCTACTTCTTTACACTAGCTTTTGAGAATCTGTAGATAGTTTTGCAGAGGAGACTCTTAAGGCGTTTATACTCTAAAGGGAAGTCGACTAGTACAGAAGCCTTTTCAAGGTTAACAATTAAAACAATTAAAATTGTGATCATGTATTGGAAAAGAGATCACTCATGGAGGACAGGGACCTGTGCTCATGAGGACTGAGTGAGCAGAGCTTACTCCTGGGACTGCAATGGTCAAAGTTACAGCACAGTCACTCCTGGCCTAAGTGGCTCTGTTTACTCTAAGTCTGTCCTACTTGATAGTTGGTCACTGTTGGATACCTCTGCCTTGACCCAATTGCCTAGTCATTAGCCAAATGACCCAGTGCATTTAACACTCTGATTGGCCAGAATCAAACATTGTCTCTTTAGCGATTGAAAATGGCCTCGCTAATCCGTGCTTCCATGTTCATTGCAGTGTTATTCACAATGGTCAAGAACGGAAACAACCTAAGAGTCCATTGACAGGTGTATGAGTAAAGAAATTGTGATTAGATATATAATCATACCACATATATATATATATGCACCATATATATATATATATATATATATATAGACACACACACACACAATGGAATACTAAGGAGATCTTGCCATTTGTTGCAACATGGATGAAACTGCAGGACCTCATGCCAAGTGAAACAAGCCAGGCACAGGAAGAAAAACACTGCATGATCTCACTTATATGTAGAATGTATGAAAGTTGAAAGCACAGAAGCAGAGAGTAGAAGGGTGTTACCAGGAGCCAGGGGGTGAGGGGAAATGGGGAGATATTGGTCACAGGGTACAAACTTGCAGTTATGAATGATTTTAGAGACCTAATGTACAGCATGGTGACCATAGTTAACAATCATATATTGAATACCAGAAATATGCTAAGAGAATAGATCTCAAGTATTCTTGTTGCCAGAAAGGGGTCCACATCTAGACCCCAAGAGAGGGTTCTTGGGTCTCACACTTGAAAGAATTCAGGACGAGTCCAAAAAGTGACAGCAAGTTTATTAAGAAAGTAAAGGAATAAAAGAAAAGCTACTCTGGCCAGGCACAGTGGTCCATGCCCAGCACTTTGGAAGCCTGAGGTGGGTGGATCACATAAGGCCAGGAGTTTGAGACCAGTCTGGCCAATATGGCAAAACTCCATCTCTACTAAAAATACAAAAATTAGCCAGGTGTGGTGCAGGTGCCTGTAATCCCAGCTACTCAGGAGGCTGAGGCAGGAGAATCACTTCAACTCGAGAGGCAGAGACTGCAGTGAGCCGAGATCACACCACTGCACTCCAGCCTGGGTGACAGAGCAATGCTCTGTCTCAGAAAAAAAAAAAAAAAAGAAGAAGAATGGCTACTCCATAGGCAGAGCAGCAGCATGGGCTGCTCACCTGAGTATACTTACAGTTATTTCTTGATTACATACCAAACAAGGGTTGGATTATTCATGAGTTTTCTGGGAAAGAAGTGGGCAATTCCCAGAACTGAGAGTTCCTCCCCTTTTTAGACCATATAGGGTAATTTCTGGACAATGCCATGACATTTGTAAACTGTCATGGCACTGGTGGGAGTGTCTTTTAATATGCTAATAAATTATAATTAAAGTATAATGAGCAGTGAGGACAGCCAGAGGTCACTCTCATCGCCATCTTGGTTTTGGTGGTTTTTGGCCAGCTTCTTTACTGCTTGCTGTTCTATCAGCAAGGTCTTTGTGATCTGTATCTTGTGCCAACCTCCTGTCTCATCCTGTGACTGAGAACACCTAACCTCCTGGGAATGCAACCCAGTAGGTCTCAGCCTTATTTTATCCAGCCCCTACTCAAGGTAGAGTTGCTCTGGTTCAAACGCCGCTGACATTCTCACCACACACACAAAAGTAACTATGTGAGATGATGCACATTCATTGTGGTAATATTTCACAATGTACACACCAACACACTGAAGCAAGAAATGACTGGAACTAAAATACTATGGTTTCCTCTGGGTGGTAGGATTATAAACTATTTTTAATTATTTCTTTTTATATACATTCTCCAATTTTTGTGCAATGAAATCTTTTTTCTTCTAATTAATGGTACTATTCCATGACATTATTTCAGTTAGATCAAATTTTGTTCATTTTGCTTTGAAAGAGGAAAAGCATTGAGGACCAACAGATGGGTCTCCATGGGAGCCAGTATGCCACACTTTGCAGGGGACATTGGAGGAGGGAGAAGCCATCCCAGAAATGTTCAGTAAGGATTTGGGGAACATGTACAAATATTTGACTTAAGGTCTAGAATGAACACTTCTACCATTGCCTTATGGGTTCTTTATCTAGGCTTATAGTCATTTTCTCATATGAAATCTTTCAAAAGAAAAATTACATTAAGATAATCATAATGATTTCAAGTCATCATCTGTGTGGGCTGTTTATTTTCTCACCTGAAGTGATAATTACCTCTTTGTGACATCATAATTGCTTGCTGGAGAACTGATTATCATGTCACCAACAGAAGATTAAGCCTTCAGGTAAGGGGAAGCTGCAGGAGCAGATGAGCCCCCAGGAAACCAGGATTCAATTTTCATGCAAATGTCAAAGTTAATAAAGTAGAAGGGAAGAAAGGTTGGCCATTTGACTTTCATAGCATGTCTGTTACTTTCACCAAATGGGTTCACAGTATTTTCTATGAGCTGCAAGTGTGCCTTTAATTTTCTCCAACCTAACCCCGACATACTGTCTGCTGATTAATTCCACGATAGAACACACACACATCACACTTCTTTCCTGCTGGGTGGGCCAAGGACAGACTGGTGTTAGATGCGGGTGGAGGACGGGCAAGCAGTGTGAAGCAAGCTTGAGGAAGTTGTGAATCTTTGACTCACATTCACTGTTTAAACATAAAATACAGCCAGCTATATTTAATTGAACTGTTGTCTTTCCTAGACAGAAAGAGAGCTTAAAGTGTTTCCCTGCTGAAAGCAATTTTACTAATTTTATTTATTTATTTTTGTATTATGAAGTACACCACCTATTTTCTCCCTCCTTGGTGTTTATTTATTGTTAAAATCATTGCATATAAGGTAAAACCTCAAATAATGAAAGACCCAAGGGGTAGGCTATAGATTATAATTAACAAAATATGCTGGTTAACAGAAGATTAAAATGGAAAGACTCTTGTTTATATCTTCATCTTGAAAATAAAACCATTTACAAATGCAAGTTCTGGATAGATGGGCTGAGTTAATTGACATTTTTTTTTTTTTTGCATCTGTCCTTTAGATTAGGCCTAAGGTATTGTTTTCCACTTAAAAGGTCAGACCTTAACAACTGCAGGAAAGGCCTGTGGATTGCGACTATTACCTCACCATGGAAAGAGTGGGATCAAATGACGCTGGCTTATGCCAAGCTTTCATTTTTGAGACTGTAGGTTTCCTGTTAATTATATTTTCTTTCCTCAATCCTTTGAGCTACTTCAGAAGGTAATTTCACTGTTGCCCTTTCTATTACCCCTAACTCAAAATAGGCTAGATTTATGATGTGGTAACACAAAACTCCAAATCTCAATGGCTTAGCACTAAAAGCTTATTTCTTGCTCCCCCAAAGCCCTTTATCCTCCACAGGCAGCTGTTGACTATGTGAGTCTTCAGAATACAGACTTTTGTCAAAGCCAGAGCTCTGCCATCTTTATATGACGAGGCCACCACCCTTCACACCAAAGGGAAGGCAAGAGATTGAAGAACTGCACACGGGCTCCCCACTGCCATGGCTGGAAAGTGATCCACTTATTCCTCCTGCTTATGTTGTAGGACTTTTCCTTAGTTCAGCTAAAGATGGGGTCCTTGTCACATGACCATGAAAAATTAGGCTCGTGGACAATTTGAAGGGTGAGAAAAATGGGATTTATTGGGAAAAAAGGGAAACAGGAACTCTCAGCTGAGCGAGAGTCCTGCTAGTACATGCTTCCTGCCTGGCAGATTGAATTCCAGGTTCCACCCAGGAAGAGGAGGAGCCAGGCTCCTCCCCACTGCAAATGGCAGAACTTCTGTGGCTCCACCTCAGTGCACATTACCAGTGTGCAGGCTGGTTTGAGTTATTCCGGGAACGTCTTTACACTTGGCTATCTCATTCACATATATTTGGCCAGATGTAGTCATGTGGTCCCAGCCAGCTAAAAAGGACTGGTAAGTGTAGTTTTACATGTTACCATCAAGAAAAAATATAAAACAGACTTGGTGAACATATAGCATCGTCTTTTCTCTATCAGTCTTTTTAAACACCAAGTGAAAAGAAGTAAATGCCTTTTTATTGAGAGGTGTGGGAGCTTATGAACGGATGCACTCTATGGAACAAAGGGCAAGGTGTGGTCTTCAGACAACTGTCTAAAGTCATATGTATGCACCCCAGATCTATACAACCTGTACCTCTGGAGTGGGAGCCCAGGAATCTGCGTCTTACTAACCTCTCCGTGTAAGTCTTCTGCATTAAACTTTGAGAAATAAATCAGATGCTCCTGGAAAAAAAAAACTAGGGGCAAAGTTCCACTGCCACAGCGGTTTCAAAACACTGAATTCTGTGTTGCCCACTTGGTTATTCACAACATGCTTTGATATGTAAAAGACTCTGACCAAGAGCCTTTAGAGGGTCTTCCAATCATGGCAGCGTGAAGAGGTCAGCAATCCTTGTCTGTAAGAATGCATATAATACTGCACAGGATTGTCTGAAATAACACCCTTAGGGTACTAAAAGTCAAACAAAGATGGACAACGAGTAAAGACTCATTCTTTTTTGTTTGTTTGTTTTAGACAGAGTCTCACTCTGTCCCCCAGGCTAGAGGGCAATGGCACAGCCTCGGCTCACTGCAACCTCTGCCTCCTGGGTTCAAGCAATTCTCCTGCCTCAGCCTCCTGAGTAGTTGGGATTACAGGCACATGCCTATGCCCAGCTAATTTTCTGTATTTTAATAGAAATGGGGTTTCACCCATGTTGGCCAGGCTGGTCTCAAAATCCTGACTTCAGATGATCCACCCACCTTGCCCTCCCAAAGTGCTGGGATTACAGGAATGAGCCACTCCACCAGGCCTGAAGACACATTCTTAATAAAAGTGCTAGAGCTTGTGTAAGAGTCTGTGGCCTTGTTGCCTGGGGCTGCTTCCCTACCCCCTTGTCCATAGCTTTGTTAGCAAAAGTGGTAGTTTGACCATTGTTGTGATGGTTGCAAAAATCAGCAGCTTTGTTGCCAGAATACATATTCCTTTTGGGGGCTGGAGTTGGGGAGAAAACTCCCTATGACTTTGTTGGCAGTGATGAACTTGATTGAGAAAGAAGAAGGTGACAAAGATTCTCTCCTTCACCAAACTTTAGTCAGCTCCTCTGTGCCTCATTTAACCCTCATTGTTGGGCCTTCGCTTCATGCCTACACAGCTCAGTTTTAGTGAGAAGTCTACTAAGTCATTTAAGCAAGAATTCCCCACCTCAATATCTGATCACTGTCAATATCTGATCAAATTCCTCATCCTGAGGCAGGAGAATAGGTCTGGAGGCAAGGAACCTGAGGCTATTTCATGCTAACTTCCTAGAACTAAATTGAAAGGAAAATCCCTAGCTTTCCAAATTAAGTAACAAAAGGACAAGAGGCTACTCCCTTTGACCTTTTCTGAGAGGCAGATGGGAAATTGACTGTCCACCACAAATCAGACTGATTGTGGGTGGAGTTTTGGTTTGCAATTTTGTAACTTCACCCTAGCCTCTGACTGGTTGCTTTTTGCAACCAATCAGATGTTTGCAGAGGAGTGTGACCTTTGTAACTTCACTTCAGCCTCTGGTTGGCTGCTTTCTGCAACTGGTCGGACTGATTGCAGGCCACCACTTCACTTACATGTGGTGAGCATGAAGTGGCAAATGGGAAACATCTAGGGGGTGTTTGGACCCAAGAAGATTCTGTATGCAGGCCCTTGAACCACTGCTAGGGTCTGCTCCCACACTGTGGAGTATACTTTCATTTTCAATAAATCCCTGCTTTTGTTCTTTTGTTGCTTCATTCTTTCTTTGCTTTGCTGGGAATTTTGTCCAATTCTTTGTTAAAAATGCCAAGAACCTGGACAAGTTTCAGTCATGACCCTCTACCAGTGACAATCCCATGTCATCTCTTAAATAATGCCTGATCCCTCTGGCCTGCTATATTAATCTGTTCTCACACTGCTAATAAAGATATACCCAAGACTGGGTAATTTATAAAGGAAGGCCATTTAATTGACTCACAGTTCCACATGGCTTGGGAGGTCTCACAATTATGGTGGAAGTGAAAGAGGAGCAAAGGCACATCTTTCATGGTGGTAGGCAAAAGAGCATGTGCAGGGGAACTCCCCTTTATAAAACCATCAGACCTTGTGAGACTTATTCACTATCATGAGAAAAACATGGGAAAGACCTTCCCTCATGATTCAATTACTTCCCACTGTGTCCCTCTCACAACACATGGGAATTGTGAGAGCTACAATTCAAGATGAGATTTGGGTGGGGACACAGCCAAACTATATCATTCTGCCCCTGCCCCCTCCCAAATTTCATGTCCTCACATTTTAAAACCAATCATGCCTTCCCAACAGTCCCCCAAAGTCTTAACTCATTTCAGCATTAACTCAAAAGTCCACAATCCAAAGTATCATCTGAGACAAGGCTAGTCCCTTCCACCTATGAGCCTGTAAAATAAAAAAAAAGTTAATTACTTCCTAGATATAATGAGGGTACAGGCATTGGGTAAATAGACACATTCCAAATGGGAGAAAGTGGCCAAAATGAAGGAGCTACAGGATCTATGCAAGTCTGAAATCCAGCAGGACAGCCAGATCTTAAAGCTCTGAAATGATCTCCTTTGACTTCATGTCTCACATCCCAGTCATGCTGATGCAAGAGGTGGGCTCTCTTGGCCTCAGGCAGCTCTGCCCCTGTGGCTTTGCATGGTACAGCCTCCCTCCAGGCTGTTTTCACTGGCTGGTGTTGACTGTCTGCAGCTTTTCTAGGTGCGTGGTAAAAGCTGCTGGTGAATCTACCGTTCTGGGGTCTGGAGGATGGTGGCCCTCTTCTCACAGCTCCACTAGTTAGTTCCCCAGTAGGGACTCTATGTGGGGGCTTCAACCCCACATTTCCCTTCTGCACTGCCCTAGCAGAGGTTCTCCATGAGGGCCCCGCCCCTGCAGCAAAATTCTGCCTGGACATCCAGGCATTTCCATACATCCTCTGAAATCTAGGCAGAGGTTCCAAAACCTCAATTCTTGATTTCTGTGAACCCACAGGATTAATACCATGTGTAAACTGCCAAGGCTTGGGGCTTGTACCCAATGAAGCCATGGCCTGAGCTGTACCTTGGTCCCTTATAGCCATGGCTAGAGCAGCTGAGACATAGAGGACCAAGTCCCTAGGTGGCACACAGCAGGGGGGCCTGGGCCTGGCCCATGAAACCATTTTTCCCCTAGTCCTCTAGATCTGTGATGGGAGGGCTGCCACAAAGATATCTGACATTCCCTGGAGACATTTTCCCCATTGTCTTGGTGATTAATACTCATCTCTTTGCTACTTATGGAAACTTCTGTGGCAGGCTTGAATTTCTCCCCAGAAAATAAGATTTTCTTTTCTATTGCATTGTCAGGCTGCAAATTTTCCAATTATGTTCTGCTTCCTCTTGAACACTTTGTTCCTTAGAATTTTTTTTCTGCAAGATACCCTAAATCATCTCTCTCAAGTTCAAAGTTCCACAAATCTATAGGGCAGGGGCAAAATACCTCCAGTCTCTTTGCTAAAGCACAGCAAAACTGACCTTTACTCCAGTTCCCAACAAGTTCCTCTTCTCCATCTGAGACCACCTCAGCCTGGACCTTATTGTCCATATTGCTATTAGCATTTTGGGCAAAACCATTCAACAAGTCTCTAGGAAGTTCCAAATTTTCCCACATATTCCTGTCTTCTTCTGAGCCCTCCAAACTGCTTCAAGCTCTGTCTGTTATCTGGTTCCAAAATCACTTCCACATTTTTGGGTATCTTTACAGCAGCACCCCACTCTACCAGTACCAATTTACTGTATTAATCTGTTCTTACACTGCTAATAAAGACATACCTGAGACTGAGTAATTTAGGAAAAAAGGTTAATTGACTCACAGTTCCACATGGATGGGGAGGTCACACAATCATGGTGGAAGTGAAGGAGGAGCAAAGGCACATCTTACTAGGTCGACAGGCAAGAGAGTGTGCGCAGGGGAACAGCCCTTTATAAAACCATCAGATCTTGTGAGACTTATTCAGCATCGTGAGAACAGCACAGGAAAAACCCACCCCCATGATTCAATTTCCTCCCACCAGGTCCCTCCCACAACAGGTGGGAATTATGGGAGCAGCAATTCAAGATGAGATTTGGGTCGGGACACAGCCAAACCATATCACCTACCTTTAGCAAGAATACTTTTAGGTTAGTTTAGTAAGAATTTTCACTACCCTTGATGTCTCCTATTAGTAATTTTTTCACAAACCATATCCCTACAACCTCCTCCTTGGCTATAAATTCTCAATTGTCTTTGCTGTATTTGGAATTGAGAACACCATATATTGAGGTCTGTTTTCCCCTTTTGCAATAGTTCCTGAATAAAATCTGTTTTACTGCTTTGGTTAGTGTCCAGCTCTGGTTTCTTTTACAAAGGAAAGCCTGCAGTTTCACTAGCCTGAGACTGGGGACCTGATTAAAACAAACAATGAGACAACTAGCAATTTAACAAGAAAGTATTAGAAATAAGAGAGCTACAGAAGAACTAAGATAAGCCCTTCACATGGTCCTGGGCAACTGGAAAACTATTCAGCATGGAGGAGAGACTCAAGAGAGCTTGACAAAAAGTGAAAGCCTAGGGACACTTAAAACTGTGAGGCATTCTTCGGCCTACACACAGATACCTCAGCAGAGGGTGTAAGCCTTACAGACTTGAGGTGTTTGAGCACTATCTAAAACATTGGCTGACTGAAGAGCTATGCAGATATGGGGCAGCCTTTAGGTAAGGCCAAAAATTATAAAGAAGCATAAAAACATTAGTAGATTCATATCTGGCACACCCCAGGGGAGACAGCCTTCAGAATTTAAATCCAGGCAATGATCAACAACAACCACCTTAAGAAAAATGAAACAAAATCTACAGTTTCTGCAATATATTATACAAAATGTCCAATTTTAGTTTAAAAATTACTAGACTGAAAAAAAAAGCCCAAAAATGTGTGACTCATACTCAGGAAGAAAAAGTAGTCAAAATGCACTGACTCTGGATGAGCATAGAGTTTGGATATAATAGACAAAGGTTTCAAAGTATCTGTTATAAATATGTTCAAAGAATTAAAGAAAAATATCACAATGACTCAATAAAGAATCTCAATAGTGAAATAGAAACTATAAACAAATTAAAAGCTAGTTTTAAAGTTGAAAACAATAACGAAAATGAAAAAAACACTTAGATGGACTCAACTGCAAATTGCAGATAACAGAATAATAAATAAATAAATTTAAAGATTGATCAATATTAACTACACCGTCTGAAGAACAGAGAGCAAAAATATTGAAGAAGAATAAACAGAGCCTTAGATATCTATAGGAAAACATCAAGTATACTAGGAGAAAAGAGAGAGGAAGCAGAAAAATATTTGGAAAAATAATTACTAAAAACTTCACAATTTGACAATAAACATTATAGGTTCAAGATGCTCAACAATCCTTAGATAGAAAAAACATAGATAGAGATCCCCAGCTAGACAGATAGTCATATAGTTGTAAGCAAAAGAAAATGAGAAATTGTTGAAAGCAGCAAAGAAAAGGACTCCTCGCATATAGTGGACCATTAATAAGATTAACAATGGTTTTCTCATCAGAAACAATGAAGGCCAGAAGACCATGAAATTGCATATCCAATATGCTAAAATTCAGCTGTCAACCAAGAATTCTACATCCAGTGTGATTCTTCTTCAAACATAAACATGAAAGTGAGGTGTTCCCAGATGAACAAAAACTGAAATAACTCTTGCTGGTAGATCTGTTCTTTAAGAAATATGAGTGGAAGTTCTTCATAATAAAATAAATTAGATCCATAGGAATGCATGAAGAACACAAGAAATGGTAAATATATGGCCAAATATAAGACTTTATTTTTTGATTTCTTTGATAATTGTAAGATTATTTAAAGCAATAATTCTAACATTTTATTGCTGAGTTTACAACATACGTAAATCAATCTTTATGATGATTACAGTACAAAAACTAAACAGAGAAAACTGAATTACACTGGAGGAAAGTTGGCATATATTATTGAAATTAAATCAGTAGTAACCTGAAGAAGATTGTAATACATTGAAGATGCAGTTGTAGTTCTAAGAACAATGACTGTAAAGAAATATAGAACCAAAAACATAGCTAAAAATAAAATAATTAAAATGGAACACCTACAAATATTTGCTTACCACAAAAGAAGACAATAGAAAGAAACAGATGCTCTGTACTAACTTTACAACTTTTCTGTATATTTCAAACTATTATAACACACACAAAAGTTTATTTTAAAAGAGGAGCAGAGAAACAAAACTGACATGAGATATATGGAGAGTAAAACAAAATAATAGGGGTAAATCCTATCTCATCATTAAAATATTTACTGCAAATAGACTAAGCACTCTTATCAAAAGACAAAGATTGTCAGAATGAATAAACAATGAAGATCCAATGATATGCTGTCTTCAAGAGGCACATTTTATATTTCAATACAGAATAGAAAAAGGTATACCATGGAAACAGTCATCATCAGAGAGCTGAAATAGCTATATTAATATCAGACAAAATTGAGTTCAAGAAAAGACATATTTTAGAGGCAAAAAGGAACATTTCATAATGATAAATGAGTCAAGGCATCAAGAAGAAATAACAATGACCAATGTGTATGCACTTGACAGCAGAGTTCAAAATTATGTGAAACAAAATCTAAATAATTGAAAAAAGAATTCAACAGTTACAGATGGAGATTTTCATACTCCTCTCTCAATAATTGATATAACAGTTAAACAGAAAAATAAGTAAGTAAATAACAACACTATAAACCAAATTGACCAACTGGCACATTATACTGCTCCACTGATCAGAAGAGTGTACACATTCTTCTCAAATGCACATGGGATTAACCAGGAGTTGGCAGATTTTTTTAGTAAAGGGCCAGATAGTAAATATTACAGGCTCTGCAGGCCATGTATGGTCTCTATCACATATTCTTCTTTGTGTTTTTTGTTTGTTTGTTTTTTACAACTCTTTAAAAATGTAAAAAAAAACAAACAAAAACCATTTTTAACTCCCAGCCTATACTAAAATAGACTGCAAGCCAGATTTGGCTCATGGATCATAGTTAGCTAACCCCTGAGCTAACATGAGCAAGAAAAGAAAGAAGACACAAATTGACCAAATCAAGAGTGATAGAGGAAACATCACTACAGACCCTATTGTAATTAAAGGGATTAGAAGAGGTTAGTATGAACAATTGATGTTAACATATTAGACCATTTTTATGAAATAGAAAAAATTCCTAGAAAGACACAAATCTTACAAAATCTTTTTAAATTATTAGATTTCTTCTATGATTTGAATTAGAAATTTAAAATCTTCCACAAAAAAAGCCCAGGTCCAGATGGCTTCACTGGTGAATTCTACTAAACATTTAAGGAAGAAATAAGACCAATCTTACATAAACGCTCTCAGAAAATAGAGAAGGAGGGAATGTTTCCTGGCACATTTTAAGATGCCTGTATTATCTCATACTAAAGCCAGATAAAGATATGACAAGAAAAGACAACTACATATTCAGTTCCTCATGGATATAGATGCAAAATTAGTTTTAAAATTTAGTAAACTGAATCCAGCAGCATGTTAAAAGGATTATATACAGCTGTTAAGTGGATTTTATCCCAGAAATGCAAGATTGGTTTAACATTTGAAAATCACTTAATGTAATGCATCACATTAATTAAAAAAAAGAAAAGAAACTGTGTGATCAAAATAGATGCAGAAAAATCCTCTAACAAAATTTAGCACTTATTCATGATAAAAACTCCCACCAAACCAGCAGTAGAAGAGACTCTTTTTAACCTAATAAAGAACATCTTCAAAAGGCCACAACTAACAACAAACTTAATAGTAAAAGACAGACTTAATCTCTAAGTTGGGAAAAGGCAAGAATGTCCACCACTACTTCTGTTGAACATTGTACTGAAAATTTAAGCCATGGCAATTTAGCAAGAAAAAGAAATAAAAGGTATCCAGATCAGAAAGGAAGAAGTAAAACTATCACTATTTTCAGATGACTTTATCTTGCATATAGACATTTTTAAGGAAATGACTAACAAATTATTAGAGCTAATAAGCAACTTCAGCAAGACTGCCAGATATAAGATCAATCTATAAAAATTAATTATATGTCTATGCACTAGCAATTAACAATTTCAAAATAAAATTAAAGCAATTTTATTTACAACAACATCAAAAAGAATAAAATACGTAAGAATAAATTTTTTTAAAAAAGGGTATTTGTACACTGAAAACTATGAAACAGTGTTGAAAGAAATTAAAGAAGACCTAAATAAATAGGACACCACATGTTCACGGATTGGAAGATTTACTATTGTTGAGATGGCAATACTCCCCCAAATTAATCTACAGATTATATGCAATCTCTATCAAAATCTCAGTTGTCAGCCAGGTGTGGTGGTTCATTCCTGTTATCCCAGCACTTTAGGAGGCCGAGGTGGGTGGATCGCCTGAGGTTAGAAGTTTGAGACCAGCCTGGCTAATATGGTGAAATCCTGTCTTTACTAAAAATACAAAAAATTAGCCAGACATGGTGGTGGGTGCCTGTAATCCCAGCTACTTGGAAGGCTGAGGCAGGAGAATCACTTGAATCTGGGAGGTGGAGGTTGCAGTGAGCCAAGATTGCACCATTGCACTCCAGCCTGGGCAATAAGAGCAAAACTCCATCTCAAAAAAAAAAAAAATCTCAGTTGTTTTATTTGCAGAAATTGGTAAGCTGGTTCTAAAATTCATGTGGAAATTCAGGGACCCTGTATAACCAACAGAATTTTGAAAAAGAAAAATGTTGGGGGACTCATGACAACTCTAAAACCTATTACAGAACTATCATAATCAATACTGTATAGGTACTAACAGAAACATAGATCAATGGAATAGAATGTGGAATCTGGAAATAAACCTGCACATTTATGGTTGATTGATTTTCAACAAGTATGCTAAGATAATTCAATAAAGAAAGCATAATATTTTCAACAAATGGTAGAGGGATAACTGGATATCCACATACCAACAAATGAAGTTGGTCCCCTTCTTCACTTCATACACAAAAATAGACTCAAAATGAATTATTAACCTAAATGCAAAAGTTAAAACTACAAAACTCTTAGGAGAAAATATAAGAGCAAATCTTCATGACCTTGTGCTAGGCAAAGCCTTCTTAGATGTGATACCAAAAAGATGAGTGACAAAAGAAAAACTAGAGAATATGGACTTTCTCAAAATTTAAAATTTTTGTGCTCCAATGAATACCATCAAGAAAGTGAAAGGACAACACACAGAATAGGAGAAAAAATAGATATATAACAGAAAAAATAGATAAAAGAAAAATAACTAATTTTTTTAAAGGGCAAAGAATTTGAATAGACATTTCTCCAGAAAAGATACACAAATGGCTGATAAACACAAGAAAAGATGTTGAACATCATTGACCATCACAGACCTACAAATCTAAATACATGTAAATACTACTTCATACCTGCTACAATGGCTATGGTCAAAAAGACAGATGTAACCAGTGTTGGCAAGGATATGGAGAAATCGTAGCACTCATGCACTGCTGACGGGAATATAAAATAGTACAATCACTTTGGAAAACAGTCTAGAAGTTAAACATAAAATCACCACATGACCCCCAGCAAGTCCACTATCCAAATTGTTCCCACTCCCCAAATATACCCAAAAGAAATGAAAACATATGTCCACACAGAAACTCATACATGAATATTTCTAGAAGGACTAATCATAACAAAGAGTGGAAACAACCCAAATGTCCATCAACTGATGAATGGTTAAGTAAAGTGAGGCACCTCTACACAATGGAATATTATTCAGTAATAAAAAGAAGCATGTGCTGACACATGCTACAACATGAGTGAAACTTAAAAACATCATGCTGAGTGAAAGAAGCCAGCTACAAAACACCACATAGGGTATTGTTTGATTTATATTGAATTCCAGCATAGGCAAATTCATAGAGACAGAAAGCAGATTAGTGGTTGCCTGGGGCTGGGGAAAGAAGGGGTAGAGAGTGGGACCGGAGGGAGGTAGGGGCAACTGAGGTGAAATGGGAAGTGATTAATCAACATTTATTTATTTATTTGAGATGGGGTCTCACTCTGTCACCCAGGCTGGAGTTCAGTGGTGTGATCTTGGCTCACTGCAACCTCTGCCTCCCAAGTTCAAACGATCCTCCCACCTCAGCCTCCTGAGTAGCTGGAACTGGCCTTGGCCTCCCAAAGTTCTGGTATTACACCATGCCTGGTGGGGATTGATTACTAACGGTGTGCAAATTCTTTGGGGGGTTATGAACATGTTTTAAAATTGTGATTATAGTTGCACAACTCTATACGTATATTAAAATTCATTTGCCTGGGCACAGTGGCTCATACCTATAATCCCAGCATTTTGGGAGGCTGAGGTGGGCAGATCACCTGAGGTCAGGAGATTGAGACCAGCCTGGTGAACATGGTGAAACCCTGTCTCTACTAAAAATATGAAGATTAGCTGGGCGTGGTGGTTGGCACCTGTAATCCCAGCTACTTGGGAGGCTGAGGCAGGAGAATTGCTTGAGCCCAGGAGATGGGGGTTTCAGTGAGCTGAGATCACACCACCGCACTCCAGCCTGGGCAACAGAATGAGACTCTGTCTCAAATAAATAAATAAATAAATAAATAAATAAATAAATATTCATTGAATTGTTAAAAAGAAAAGCCAAAGTGAATGTATAGGTGTACTATGGATTTTATACTGTAATTGGTCTTAGAGGGTCTAAATACTGAGCCTCTTAGAGGTTCTAAATACTGAGCCTAAGGCATTGCGCTAGGCAGTGGGAATATAAAAACAAGCTTATTGCTTACGGAGTTCAGAGCAGTACATAGTACATATCATGAACTCAAATGTTAGTACAACATTGACAAGTCTAAAAATAGAGAATTTTAAAAATAACACGGAACAAATTCCACATATTTTTCTTGTGCTCTTTTCTGCCTCTTTCTGTCCACTGATTTTGAAGCCCACTTAGGAATCCTTCAGACTTCTAAGGGTATCTGTATGTACTGCTAGTGAACCAGGGTTTCTGGTACTAGGATGCCACATACCAGTGGTAACCTGTAATAAGCTAGATCTCTCTGACCAGGTGTCGAGGATTAGCTTTAAGCCCACAGGAAGTATTTTGGCTTCATGATGCTGGGTTGTTTTATGTATTTTCCAGATTGCATCGGCTATAAATTTCCATTAGTGCATAGCAGGTTCCTATTCTTCTCTGTAAGCTGCTGATATATTGCTAAAGCTGGTGCCAGCCTGCTCTGCAACTCCCCAAGCCACATTGGAGGCACAGCTGCCCGCAGACACAGCACAGCACCAAGTGCCCCAGCAGGCTGGTGGCCACAACTGGGTTCAAACCATTAGATTTGTCTCCAGCAGTCACTCTTCCCATGTTAACCCCTAATAACTAGAAGATGATTCCTTCTGCTACCCTTCCCACCTTCTCTCCAGGAGCCTTGGATAAGGCTTCAATAAAAACTCCTGTACATGTATCTCTCATAAGCTTCTTAGAGAAAGGTGTCTCTGTGCAGCCCAGGCACAGAACTGTCTGTAAGATATGTAACTGCCAGTGTAATGTTTGGTACAGCTAACCTCTCTTAGCCAGAGACTCACAAACTGGGACTTTCAAAAACAAAATAAATTTTTTTCCTGCCATCTATAGAAGAAAGCAGACTGTAATAACAAAAAAATTGTGCCAGGAATTTTTTTAAAGATTTTGTAAAAACCGTCCAGGATAGTTATAGGCAGAAGTGATCTTTACATGCGTGGCTTAATTTGTAGAGGAGTGGTCAGCTTGCCACACTCTTATGAAAGTTTACCTCTAGAGATTTATTTTTCAGCTCAACACTTTCCCAATGTGAAAATGTAAATACAGTAAGTTACATAGCGTTTACTACTGTTGAAGCAGTGTCATTTGTCTGGGGTAATACCTGAGGTTTGTTGTCTCACACCAAGGAAAACAAGGATGCTGACAAACAAGAAGTGAGGTTAAGAGCAAAGGTTTTAATAGTTGAAATAAAGAGAAAAGATCTCTCTCCTGAAGAGAGAGAGGGGCTCCCAAGTGGGTCTTCCAGTACTGCGGTGAAATGCGCAGGGTTTTACACACAAGCTTGAGGAGGCAGTGTCTGATTTACATAGGGCCCAAAAGATTTGTTGGACCAGGTGTTCTATTTACATAGCGTGCGAAGAAGCTGGCTGCCGTAACCTAATCTTTCATTATGCAGATAAGTTCTTTACCTGGCCAGTGCCATGTTGTCTGCTTTTTTACTGTACACGTGGTGACAAAGAAAAGGGAAGATCGAGCCTCTATGTTGAATGTACCTGGCTTCCAGGTAGCCTTTCCCTATTGGCACACCTGCCGGCATTCACCTGTGCAAGCTTCCAGCTTGCTTATCTATGTCTGCAGCTCGATTTTACAGGCTGCTCTTTGTCAGAAAAGAAATTTTTGAGGAGTGCTCTTTGTTAAAACGGAAACCTTAGTGAGGACTCTCTTACCCTCACTAACTGCCTAAATAATTTCTTTTTAGCTGCTGTATCACTGTCATATGAAGGAGTTAACTGGTCTTCTCCTGTGACAGCCCATTACTTGTGAGAACTTGTTCTGAAAGAGGATACAAGGGCACCAGCCCACAGGTTTCTGATGAGGACACTAGTGGGTGGCACCCACTGCCTTGTGATGGTGTTGGTGCTAACTAGCTGGGGTGGGACCCAAGGGGTGGGTGGCCAGTCTGAGGTCACAAGGTCCCTCTCAGGAGAGAGAGCAAAGATGAGACAAAAATGAGGAAGAGAGTGCTGAAAGGAAGGAGGAGATAAACCTACCTCCAAATACACCCGGAGGCACCCAGGGCCCCTGAAACGTGCCTTCTCCACCAGAAGGTGCCATTTCCAAGCTGTCTAGTATGGCAGCCAAGGCTATGGATGAGGGACCTAACCCTAGCTCACCACCATCCTTGTCGCTCTGAGCCATCACCTCTTGAAACTCCTAGAGGTTCCTTGAGCTCTGCCTGAAGCTCCCTCCATATTCCCGACCCTTTTTCCCAGCTTGTTCCTGCTTCCGTTTCAGAAATTCATCCCTGACTCCTCCCTCAGATTGTGACAGATGACCTCCCCATGTCCACAGCACTGGCTTCTCACTCAGGACCTCAGCCACCCTGCCTGCTGTGTGCTCCCCCAGTGACCCCTTTCTGGCAACATTAGACCCCGAGGGCCTGGTATTATTGTTATTCACCTTTCCCTTCCCAGTGCCCAGCATAGAAGAGACCCTAACAAATAATAATGAGAAAAATGGTTTGCGAACAAAGGAGTTGAATATCTTACTGTATCATACTTACAAAAATACAGTAGCAAATCAGTCTTTATTGCTCTGAGTAAATACACCACTAAATTTGGGAAAATATGTATTATTTTCCAAGGGCTTTGCCACAGATGCACTCCTTCGGCGTGAATAGCTAGGGTGTTGCATGCTGGGTGTAAGAAGCACACTAACCTCCATGATGCTTGATTGGCCCAAGAAGAAGAATGGAGATGAGTTTCAGAGTCAGTGGGAATTTATGGCTGGCCAAAATCTGGGGAACATGCAAGCAGTTGGTGGAAACAGAATGATGAAATGTGTTTCACATTTGTGAACTGACAGGCTGGAAAAGGTGAAAGGAGATTGCCCTGAGGAGCGAGCCAGTATCTGGGACAGGATGCATGGGCATGCCTAAGTCCTGCCACAACCTCAGCATGGCTGGTAAACTCACCTCTTCCCTTGTAACTGTCATTCTCGGTGATGGGGAGATGGCAGGCGGGGTGCAGAGGGTAAGGTCAAAGACTGGGGAAGGCTGAGCCGTGAGCTGCAGGAAGGCAGGATTGAAAATCTCCTCACCTGACAGATGAAGGGCAAGGAGCAGGGCAATTGCATTTTCTGCTCCAAAGGACCTTGGAAATGAGACAGGGCTGCTCTCCCACCATCTCCCGGAGAGTTCAAAGCCTCCACACACACGAGTTCTCAATTCTCAAGGCACTCAAGCAAGGCAAAATACATCTTTCCCACCTGTAGTTCCATTGACAAATTATTTACAAAGCTAAAAAGCCTTTTTGCTGGTCCTTTGAAGATGTTCCTTTTGTTCCTTGCCATGTTACTAAAAAGCAAAAGCAAACTCAAATTGCAGAAATAACTCTACAGTATACCATGTGGGTCAGATAATGTTTGTTAATTCAGTTATCTGGACCCTTTCCGTGTAAAATTGTTCTTGGCTAACATGTATGGATGAATTACGGGGTTGAGATTTCACCTGGCAACACCATAAATCACACAAAAAAACTGGAGACAGTGAGGCTGAATTTCTCCTATGTCTTTCCTGTGAGAGAGGGCAGGGGATCACTCAACTTGGAAGCATGAGACCTCAAGAAGGCCAGGCTACTCCATTGCCCGGGCTCCCCTTGACTAAAGGAGACATCCCTGGATCTTGGACCAGTCTTTTCCATAGAAGTCCCCCTGCCCAGTCAAGTCTGGGAAGATCAAACCAAATCCTGAAAGACTAGGTCACTAATGGTAACGATGAAGACTTTCCAAATCTCCAAGGATAACAGATTATCAGAGATCATGACTAACTGACAATTTTTTTTTTTTTTGAGATGGAATCTCGCTCTATTGCCCAGGTTGGAGTGCAGTGGCACAATCTTGGCTCACTGCAACCTCTGCTTCCCAGGTTCAAGTGATTTTCATATCCCAGCCTCCCAAGTATCAGGGATTATAAGCATGTGCCACCATGCCCAGCTTATTTTTGTATTTTTAGTATAGATGGCATTTCACCACATTGGCCAGGCTGGTCTTGAACTCCTCAAGTGATCCCTGCCTACCTTGGCCTCCCAAAGTGCTGGGATTAAAGGCATAAGTCACCAGTGCCTGGCTAATTGATGACTTTTTTTGTGATTTTTAAACTTTATTTAACTTGATAACCTCTCTTGAATATTTTAAAATTTAAATAGCTTAAATAATAAACAAGCAAATGAGTAAGCAGCAAATAAACTAGAAAAAAAATCATTTGGCTTAGGGATTCCAATACTATAAAATTTTAATTAAGCACAAATTAATTTACTGAAACTCCAAATTAGCTAGTATTTTCTATCCACCAGTATGCCTTTTATAATTACATGTTATTAATGTCAGCTTGTCCACATCCTTATTTACAGTGTTACTCTGTCTGGATTTCTGTAGCCCTGCATTGGGATACCTTTGATTGACTGGATAAATTCACTACTAGCATGTTTTTCTTTCAAATATTGAATTTGAAAAATAACATATACATGCACTGCCCCAAGAGAGGTACAATGGAGGCAGCTGAGTTTAGAAGGTGTGCAATACTGCAATGCAATTCTGACACTGACCAACCACAGCTAGAACAGACTGCACAGGTCTAAGGAAACAGTCCCCAGAAAGACTCCCCTCACTTTGGACACCAGCCACAAGTTCTATGGTTCCCATACTTCTGATCAACTGGCCACAACTCCAGGAAGTTCTCCTGACCCCCTCAAGTGTGATGATTTACTAGAAAAACTCACAGAACTCAGGAAAGCATGGTACTTAGGATCAATTATAGTTCATTATAAAGGATACAAATTAGGACCACCATAAGATGAGCTCTGGGACGATCCCAAACATGAAGCTTCCATGTCCTTGGCCCAGGAATTCAAGGTGCACTACCCTCCTGGCACATCAGTGTGTTCAAGAAGCTCTACAGGGCTTCAGTGTCCAGAGTTTTTACTGTGGTTTTATTAAGTAGACATGATTGACTGATGTTGGGGTGGCCAGACCCAACACCAGGCCATGGCGGCAATGAAGTCCAGCAGAGTCAAAGGAATGATAAAAGGCAAGTTTAGAGTGCATAAAGTGGGACCAGGGGGCCAACGCTAGTATGGAGGCTGTGAAGGCCCCGAGCTCTGGGAGCCCACCATATTTATTGGTGATCAAAGAAGCAGGTGGTGAGGATGTGGGGGTTGAAAGGAAGTGGTGCATCAAGCACATGAGCTATAGCTGTGATGGTTTAGCATTTCCTTTGAAGTATATGGAACATATTCTGCCACTTGAGATAATGGGGAACATGTTCTTATAGTTTAAGATACAATCGTTTTATGAGCTTGGGAGTGCTAGAAGCAAGAAGCCAGCAAGTCTAGACCCATTCCAGAAGCCACGAGGGGTTTTATACCCTGAGCCCTGGATTCCATCCAAGCCACGAAGGGTTTTATGCCCTGGGCTTAGATTGTGGTGTGGCAG
This sequence comes from Homo sapiens, assembly GCF_000001405.40. Lineage (NCBI taxonomy): Eukaryota > Metazoa > Chordata > Mammalia > Primates > Hominidae > Homo > Homo sapiens. The sequence continues at coordinate 105,994,333 of NC_000002.12, read as the reverse complement.
GGCAGACTTCCACCATTTAGCACAGAGCTTGGTGTTCCAAAGGCCATGAGGGGCTTTAGACCCTGAACCACAGACATGTTCCAAGACTCTTTTACATCATATCAGACATGCAAGCCCTGCCTCAGCTTCTCCCAACATGCCCCCCTTTTTTTTCATAAAACCACCACAGCTATCATTGCTTGTTCTCGACAGCAGCTTTCTCTCCAGAGACAGCTTCCACATCTGCAGACTAAAAGGAGACAGCACAAGCACATAATTATTAGGATAGAATTTTCAAACGTAGAGCTTCCAATGGCCTTAATCCATTTCATAGGATTGATTGCAGACAATCCATCAGCTGCCTTGTTCAAGATGTCAGTTCCAGGGTGCAGGACTAAGTGAGCCTGAGAAGCTTCAAAAACCTGCTCTTTTAGCTTCACAATATTGAGGGTGAGATTTTTCATCTCTGCTCTCCAGATGGCATTTAATCTTTTCCCATCGGAGTCCTGTTTCATTATAACTATGGAGAGTAATACAAAAGTCAGATGTATTCCAATCACATTGCATGTGGATTCTACTTTCTAAATTCATAATACAATCTCCCATCCAAATCACTGTCTGATGGAGATCATTAATTTGGTTAACTCTTTTTGATCTATTTGAGCCTGAGAATTCCATAGTTTTGTGGAATTCATTTGCCACTTATTGACAAATTCAGCAGTTTGCACAGATGAGTGTAGAGCCACACCAGCTACTGCAGCAGTAGTAGTAACAGCAATGAGGCCAATTATAGCAAATATAAGAGCAACTATAAATCCTCTGGAATGGGATAAGCGTTTTTTAAGGATCTTAGTTACAATATGAATAGATGGTGATGCCTCCCATGGTCTATTTAGGGACACAGGGATCCAAACTCCTTCCCTGGTTCTAATTAATAAAATGGTTTGATTTTTATCAAAGGTTGAGTTAATGCAGGTAAACAAGTGACATTTGGAGCATGTAATAAAGTGTGTATTTATATCAAGAGTAACAGTTCCTATTGCTAGCATAAAAGGTGGCTGAACACAACTCTGAATCCAGAAGGTCCTGTTGGAAAGAAAAGAAAGAACATATTTATTTTTACCTCCCTCCCTGCTATACTTATTATATTTGCCCTCCCAAATTTTGATTGAACTTTGATCTATAGTTAATTTCCATAATTCTGAATGTTCTTGTCCTATGGCAGGAGATATCATTTTTGGACTAGGGGCGACAATGCCAGCAGGACTCCATATGATAGGGAAATCAGCTTCTGTCTGAACATACTGTGTATGATTCCATTGCCAATGATTCCACTGGTTTATTACATTTGTTCAACAAGAGGGCCTTGCAGTGCAATTGTCTTTAAAAATCCTCTTTGGGGACCAATCAATGACGATTCCATAGGAATTATTTTGTAGCACCTCAGCCTTACTTGCTATACAATCTTCCCAAGTTCAAGTGTCCACACCTTCAAACCAAACTCTGTTTTGCCATATTCAAGCTTATTCAGATGGAACTGCAGAATTTTAGGTTTGGAATGATTATATTTTAAACTATGCCCTGAAATCATGTGATTTATTTTTTCCAGGAACTATTGCCAACCAGGCTCGTGTGATAATTTGTAAGCATCCAACAGCAGGTCCCAGGCATATTGGAGGATATTTACATCCTATGGATATATTCATTTTCATCCCTTCCTCATTAGGATGCATTGGCCCTCGGTTATCTATGGGCTCAGGCATCCAGCTACTGTTGTTGGTGTACACCTCAATAACAGGATCCATCCAACTCACAGACCTAATTAAAGGAGGAAATGGGACATATGCCCAGTAAGTGAAATCTGAGTTGCTCCTAAAGTAGGGAAGCTTACCACCATGGTGAGTACCACCAGCATGGCCACCATCAGGTTACTAGTTGTTTATGTTCTGTGCTTTCAAGTTGTCCTCTGCCATCTGTGCCAACTTCTTGATTTGTCCTCATGTTGGAGGATTTGCCTGATGAGTATTCTCAGTCTTCTCCTTCATCTCTGAGATGTTTATTCATGCCATCACTCGTATTGGGAATTCTGGCTCTTCCCATAGTCCTCTCTTCCTGCCGTGGCTCATGATAGATCTTCAGATGTTTGGTGGGCACTCCATTGTTGCAATAAATCTCTACCCCATAAATTGACAGGAATAGGTGTAATAATAGGTTGAATTGTCCCTTCCTGGCCATCTGGCCCTTGACATGGTAAAATCAAGGAACTTTGGCAGTCCGTATGCCAACAATACCCATGGAAGTCTTTTGTTTAGGCAAGTGTCAGGGCCATTGATTTAAAGCAATAATTGAGACATCAGCTCAAGTATCTACTAGTCCTTCAAAGTCCTTTCCCTGAATAGTTACTGTACAAATAGGTTTTTTGTCAGACAAAAAACCTAATTGATTAACCCAATATACAGCCTTCCCTGCTGGATTAGTACTACCAAAGCCTCCTGTTCTTTTCACTGTGCTGCTTCCTAGTTTTGTGTAAGGTAACAGCAACAACTGAGCAATTCTTTCTCCTGGGGAGGCAGACCACGGAGTTGAGGAACTAATAACTAGTTGAATCTCTCCAGTATAATCAGAATCAATTATTCCTGTACGTACAGTGACACCTTTCAAATTTAGACTAGACCTCCCAAGTGGTAGACCAACTGTTCCTGAGTGTAAGCGTCCCCTAACTCCTGTAGAGACCTTTTCTGGTGGCTCTCCAGGAAGCAGGGAGATGGGAATTGTGCTGCAAAGGTCTATGGCAGCACTGCCTGCTGTGGCAGGGGAGAATTCTATGTTTGTAAGGGCACTGGCTGTGCCAGATATGCCTCAGTTTGTTGAGGGGCCCGAGGTGGGCCCCTTTTCCTGTTTCCAGAAAGAGGTTGTCCATCCCTGTAACATTTATCCTTTCCCATGCCCGTAAGCACACAGAGCGCAGCTGAACAATGGCAACATCCTCCATTACTGCTTGATTTTCTAATCAGCTCCAATTAGGGTCGACTCCCATTAACTGTTCAAAGCAAACAGGCACAGGTGGCTGCACTTGTGTGTTTTCCCTTGCCTGATTTTGAGCTTTGTCAGCCCACCAGGTTTTAAACTGTAAATGCTGAGATGGAGTGAAAACAGATTTTGTTAAAGTATTCCAATCATATGGTATTAACCTATTATCAAGAGCCACATTTTTTAACAAAGTTTGCACAAAAGGAGAGTTTGGCCCATGTTGACTAATGGCCTGCTTGAATTCCTTTAACAACTTAAATGAAAAGGTGGCCCAATTAGCTATATTCTGTCCTACTTGCTGGATTATAGTAACTGGAAATTGCCATACTTCAAGGTCTCCGTCGGCTCCAGCCTTTTGAATAGAGTTTTGTATGGCACCACCAATTGCTCCACGTTTTAATGTTGCAGCTACAGGAACGGTAAGTTTTGCAGCTAATTCATCTTCTCACCCATTAAGGGGAGAGGGAGGAAGTGGTCATTCACTTATTTCAGCAGGTGGAGCTGACGGGCTAGTAAAACATACTTTTTCTGTTTCCCTTTCTTTTCTTTAATTTCCTCCAGTTTCTGTTCTTCACATTTAGAATCTGAAGTTAGTTTTTTACACTCGTCCTCCCCTTCCTCATGTGAATCTGCCTCATCATCTGTTTGAAATGGCTCAAGAGCTGCCTTTATTGGTGCCCACATTGACCACATGGAAACTGGAATTTTTGCCCCCTCTTTATATGCCTTTTAAAAATCTCTTCCAATTCTATCCCATTCATCCAACTCTATGGTCCCTTGTTCCAGGAACCATGCGCAAAACTGCTTTACTGTACTAAAAAGTGATAACAAATTCGGATTACTAACTTTCACTCCCCCTCTTCATAATAAATGCCTTAAGAAATTCAAATAAGCAGTATATTTGCTTTCATTCAGTCCCATTGTTACCCTGGTTCTTCCGAGCACTCAGCTTTCCTGCTGAGCTTCTTTCAGTTGTCCTCAGGTGTCCTTTAATGATGGGTCCTCTGCTTTCACATGCTCTAGCATTCCTTCACTGGGGTCTTCATTGCCCCACATCAGGTGCCAGGAATGTTGGGGTGGCTGGACCCAAAACCAGGCCATGGGGATGACGAAGTCCAGCGGACTCAAAGTAATGAGAAAAGACAAGTTTAGAGTGCATAAAGTGGGACCAGGGGGCCAACACTAGTATGGAGGCTGTGAAGGCCCCGAGCTCTGGGAGCCCACCATATTTATTGGTGATCAAAGAAGCAGGTGGTGAGGATGTGGGGGTTGAAAGGAAGTGGTGCATCAAGCACATGAGCTGTAGCTGTGATGGTTTAGCATTTCCTTTGAAGTGTATGGAACATGTTCTACCACTTGAGATAATGGGGAACATGTTCTAGTTTAAGATACTATCATTTTATGTGCCTGGGAGTGCTAGAAGCAAGAAGCCAGCAAGTCTAGACACATTCCAGAGGCCATGAGGGGTTTTATACCCTAAGCCCTGGATTCCATCCAAGCCACGAAGGGTTTTATGCCCTGGGCTTAGATTGTGGTGCAGCAGGACAGACTTCCACCCTTTAGCACAGAGCTTGGTGTTCCAAAGGCCACAAGGGGTTTTAGACCCTGGACCCCAGAGATGTTCCAAGACTCTTTTACATTATGTCTGACATGGAAGCCCTGCCTCAGCTTTTCTCCCAACAGACTGATTCACTGGTTGTGTGGATGAACTCCATATCCAGCCCCTGTCCCTTCCCTGCAGGTCATGTTGATATCACATGGTACAAAACCCAACCCTGTAATCACATGGTTGGTCTTCTAGCATGACCAGCACCTACCCTAGGTCATCTCATTAGTAGAAACTTAGCAGTGGCCCCAGGGGCTTACCAGGAATAACAAAGACACACCTATTACCTGGGAAATTCTAAGGGTTTAGACACTCCCTCCCAGAAACCCAGGACAAATATCAAATTATTTATTATACAAGAAAAAGAACTACCTTAGACAGCAAGACACCCAACTTTTAGGCCTTACTTCACTACTCACCAGTTCAGTAGTGAAACCTGAATAAATGCTGAAGTTGATCTGATAAGTGATTACTTCTAGATATGGGTTAGTAAGGAACCAGTCAAAACATCTGAAGCAAACTGAGTCATTTGTTTACCTGATCCATTTATTTATTCATCTACTCATTCAGCAAATACACAAAAAGCTAGTAAGTGCTAGGCATAATTTACATTGCCACCAAGTGTGACCTGTAATTGAGTTCATAAGGCTGGTGGGTAGGTTTTCCCCAGGAATGATACCTTTAAATCCAAAAAGAAAAAAAATAAAAGAGATCCTCCTGAAACACTGGAAATTAGTTAAGGGCAAGGTGCAGAGCAAGGTGGAGAGGTGGCTAACATGATCAGATGCCCCCAGTTTGGGCATAGTCAGGAAAACAGTGAGTGCAGCTGGGTGCCTACCATCAAGCCATTCCTTGAATCCTCATATCAACCCACAGGCTTTGCATTCTCATTATGGGCAAGGCAAGCAGGGAGGCAGAGCTGCCCTTGTGACTGTCAGTGTGGCCAAACCAACAAGTGAGGGACTGAGACTGAACCCAGGCTTCCTGACCCCAAGACCACCTCTCCTTCCATCACTTCATGCCTAACTTCACTCTCATTTAACATTGTTCCCAGGTTGGCATCTCTTCTGAAGTTTGGTTTCAGAATGTTCAAGAGTTTTGAAGGGAAGTAATTTCTGTTGAAACTTGGATAGCAGTTGGGCCACATTCAAGGAAAAGTGACAACTGTATCCTTTCTCAGTCAGATCTGGGAATATATCTTTGCCTGTTTTCTTTTTTCCACTTGGAAAGAAGATCCAAGTGAGGACTAAGTTCTGATTTCTTCTATCTTGCCCAAATTCCTATCTAAGGGGTGTGGAGAGTCTTGCCATACAAACCATCAATTCTCATCAGATGGGTTTTATTTGAACCTGTATATTGTGACTTACTTTTTGATCTGACTCTGGTGTAACATTACATGACAAGTAAGAAAATCAAAATGTTTTACCCCAAACCATGTTTCTTTGCCCTATTTTAAAATGGTCCTGCAAAGCTGTACTTTGTGGGGGAAAATTTGCATCTGTAAAGAATCTCTATTAATACAGCTAGATCTTTTTCTTCCAGGCCTTCTCAATCCTGAAGAGATTAACTGAGAGTCTAGCACCTTTTCAAGGTCTGAATAGGAAACCTATGTCATCTATTGTCTCTAAGGCAGCCACTATGAGACTTCAAAAGAACTTTGGTCTCCACTACCTTTTATCTTAACCTGAACATTTCCTTTCTATTGATTCCAAGTCTTTAGACAAACTCAACCAATTGTCAACCAGAAAGTGTTTAAATGTCCCTATAGTCTGGAAGCCCCTGCTTCGAATTGTCCCACATTTCTGAACCAAACTAATGTATTTCTCAAATGTATTTGATTGATGTCTCATGCCTCCCTAAAATGTATAAAACCAAGCTGTGCCCCAACCACCTTGGGCACAAGTTCTCAGGACCTCCTTAGGGCTGTGTCATGGGCCATAGTCACTCATATTTGGCTCAGAATAAATCTCTTCAAATATTTTACAGAGTTTGACTTTTTTTTTGACACAAGCATCTTTTCTATATGTGTCCACTCCTCCAGACAGCGGTTGTAATACCTAGCCCCCAGTATTTGTTACTATTACTGCATATCAGATTATCCCCAAAACCAAGCAGCTGGAGTGTCAATGAGTGTCAACAAGTGACAATTAAAAGAGTCAAACTCCATAAAATATTTGAAGAGATTTATTCTGAGCAAAATATGAGCGACCATGGCCCATGACACAGCCCTCGGGGGTCCTGAGAACATGTGCCCAAGGTTGTTGGGGCACAGCTTGGTTTTATGTATTTTAGGGAGACATGAAACATCAATCAAATACATTTAAGAAATACATTGGTTTGGTTCAGAAAGGCGGGACAACTCAAAGAGGGGGCTTCCAGGTTATAGGTAAATTTAAACATTTTCTGGCTGAAAATTGGCTGAGTTTATCTGAAGACCTGGGGTCAATGGAAAGGAATATTCAGGTTAAGATAAAAGATTGTGGAGACGAAGTTTTATTGTGCAGAGGAATCTCTCAGAGAGCAGACTTCAGAGAGAGAGCAGATTGTAAAATGTTTCTTATTGGACCTAAAAGGGTGCCTGGGTCTTAGTTGATTACCTCCTGGATCTGGAAAGAAAGGAAGGAAAACAAAGGTGAAAAGGGATTATCTATAGGATGTAAATTTTTCCCACAAGAGATTTGCAGGGCAATTTCAAAGTATGGCAAGGAAATATATTTTGGGGTTAAACATTTTTTTCCTTGTCTCATAATATTATGCCAGAGTCAGATCAAAAAGTAAGTCACAATATATAGGTTCAAGTAAAACCCATCTGTTGAGAATTGATGGTTTGTAAGGCATGACTCCCTAGATCCCTTAGGTAGGAATTTGGGCAAGATAAAAAAATCAGAGCTTGTTCCTCACAGGGAACATTTGTTATCTCACACAGCTTGAGATGGTCACAGTCCAGCAGTCCCTTAACTGGGAAGTTCTGTTGTAGGACCTCTCACGAAGTTGCAGTAAAGGTATTGACGTAGGCTTCCATCATCTGAAGGCTCCACTAGGGTAAAAGTTCCCCGCTTCTTACCATGTGGACATCTCTGTATGACTGTCACTGCATGGCAGCTGGCTTCCCCAAGAATGAGTGACTGTGGGAGCTGGTGCTGGCTCAATCCAGTCAGAAGCCTCACTAACTTTACAACCTAGTCTCAGAAGTAACATAGCATCCACTTTGGGAGGGCAAGGTGTGCAGATCACTTGAGGTCAGAAGTTTGAGGCCAGCCTGGCCAATAGAGTGAAACCTCATCTCTACGAAAAATACAAAAATTAGCCAGGCATGGTGGTGCATGCCTGTAGTCCCAGCTACTTGGGAGGCTGAGGTAAGGGAGGAGACCACCCCTCATATTGTCTTATGTCTAATTTCTGCCTTCAAAGAAAGAAGAAGTAAAAACTAAAAGGCAGAAATGAAATCCACAGGCAGACAGCCTGGCACCATGCCCTGGGCCTGGTAGTTAAAGACTGACCCCGAACTAACCGGTTATGTCATCTATAGATTCCAGACATTGTATGGCAAAGCACTGTGAAAATCCCTGTCCTGTTCTGTTCTGTTCTGATTACCACTGCATGCAGCTCCCAGTCACTTACCCCCTGCTTGCTCAGTCGATCATGACCCTCTCATGCAGACCCCCTTAGAGTTGTAATCCCTTAAAAGGGACAGGAATTGCTCACTCAGGGAGCTCGGTTTTTGAGACATGAGTCTTTCCGACCCTCCTGGCTAAACAAAGCCCTTCCTTCTTTAACTTGGTGTCTGAGGGGTTTTGTCTGTGGCTTGTCCTGCTACATTTCTTGGTTCCCTGACTGAGAAGCGAGGTGATTAATGGATGGATGGTTGAGACAGCCCCTTAGGCAGCTTAGGCCTGCCCCGCGGAGCATCCCTGCAGGAGACTCTGGCCAGTTTGGGCAATGTGGATCCTGGGAGTGCTCCCGGGTATGCATTTGCCCCGGTGGAACGCCTCACCAGAGTGGTGCATGGCAGGCCCCTGCAGAAGATCAATGCAGTGGCTGAACACCGGGAAGGAACTGGCATTTGGAGTCCAGACATCTGAAACTCAGTAAGACTCGTCTTTGGAACTTGCCCACTCCATTTGAGTGGAAGTGTGGCCTGATCACCCACAACATGCCTGTACTGGCACTTTGGTTTTTGGTTTTTGTTTTTGACTTGACTTGGATTGCTTGATACTTTGGTTTTGGTTTTGATCTGGCTAGGATTTCTTGATATTCTGACTTTGGTTTTGATTCTGGTTTGGTATAAACTGTAAAAGTGTGTGTGTGCCCTTTTTACCTGTTCTTTGTTTTGTGGTGTGTGTATGGTGTGAGTGTGGTGTTTTGTCTTGAGGAAGCATGGGTCAGGCACAAAGTAAGCCCACCCCACCAGGAACTATGTTGAAAAATTTCAAGAAAGGATTTAAGGGAGATTACGGTGTTACTATGACACCAGGAAAACTTAGAGCTTTGTGTGAAATAGACTGGCCAGCATTAGAGGTAGGTTGGCCATCAGAAGGAAGCCTGGACAGGTCCCTTGTTTCAAAGGTATGGCACAATGTAACCTGTAAGCCAGGGCACCCAGACCAGTTCCTGTACATAGACACTTGGTTACAGCTGGTTTTAGACACCCCATCCCCGCCCCACAGTGGTTGAGAGAACAGCAGCATAAGTGGCTGGCAGAGGCAAGGAAAGACCAGCAGGGAGAGAGAGAGAAAAGAGACAGAGAGGAAAAGAGACAAAGAGAGAGAGGAAGAGACAGAGAGACAAAGAGGGAGTCAAGGAGAAAGAGAAAGAGAGAAAGAGAAAGATATACAAGTAGTTAAAAAAAGTGTACCCTATTCATTTAAAAGCTAGGGTAAATTTAAAACCTATAATTGATAATTGAAGGTCTTCTCTGTGACCCTAAAACACTCCAATACCACCTTGTTGTAAGTGTAAACAATGACATAGCCCGAAAGCACTGAGGCCACTCACAACCTGCAGCCTTCCTATCAAAAATCCTTAACCCAGTAACCAGCGGATGGCCCAAATGCATTCAATCTGTAGAGGCAACTCCTTTGCCTACAGAAGAAAGTAGAAAAATAACTTTTAGAGGAAACTTCATTGTGAGTGCAGCTCACCAGTTCAGAAGTATTCTAAGTAAAAAAAAAAAAAAAAAAAAAAAGGATGTTTGCAACAAGTCAGAAAGTTGAGGCATGTCAAAAAATTATCTGTGAAAATTGTGGAAAAAAAAGGTTATAAAAAGAATTTATGCAAGAAATGTTGTATAATTTAAAAGCAACAAGGCCTCCTGAATGTAAAACTATTGAAATAATAGTTTATGTGCAAGGTGTATAAGGAAAATAAAATATACCTTTGGCAAAGGGATTATAAGGAGGCATAAGAATGTAAATTTTTACCTACATTAAAAAGTTAAAAAGTTTTGTTTTAAAGGTTTAAGCAAGTTTCAAAACGTTAATTGTAAAGAAAATTCTGTGTGTAAACATATTAGCTAAAGTTAAAGGGGTGTCATCTAGTTTTTCTGTGAACTGGACATTAAAGTAAAAACACAATGGGTTTTGCTTAAAGCACTAACCTGCTCTTTAACAAAGATTATAAAAGGTTAAAAGAGTTTATAAAAATCTTACCTTATGGTCCAACATTAAAAATTGAATAAATATGTGTACAAGGTTTTATTAAAACTAAGTTTAACATTAATAACACACTAATATAAAGGTGAAATTTAGATTTTCTGGTATAAAAATCATACAGGAAGCATTGTCATATATAAAATGGTGTTTGTCTTCTTTGGTCCAAAAACTAATAAAGATAGATGCTAAAGGAAATTTCTCAGTAGAAAGGCACCAAGGACTATAAAGTCCACTTCTGATGTCCCCACATTTAAAACAAAAGGTTAAAAATTATATACTTGATTTATCTTCCACTTTCCTTTCCCTCAAAACTAAAAGTCTTTTAGCACATGTACCACCCCTAGAATTTCTGGTAAACCAGCACCAGCTGAAGATCACATTCTCATCAAAGGGTGAAAAGAAAGGAAACTCGAGCCAGCCTAGGAAGCACACTACCTTGTGCTGCTAACCACCGAGACTGCTATTCATACAGCAAAAAAAGGATGGACTCATCACAACCGAGTCAAGAAAGCGCCACCCCCTCCAGAGTCGTGGGCCATAGTCCCAGGGGAAAACTCTACCAAACTAAAGCTAAAAAAAAATTAACTCTTTCATCTATTCTATTACTCTTTCTTCTTTCCTCGCTCTATTGCAGACCATCTAGTTATTAACATAACCAAGTCAATTTCACCTCAAACTATTGCATTTAATGCTTGCCTTGTTACACCCTGTGGGAACTTGCCAAGTCAAATTCAGCTCTCTACTTCAGAAAAGTACCTTTGTCCCTCCTGACTCTCCTCAGACTAGGCATTAGTAAATTAGGACCATTTAATCTGGGGAAATTTTGATATAGACTCCAGTGTCAACCAGGAGTCTTGCCCCTCAATGTAGAGCTTTTATGCCATAGTTGGTCCAACGTTCTGTGGACCACTAAAGAGCAAGGATGGATGGCCTCAAACAGTTTTTGTAATTTCCTAAAATCATACATTCATTTTACTAGAGGATCATAAAAGTTAAAGACTTAAAACAAACTTTGGCAATTAAGACAGGATACCAAGATGCAAATGCCTGGTTGGAATGGATCAAATACTCCATCTGCATGTTAAACAAAAGCAATTGTTATGCTTGTGCACATGGCAGGCCAGAGACCCAGATTATCCCCTTTCCACTAAGGTGGTCCTCCAGTCAACCAGGCATGGGCTGCATGGTAGCTCTTTTCCAGGATTCTACAGCCTGGAGTAATAAGTCATGCCAAGTTCTCCCTGCTATATCCCAAAGTCTGGCACGCTTCAGGTCAGCCCCCAAGGGCCATCCAGCCTCTTTCACCCAACACTAAGTTCACTTCGTGTCTCTCACGACAGGGAGGCAACTTAGCGTTCCTTGGAGACCTGAAGAGATGCAGTGAGCTTAAGCATTTTCAAAAGCTTATCAATCAGTCAGCCCTTGTTCATCCCCAAGTGGATGTGTGGTGGCACTATGGTGGACCTTTACTGGGCACTCTGCCAAATAATTGGAGTGGCACTTGTGCTTTAGTCCAATTGGCTATACCTTTTACCCTGGCATTTCATCAACCAGAGGGAGGAAAAATAAGGCATCATAAAGTGAGAGAAGCCCCTTATGGGTCTTTCGACTCTCAAGTCTATTGAGACGCAATTGGAGTCCCACAGGGAATACCAGATCAATTTAAAACTTGAAATCAAATAGCTGCAGGATTTGAGTCAATATTTTGGTGGGTGACAGTTAATAAAAATGTAGATTAGATAAACTACATCTATTACAACCAACAGCAATGAGCTTTTCATGAGTTAAAAGAAAAACTCATGTCGGCCCCAGCCCTGGAGCTACCTGACCTGACAAAACCCTTTACACTCTATGTGTCAGAAAGAGAAGAAATGGCAGTTGGAGTTTTAACCCAGACTGTGGGGCCCTGGCCAAGGCCAGTGGCCTATCTCTCAAAACAACTAGACGGGGTTTCTAGTTGTTTTAGACATAGAGGCTGGCCCCTATGTCTAAGGGCCCCGACAGCAATGACTCTGTTAGCACAAGAAGCAGATAAACTAACGCTTGGGCAAAACCTGAATATAAAGGTCCCCCATGCTGTGGTAACTTTGATGAATACCAAAGGACATCATTGGCTAACAAATGCTAGATTAACCAAGTACCAAAGCTTGCTATGTGAAGATCCCCACATAACCATTGAAGTTTGCAACATTCTAAACCCTGCCACCTTGCTCCTGGTATCAGAGAGCCCAGTTGAACATAACTGTGTAGAGGTATTGGACTCAGTTTATTCTAGTAGGCCCAACCTCTGAGACCATCCTGGAACATCAGTAGACTGGGAGCTGTACGTGGATGGGAGCAGCTTCTCCAACCCTTGCAAAGTGACTCTGAAGAAGACAACAAGCCCTGCTCAAGTCACACCCGGAAGCTGACTGGTCCACGCACGGCCAAAGCATGAGGAAACTCATCGCGGGACTCATGTTCCTTAAAATTAGGGCTTGTACAGTCAGGACTTCAACTGACCTTCCTCAGACTGAGGACTGTTCCCAGTGTATACATCAAGTCACTGAGGTAGGACAAAAAGTTGCTACAGTCCTATTATTTTATGGTTATTATAGGTGTACTGGGACTCTAAAAAGAACTTGTTTGTATAATGCTATTCTATACAAGATATGTAGCCCAGGAAATGACCAACCTGATGTGTGTTATGACCTATCTGAGCCTCCCATGACCACAGTTTTTGAAATAAAATTAAAGGCTGAGGACTGGTGGGGGCTCATAAATGGTATGAGTAAAGTGTTAGTCAAAACAGAAGAAAAAGGGGTGCCCAAACAAGTCACCTTGAAATTTGATGCCTGCACTGTAATTAATAGCAAAAAGTTAGGAAGGGGATATGACTCTTTTAACTAGGAAAGACTACATGACCGAAAATAAGTACATTTGTCATGAATTAGGACTGTGGAAAAATGAATGTGGATACTCCTGTTGTGTCATTTGGGCCACTTGGATAAAAAATGAAAAGGATCCAGTCCACCTTCAGAAAGGAAAAAATGGCCCTTCCTGTACTAAACAAAAATGTAACCCCTTAGAGCTAGTACTAACGAATCCCCTTGATCCTCGCTGGAAAAAAGGGGAGAGTGTGACCTTAGGAATCGATGGGGCCAGACTGGATCCTCAAGTAAATATCTTGGTTTGAGAAGTCTATAAACGCTCTCCTGAGCTAGTATTTTAAACCTTCTATGATGAACTGAATGTGCCAGTACCAGAAATTCCAGGAAAAACAAATTTGTTTTTGCAATTAGCCGAGCATGTAGCCCAGTCTCTCAATGTCACATCATGTTATGTATGTGCAGAAACTGTAATGGGAGATCACTGGCCATGGGAAGCCCGAGAATTAGTACCTACAGACCCAGTTCCTGATGAATTCCTGGCTCAAAATAATCACCCTGATAACTTCTGGGTCTTAAAGCCTCAATCATTAGACAATACTGTATAGCAAGAGTGGGGAAGGACTTCACACTTCCTGTAGGAAGACTCAGCTGCCTTGGGCAAAAACTGTACAATAGTACTACAAAAACAGCCTCCTAGTGGAGTTCAAACCACACTAAGAAAAATCCTTTTAGTAAATTCCCAAAGTTGAAAACTGTGTGGACCCACCCGGAGTCCCACCAGGACTCGACAGCCCCCACTGGATTATACTGGATATGTGGGCATAGAGCTTATGCCAAATTACCTGACCAGTGGGCCAATTGGCACTATTAAATCGTCTTTCTTCCCACTGCCCATAAAGACAGGCGAACTCCTGAGCTTCCCTGTCTATGCTTCCTGTGAAAAGAGAAGCATAGCTATAGGAAATTGGAAAGATGATAAAAGGCCCCCTGAGAGAATCATACAATGTCATAGGCCTGCTACTTGGCCACAAGATGGCTTGTGGGGATACCGGACCCCCATTTACATGCTCAACCAAATCATATGGTTGCAAGCTGTCTTAGAAATAATCACTAATAAGACCAGCAGAGCCTTGACTATTCTGGCCCAGCAAGAAACTCAGATGAGAAATGCTATCTATCAAAATAGATTGGCTTTCGACTACTTGCTAGCAGCTAAAGGAGGGGTCTGTCAGAAATTTAACCTTACTAATTGCTGTCTACACATAGGTAATCAAGGGCAAAGAGTTGAAGACATAGTTAGAGATATGACAAAATTGGCACACATGCCCGTGCAAGTGTGGCATGGATTTGATCCTGGGGCCATGTTTGGAAAATGGTTCCCACGGCTAAGAAGATTTAAACCTCTTATAATAAGAGTTATAATAGTAATAGGAAACTGTTTACTGCTCCCTTGTTTGCTACCTGTACTTCTTCAAATGATAAAAAGTTTAATCACTACCTTAGTTCACCAAAATGCTTCAGCACAAGTGTACTATATGAATCACTATCGATCTGTATTGCAAGAAGACACGGGTAGTGAAAATAAAAGTGAGAACTCCCACTAATGAGCGAGGTTCTCAAAGGGGGGGAATAAGAGAGGAGACCACCCCTCATATTGTCTTATGCCCAATTTCTGCCTCCAAAGAAAGAAGAAGTAAAAAAACTAAAAGGCAGAAATGATATCCACAGGCAGACAGCCTGGTGCCACACCCTAGGCCTGCTTAAAGATTGACCCCTGACCTAACTGGTTCTGTTATCTATAGATTCCAGACATTGTATGGAAAATCATTGTGAAAATCCCTGTCCTGTTCTGTTCCATTCTAATTACCAGTGCATGCAGCCCCCAGTCATGTACCCCCTGCTTGCTCGATCGATCACAACCCTCTCACATGGACTCCCTTAGAGTTGTAAGCCCTTAAAAGGGACATGAATTGCTCACTCGGGGAGCTCGGTTTTTGAGATTTGAGTCTCGCCGATGCTCCTGGCCGAATAAAGCCCTTCCTTCTTTAACTCGGTGTCTGAGGGGTTTTGTCTGTGGCTCATCCTGCTACAGAGGCAGGAGAATCACTTGAACCCAGGAGGTGGAGGTTGCAATGAGCCAAGATTGTGCCAGTGCACTCTGGCCTGGGCAACAGAGTGAGAAACAGTCTCAAAAAAAAAAAAAAAAAAAAAAAAAAAAAAAAAGAAGTAACATACCATCACTTCTGTTGTCTTCTGCTCACACAGACTGACCCTGACACGTGGGAGGGGTCATCCTAGAGACTGGCAACCACAGCCCATGCTTTGGCCACCAGTGATTCATGTTCCTCTGCATGATAGACACACCAGCCCTACCTAGATCTTCCCCCTTGCTCCCCCAGCAAAATCTTATCCCCATTACAGAATCAGCTCAAAGTCTGAAATCTTACTCTCAAAATCAGATCCAAGTGTTGAAGAAGTTCCTCAGGTGTAGTTCCTCAGACATAATTCTCAATCTGAAAACCTGTGACATAAGAAGACAAGATATCTGTCTGTCCTGCACACACCTGACATTGGTGTAACAGGCAGGGAATAACTGTATAAACATTCTTGTTTTGAAAGAGGGAAAATGGGAGCAAAAGGGAGTCATTGTCCATAGCAGTCCCTCTGGGCAATGGTGGGAGTCCCTTTCTCAGGACTCAGTCCTACACTGCCCAGCAATAGCTTCATAGCTCTTAATTCCATTTTCTGGGCTCTTGGACCCACCTCTGAGTCATCTATTTTTTTTCATGACAGGTACTATGTATGGGTTTTTCAGCTTCTTCTGCTTAAGAGATCCGAAGTTCTCTCTTCTTTGTGAACTGTCTGTGTCAGTCCAAGCTAGAGGTGTTTCTGGTGATGTAAGTCTCTTAAAAACATTGTGGGTCTCATGTGAATCTCACTGGGGTTTACTCCATTAGACAAAAGTGACACCCCCAATTCTCTTCGATGTAAGTCCTTCTCCATTTTGGATTTCTGCTGAGGAACAGCTTCCTTAAGCATCGTAGAAGCTCTCTTGTGTAATGGAGAGGATCTGTGAAGCATACATTTAAAATTTTAGAGGGCCTTTTGTCTGGCTTAATGGTATTCAGAGGCACAATCTTTGATCATTCTGAGGTCTTAACAAAGGATTTTTCAGTCACACACTTGGCTTCATCTCTGAACTATGCTTTGCTGAGAGTTTCCTGTGTTTGATCTTTGCTCAGAAGCCATTTCTTAATTGTAGCATCAATTGCCATCTGAAGAGGCTGGGAATCTTCAAAAACAGCAAATTTTGACTCCTTTCTCTTCAGTGTATCTCTCTTCTCTCATATTTTACCATAAGCAATAAGAAGACACCAGGCAGTACCTTCAACTCTCTGCCTTGAACAACATCCTTGGCTAGATCACCCAGTTTATTAAATCATCTCCTAACTCCTGAATTACTGCATGCAGTGGTGTTGCTCAGTTTTCTACCACCACATAACAAGGACCCCATTTTCTCTCACATCCAATCAAATTTTCCTCACTTTCCTTTATGCCCCTATCAGTCACCTCCTCAAATTCAAATGCTACTGACAGCCTGTCCCAAGCAATTTAGGCTTTCGTGAATGCTTTCCGTAAGGCCTCCCAGCTAGTGCCCACTGCTTGGTTCTAAAGACACTCATGTTTTAGGTATGTGTTGTAGCAGTGCTCTACTTCCACATACCAAAATTATTATTAGTCATCTCTTGCTGAGTAACCTCAACACAGAGTATCTAGAGATAACGACTGTTTTTATTACAAGGTTTCTGAGTCAGGAATCTGGGAGTGGCTTTTGTGGGTGGTGCTGGCTCAGGGTCTCTGATAAGATTGCAATCAAGCTATAGCTGGAGCTGTAGCATCTGAGTGCTTGACCGGGGCTGGGGATCACATACTTGCTGGTAGGAAGCTTCAGTTCCTTGCCACGCAGGCCTCTCTATAGGGCTGAACATGACATGGAGGCTGATGTCCTCCAGAAAGCATATTCCAAGGGGCAGAGGAGAGTGAGGGCAAGACAGAAAGAAGTGACATGACTTGGTACAGCATGGGAGGTGACACACAAAGACACTATGGAAAGTGGAGATCCTTACAGGCCAGGTGGCAATCATGCTAATTGCTGACACCTGCTTTACTGCCAACCCCCCACAGCAGGCCCCCAGCAGGTCCTCGAGTCTGCTCAGAGCTTGTCTCAGATAGACCCACTACTAATATCAAGGGGCTGGACTGCTTCCTCCTGTGAATGTTGTACACATAATTTTAATGTAACAATTCACCTTTTAAATATAGCCGTAAGCTATTTTCTCCACTTTACTGCCAGAAGGCAATGCTCTCTGAGGACTTCACATGGCAAGGAGGCCTAGTGGATACCTAATTTTCTCCCATAGCAGCAGGACACTCCCAACTCTGCAGTCTGACTTGTGCATCTGAAGTTAATATGGGATCAACTTATTGTTGGAGAGAGCCATCCTGACAGTGGCACAACTGTGTGCACTTTTTTTTTTTTTTTTGAGACGGAGTCTCACTCTGTTGCCAGGCTGGAGTGCAGTGGCGGGATCTTGGCTCACTGCAATCTCCACCTCCTGGGTTCAAGCGATTCTTCCACCTCAGCCTCCTGAATAGCTGGGACTACAGGTGCGCACCACCATGCCCAGCTAATTTTTGTATTTTTCGTAGAGATGGGGTTTCAGTATGTTGGCCAGGATGGTTTCAATCTCTTGACCCCGTGATCTGCCTGCCTCGGCCTCCCAGAGTGCTGGGGGATTACAGGTGTTAGCCACCGTGCCCAGCCACTGTGTGCACCTTTTACTTTTGAGTACAAAAGTTCTGGCTAGTCCTGCATCAAAGTGTTGCATCGGAACATGCAACATAAGAGTCTCCCTGGCTGGGCGTGGTGGCTCATGTCTGTAGTCCCAGCACTTTGGGAGGCCGAGGTGGGCAGATCACCCGAGGTCAGGAGTTTGAGACCCGCCTGGACAACATGGTGAAACCCCGTCTCTACTAAAAATACAAAAAATTAGCCGAGTGTGGTGGCGCGCAACTGTAGTCTCAGTAACTGGAATGGCTGAGACACGAACATCACTTGAATTTGGGAGGAGGAAGTTGCAGTGAGCCCAGACTGCACCAGCCTGGGTGAAAGAGCGAGACTCCATCTAAAGCAAAAACAAAAACAAACAAACAAACAAACAAAACCATCTTCCCAAGGCACAGGTGCTGAAGAGACTGTTCTTCATTCAACTCTCCAGAGGGGAACATGAGGGTTCTTTCTGGGGCTTGCCCATGCAAGGAGATCTCATCCTGGATTCAACTGCCCCCTCCCTCTCCAGGTCAAACCCTTCAGGCAAGGAGCCAGGGGCTTCTCTGTGGATCTGGGCAGGCTGGAGGTCCCAGGCCTGTATGGGGAGACAGGCCTCTGTTAAGGCAGCCTGTGGGAGTGCACATTCTTTGGGGAAGCCCCATATGAATTGCAGGGAACAAGGGAGCTGGTGCAGCCCATGAAAATATTTGTTTTTAATTTTCTTGATTTTTTAGACCATAGAAGTATTACATGTTTGTTCACATTTTAAGTATTACATATATAAAGCATAAATTCTTACACAAGAGTATAATATTCTAGCATTTTGTTCATGTGTGTATGCATATATATGTTTATATAATTTTGAAATATTCATTTAGCAGATACTTATGTGTGCTGCACACTGGGGATATAATAACAAAACAATCAGACATTATAGAGCTTACATACTTATCTGGAGAGAAAAGCAATAAGCCTAATAAATGAAAAATTATGTAAGATATGAGAAGAAACTAAATGTTCTGGGGAAATTAAGCAGGGAGAAGGAGAAGGAAAGGCAGAGTGAGAGAGGATTAGTTTTGAATAGAATGATTATGAAAGGCAGCACTAAGACGGTAACATTTGAGCAAAGACCTGAAGGAGCAAACCATGTGAATACCCAGGGCAAAAATCATTCCAGGCAGCAGGACCCACAGGTACAAATGTCCTGGGGCAGACACATCTGGTGAGTTCAAGGACCAGTTACAAGGCTGGCATGCCTGGAGCAGAGAAGGCAGAGGGGAAGGAACAGGAAGAGAGAGTCAGAGAGGTGTTGGGTGGCAGGAAAGGGGAGGCATTTGAAGAGTCTTGTATTTTACTCTGAGAGAGATGAAACACCATTGAGGAATACAGAACAGAGAAACAACATGATCTGACTTCAGCTTCAAAAAGATCACTGTGCCTGCAGGTGACCACAGACTGTAGGAAGGTAAGGCAGAGGCAGAGACCAGTGAATTTAACCTTCTGGGCTCAGGTACAGAGGAGGTGGGAGGTCAGATTTAACCAGGGTTGGGATTTAGCTGAATGAGACAAATTGAGAAAGAGACAAAGGGACAGAGGCTAACACAAGAATGGGAAAATGATTGGCACTACGGCCCATCAGGGCTGGGGAAGAGGGAAGTGAGGCCGGGGAGAGGGAGAAAAGATGGTGGGACCATGGGTTAGAAGGGGTGTCTAAGTGGTAGAAGGTGTGTGTGGGTTGTAAGTTTGAAAGGGATTAAAAAGTTAATGGAATTGGAGAAAGAGAGGAGTGCATGGGAAAGATAAGCTGGGGTTACTGGAGAATGGAACACCCCAGATCAAGATTCTAAATAGCATCGCAGTTTTTGGTAATTTCATCATTAAGGGTATGACCATGAGCTGA